>NC_000014.9:67490500-67793531 GCF_000001405.40 Homo sapiens | reverse complement strand
CACCTGGGAGCACTCAGGGGTCCACATCAAGCAGAAGAAGCAGAAGCAAGAGGGGGTTTCCATGTGCCCAGGCCCAGTCTTCAGCAGGGTGGATTGAAAGATAGTGAATTGTTTGTGGTTCTTAACATAAGCAGTGTTTTTAAAAGGTGAAAGAAAATATTCAGCCACACTCCCACCACTTAAAAGCATGGAAACTTTTGTTTCTCTCCTTGACTCCTTCTCTGAACATATACATGGGTTTTTGTTTGTTTGCTTGTTTGTTTGTTTGTTTGTTTGAGACAGAGTCTTGCTCTGTTGCCCAGGCTGGAGTGCTGTGGCACGATTTCTGCTCACTGCACCCTCCACCTCCCAGGTTCAAACGATTCTCCTGCCTAAGCCTCCCAAGCAGCTGGGATTACAGGTGCCCACCACACCAGGCTAATTTTTGTATTTTTAGTAGAGACAGGGTTTTGCCATGTTGGCCAGGCTGGTCTCGAACTCCTGACCTCAAGTGATCTACCTGCCTCAGCCTCCCAAAATGCTGGGATTACAGGCATGAGCCACCACACCCAGCCCATGTTTTTATCTAGTTAAAAATTATAATACAATTTCCTTTTCTTTTTTTTTTTTTTTTTTTTTGAGACAGATTTGCTTTTGTCACCCAGGCTGCTGGAGTGCAGTGGCGCGATCCCAGCTCACTGCAACCTCCACCTCCCATGTTCAACCGATTCTCCTGCCTCAGCCTCCCGAGTAGTTAGGATTACAGGCATGCACCACCATATCTGGCTAATTTTTGTATTTTTAGTAGAGATGAGGTTTTGCGATGTTTGTCAGGCTGGTCTCAAACTCCTGACCTCAGGAGATCCACCCGCCTCGGCATCCCAAAATGCTGGGATTACAGGCATGAGCCATTGCGCCCAGTCTCAATTATAAATAGAATGCCAGTTCAATATACAAGAAGTATGGAGAGCTAGCAGACTAGAATATTTGTATTGTAGAGAGAAAATAGCACTGGAATGGTAATCAGAAAGACTGAACCTCTCTGAGCTTTGGTTTCCTCATTTGAAAATTGGAGTTAAATGTAATACCTGGTTTTTCTACCTCATAGGAATGTTAAGAGGATTATGTTCTAGCCGTGAGAAATATAAAAATCCTCTACTATTGATTAAACTTAATAACAAGTTATTAAACTTAATAACATAAAATAGTACTCTTCTAATTTTTAAAACCCTCTTGGCATATTAATGATACTTTTACTGGTAGTAAAGTATTTGGTAGTTTATCTACGTAACATGTAGGTCAGAATTGTTCTTTCATGTGAGTTCAGTTTTTGAGGAATAAATCTAGGGAACTCTAGGTAACAGGACAATTTTTACTTAACCTTCTCTGATCATTTTAGATCTTATACTTTAATGATAATTATAATTATGATCCTTGGAGGAGGATAGGACCCTCCCCAGCCCCAGCCTTTCTTTTTCTTTTTTTTTTTTTTTGAAGCAGAGTCTCACTTTCTCACCCAGGCTGGAGTGCAGTGGCTCGATCTCGGCTCACTGCAGTCTTTGCCTCCTGGGATCAAGCGATTCTCCTGCCTCAGCCTCCTGAGTAGCTGGGACTACAGGTGCACACCACCACTCCTGGCTAATTTTTATATTTTTAATAGAGACGGGGTTTCACCATGTTGGCCAGGCTGGTTTTGAACTCCTGACCTCAAATGATCCACCCTCCTTGGCCTCCTGAAGTGCTGGGATTACAGGCACGAGCCACCACGCCAGCCCCTCCCCAGCCTTTCTAATACTCAAATCCAGAGGAATTTAGCTAGGAGTCCCATGATATTTTACCCCTAAATGTCCTCCACTTCTCCTCCTTTTCTTGAGCCGTGGTCTTTTTTTTTTTTTTCAATAAAAACTTTTATTTTTTGACCTGGATACAGACAGAATAAGTTGTACATATACGACAATATCAGAAAGTATTAACAAGAAAATAAA
Organism: Homo sapiens; assembly: GCF_000001405.40. Lineage (NCBI taxonomy): Eukaryota > Metazoa > Chordata > Mammalia > Primates > Hominidae > Homo > Homo sapiens. The sequence continues at coordinate 67,791,567 of NC_000014.9, read as the reverse complement.
ATTACTTTTAACCCTATAGTATGGAACAACCAATATTAAAAATTTATTTTTTTGGCCAATATTTCTCCAAAATATGTATGACTTTTATATAGCTGAGATTATTTCAAATCTAAAACTTTATATCATGCATTTTTACATTTTAATATTAGCATTTGTCTTTTAACCTTGATTTTAGTGACCTTACAATAGTCTGATCAAGTAGCTGCATTTAACCATTTTCCTGTTGCTCAAGATTTAGATTATTTTTAACCTTGTAATAGTTGTAATATATAGTGCCAAGGTGATTACGTTTAGGCATTAAGCCTTTTGAATTATTTTTTTAAGAAAGTTCCTCATAAAAACTACTGAGTCAAAAGATGTAAACATTTTTAAAGCTTTATGGATTGCCAAATTGCTTTTCAAAAAAGTTGTGACACTTAATGTTACACCATCTCCTGAGGATTTATTTTTGTGCTTTGTTATTGTGATAGATGCAAAATGTTATTGTTACTTAAATTCCTAGATTACTGACAAGGGAAAAAATATTTTCTCATTTATATATTAGTCATATATATTTCCTCTGAAATTGTCCACATCTTTTGCCTATTTTCTACTGAGGCTTTGGTGGTTTTCTTACTTTTATGAATTATTTTTTATAGTTGACCTGCTCTTCTAACATTCAGTGCTCTTCTGACCCTACAAAGCACAAAGACATCTTAGGGCCACAGTCTAATGGTTGGCAAGATCTCCTATCCATGGACATTCCCTAAATCAGTGGGACCACCAGGGCCCACACACTCCCTCTCCTATGACAGGTGCTGTTCACGTTCAACCTGAAGTCCTCACCCAGTTCAGGGGAACTGATGTTCATGGAGCGCTACCAGGAAGTGATCCAAGAACTGGCCCAAGTAGAGCACAAGATTGAAAACCAGAACTCAGATGCGGGTAGCAGCACCATTCGGAGAACTGGCAGTGGCCGCTCAACTCTACAGGCCATTGGCAGCGCTGCAGCAGCAGGTCAGGCTTCCCTGCTAACACCATAAGTGGTGAGGTGGCTGGGAGAGGGGGTAAAAGGGGAGAAACCACTAAAATCCTAGGCTCCTCATGAGGGTGAGCAGAAATTAAATACAGGACACCTGCCTTGAAAAACAGCAAACCTGATACGTCCAGTTTTCCAGCTGTGCCCATCCTCCTTGCCCAGGCTGTTCAGATACCACCACTCAACCTACTGCATAAAGCTTATCCTGTGTGATTTAAATGAAGCCTGTGAATGCTGTTTTTAACCTGTGTTTTGATGGCCACTGTCTCTGGCTTCAGGAAATGGTTAGGAGTTTATTTCCTTCCCATGTAATTACTCAGGGATAAAGCATATTGTTTTACTGTTCTATAAAGTGCAGTTGGGTATTAAAATTTAAGGCCTAGAATTCACAGGTCTCAGTTTCCCAACCTTGGATGCACTGCAAAAGAGCCCATCCTTTCATTACTTCTTGAAGTTGGAATCTTGTTCCACATTTTCACAACTCTTACTGGCCTAGGCCCTACATACCATGGTACCATCACATATTGCTTCCTATATATTATCCCAGAAATTTTCTATGCCTATTCACAAGAACATACACACATCCTTTCTGTTTTTAATATAAATAGGTTCTTAGGACAATACTATAGTCTACCTTGCTTTTTAGTGATGCGTTCTAGAGATCTTTTCTGATTAGCACACACAGATCTACGTCATTCTTTCTGAACCTACTTTGAGATTCCGTTTGGAAAAAGCCCTCCCTCATCTGGACCACTCTGAGTCTCTTGGTCTTCCTTTCATGCCACTGTTTTGAAGCTATAAGAGTGGGCCATAATGATAGTGCTAATATACATGAAAGATACCCTGTGCAGATGAACCTCAAACATTTTGAAAGTAACTACTTTACCTAATAAAAGTTGTAGTAAGAATCCTTTTAACCCTTTGCTTTTTATTCCTCTGCTGGGCGGCCAGGAATGGTGTTTTACTCTATCTCTGACGTGACTGACAAGCTGCTCAACACCTCTGGAGACCCCATCCCCATGCTCCAGGAGGACTTTTGGATAAGCACGGCTCTAGTGGAGCCCACTGCTCCCCTGAGAGAGGTTCTGGAAGACCTCAGTCCCCCTGCCATGGCTGCATTTGACCTAGCTTGCTCTCAGTGCCAGCTCTGGAAAACCTGCAAGCAGCTTTTGGAGACAGCCGAACGGCGTTTGAATAGTAGCCTTGAAAGGCGGGGTGAGTGTGCTGTGTTAGCTGTATCCCTTCATTCTCAAATGAGATGGGTTTCTGAGAGTCTTGATAAATTGTCCAGGAAGAAAGCAGTTATTGGAGGAGGCAGATGGTGAATGGATTATGAAATTTTGTCACATACAATCTGATGGCATAAATACAGTCTGTTGAGAGACAAAATAGACATAGCAATTTGGGGAAATTCTTTATTGAATTATAGGTGAATTCAAAGAAGAAATATACATTTTAAAATGGTATCAATGGAATTCGAGCCTTAAGACTCCATGCCTTTCTCCTTGGTGAACTTCACTTAACCTAAAACCTGAGACCATCTTGAATTTGTAAGCCAGGTGTAAGGGAAAACTTAATGAGTCACAGTTGGAGGGATGATCATACCTTGAGGTGAATAACAGTGCAGAATGTGCATACAGAATTCTTAGAGAAATCAGGTATGTGAAGGCATCAGTATATGAAGGTAGAATTAGGCAACGTTCTACTCCCCACACCTGTCCTTGCTACTTGCACCAAACATTGGAAGGACTGAGCAGTGGAGGAGAAAGGAACCTGTTCTGCCTTAGTAATATAGAGGGAGGAGTGGTGAATAGGTTATGATATGAGTAGCCCCATGTGTCTGGGGTCCCCAAGTCCACCCCCAGGTTCAGTGATTCTCTAGGAGAACTCTCAAGAATCAGCTTATCGTCATAGAGCTAAGATTTATTTCAGCAAATGGATACAAAGAAAAATCAGCAAAGTAAAAAGGCTCATAGGATAAAATCTGGAGGAAACCAGGTGCAAGCTTCCAAGAGTCCTCTCCCTGTGGCTACACAGGGCATGCCTATGCCTATTTCTCCAGCAATGAGTTGTGCCAGCAGTTGCAAGGTGTTGTATATAGGGAAGCTCATTAGAGACTCAAGGCCCAAGGTTTGTTTGTTTGTTTGTGTTTTTGAGATAGAATCTCGCTCTGTCCCCCAGGCTGGAGTGCAGTGGCACAGTCTCGGCTCACTGCTCACTGCAACTTCCACCTCCCGGGTTCAAGCGATTCTCCTGCCTCAGCCTCCCAAGTAACTGGGATTACAGGCACGTGCCACCACGCCCGGCTAATTTTTGTATATTTAATAGAGACTGGGTTTCACCATGTTGGTCAGGCTGATCTCGAACTCCTGACGTAATGATCCGCCTGCCTCAGCCTCCCAAAGTGCTGGGATTATAGGCGTGAGCCACCGCACCCAACCACCCACGGTTTTTTTTTTTCGAGGACTGGTGACAAAAACACCCTCTGCTTAACATGTAGCAAATTCCAGATTCCTAAAAGGAAAGCAGGTGTTCAGCATAAACCACATTGTACAAAGAGTTTAGGGCCAGTGAGCCACTGTTATTATTTAGGGAAAGTACGTAAGCATAGGAAACTTCTTACCAGTCAAGTCCACAGTGCCAGCCAAGGGCCAACCTTGCAAGCAGATGTTCTAAGGATAGCAGTGTCAAGCCTGCTGTTTAACTCTTTTCTATACACCCCTCCAAATCACCTCTGAGCTGTTGGTTAAAATGTCCTTTAATGTTTACATAGTCCCTATAGTCCTTCAAAGAAAGTACACAGTGGCTTATACAATGCTGTTTGTGTCCAGTGATCTGCTCTTCCCCTCATCTAATACTTATATCCTAAAATAAAATATTATTCAAGCTCTTAATCACTGAAACAGTTTCAGGTCAATCAATGAGGAATTTGTGTGTGTGTGTGGGTGCATAGTCGGTGTATGTATTTATGGAGTATATGAGATTTTTTGGTACAGGCACACAATGCTTAACAATCACATCATGGAAAATTGAGTATCCATCCCCTCAAGCATTTATCCTTTGTGTTACAAACAAGCTAGTTAGACTCTTTTAGTTATTGTTAAATGTGCAATTGAATTATTATTCACTGTAGCCCCCATGTTATGCTATTAAATACTAGGCCTTATTCCTTGTTTCTAACTTTTTTTTTTTCTGAGACAGAGTCTCACTCTGTCACCCAGGCTGGAGTGCAGTGGCGCCATCTCGGCTCACTGCAGCCTTTGACTCCTGGGTTCAGGTGATTCTCCTGTCTCAGCCCTCCCCCACAACCCCGCAGTAGCTAGAATGACAGGTGTGTGCCACCACGCCCAGCTAATTTTTGTATCTTTAGTAGAGAAGGGGTTTCACCATCCACCCACCTCAGCCTCCCAAAGTGCTGGGATTACAGGTGTGAGCCACCACACCCGGCCTCTAACTATTTTTTATACTCATTAACCATCTCCATCTTCCCCCACCCCTTACTACCTTCCCAGCCTCTGGTAACCATCCTTCTATTCTCTATCTCCATGAATTCAGTTATTTTGATTTTTGGATCCCACACATAAGTGAGAACATGTGGTGTTTGTCTTTCTGTGCCTGGCTTATTTCACTTAACATAATGATCTTCAGTTCTATCCAAGTTGTTGCTAATGATTGGATCTCATTCTTTTCCATAACTGTATAGTACTCCATTGTGTATATGTATCACATTTTCTTTATCCATTCATCCACTGATGGACACTGAGGTTGCTTCAAAATCTTGGCTATTGTGAAGAGTGCTGCAAGAAACATGGGAGTGCAAATATCTCTTCAATATACTGATTTAGGAATTAATTTAGTGACTACTGTGTTTCCAGATTATCCTGAGCATATGGGAGTATAGGAGAGATGTAAGGAATAATCTGTGTCCATAAAGTTGTTCATAGTCTAGTTGGAGTGTCAAGATACCACTTAAAGCAATTAAAGAAGACATATGATCTCCGCTCAAGTTGAGTACAACTGAAGGCAGTACCAAGGCAAATCTATTTGGCTTGGGACAACAATTCCATAGGAGTGCCAGAGATTCTGAATCTGCTGATGTTGTTGACAGCTGAGGCATCTTGCCAGAGTCAGTCCTAGAATCTCAGGCATGAAATAAGCCAAGTATACTGGTTGTCACCCAAAATGGCACAGCATGTATTTCCTCCTTAATATTGGAGAGGATAAAATTTCACAGGTAAATACAGGACTGAGTGTCAATCTCTGAAAACACTTCAATTTTTTTTTTTTGCATTCCCTCTTCCTTCATCTATTTCCAGGTCGACGGATAGACCACGTACTCCTAAATGCTGATGGCATTCGAGGTTTTCCAGTTGTTCTTCAGCAAATCAGTAAGAGTCTCAATTATCTGCTTATGTCAGCCAGTCAAACCAAATCAGGTGAGTTGCTTTTTTCTCTTTTCTTCTCCTGGACTTGGAACATTAGGTCAGCAACAGACTTTACTTTTTCTTTCTCATTTGCTTTCCATAGAGAGTGTGGAAGAAAAGGGAGGAGGCCCTCCACGGTGCAGCATCACTGAACTGCTTCAGATGTGCTGGCCCAGCCTAAGCGAGGACTGTGTTGCCAGCCACACCACCCTCTCCCAGCAGCTAGATCAGGTCCTTCAGTCACTGAGAGAGGCACTAGAGCTGCCAGGTATAAGGCTGTCTGCTTGGGAACAAATAAAAGCTGAACTGGGGAGAGGAAACAGCTGAGAGTAACGAAGCACTTTGGAGCAGAGGCTTGGGACTCCAGAACTGGGATCTATCAGCCCTTTAGTTAGCCAGGGCATGTCTCAATGTCTCGTAACTTAACTTCACCTGTTTTCCCACCTCTCAATTGAAAGAATGGTGAACACTCCATCAGCTGATACATTTTCTCATGATGAATAAGAAATACAGCCAGCAGGTGCTTAGTAAATATTGATGAACCCTTCCCCAAAAGATTGCTGTGTTCTTCATAAAGTTGTTCCACCCCAGAGACAAGGATAAAAATAGAACTATACACACCAGAGTAATTTTATACACTCCAGACTCAAAGCTTTCCCTGGCTGGGAATCACTTGTCCAAGTGACTGACTTAGGATTTTATATTTGCCTTGTAAGTGTAGTGTCCAGGCCATCAGATGCCCCAGGCAGTGTATAGGGGGCACAGTTCACATATCCAGTCAGAAATTGACCCAAAGCTGGACTCACAGACTGAAGCCTGTGTCCTTTCTCCTGCCATCCTCCTCTCAGAGCCCAGGACTCCTCCACTGTCTTCCCTGGTGGAGCAGGCAGCCCAGAAAGCTCCAGAGGCAGAGGCCCACCCTGTGCAGATCCAGACTCAGCTCCTCCAGAAGAACCTGGGCAAACAGACCCCATCAGGCAGCAGGCAGATGGACTACTTGGGCACCTTCTTCAGTTACTGCAGCACCCTTGCTGCAGTTCTCCTTCAAAGTTTGAGCTCTGAGCCTGGTAGGTAGCAAGAAAGAGGCAATAGATTCATGGCAGACCTGCAAGTGTTCAGGGCAAGGAAGAGAAAAGATGCACAATTGAAAGGCTCTGGATACAGCAGTAGCCAAGAACACTAGATTTATAAGGTTGTCCTCTCTTATTCATCTCTGGCTATTTTACTCATCTTTGTGCTAGTATAGCTGTATAGCACATGGGAGTACTCAATTAATTTTCTTGGAATTAGCGACTCAAAAATATCTCTGTCAGACCTGTGGTCCATTGTGAATTTGAGCACCCAGCAGAGGAATCAAGTCTCTGATATGAGTACCAGATTCTTAAGTCCACAGAGTGAGTACTACATGCACTTCAGTCGGGTTGAAGAGAGCAGGAGTTGGCTGTCCGTGGCTAGATCTGCCCACTGAAGTTCGTCTGGGGTTGGAAGTCTTTAGAGCAGTGGTAAGATATAGATAAAACTTGTGGTCAGGTTCATGTTGAGAATACCCTTTACCTAGAATGAATTAACAGAAGGCTCTCCATATTGTCTTCATCTTGACACTGTACTTTTTTCTCAATTCTGGGAAACAGGGCTCTGAACTCTTGCAGTCAGTGGTGCAAACAAAGATCATGTTCTTTACCTTTGCAGATCATGTGGAGGTCAAGGTAGGAAATCCCTTTGTTCTGCTGCAACAGAGCTCTTCCCAACTGGTGTCACATCTCCTGTTTGAGAGACAAGTTCCCCCAGAGAGGTAGGAGCCACCTCCATGCAAGTCAGCCATGGGCCTTCGGATGATTTCATCAATATAGCCAAGGGCTCAGTGCGGTGGTGCTTGGGGTTAGCACAGAGAGTGGGGATTTCTTCCTGACTGAATTTTTTATTCTTATATAACTGAAAATTTAATGTGCCTTGTTTCCTGCTTTCTCTCTCGATACCTTTAGCATGTATATTGTTAAGTATGAAATCAGTGGGTGACTCTGCACTTTATAAATAGGCAAAAATCTAAAAATTCAATAACATGATAGTTGATTAGACTGTAGGAAAACAGCATTCTCAGAGAATGCAAGTGGGACATAAATTTGTACAGCCTCTGTCGGAAGGCAGTTTGTCAATATTTATTAAAATTGCAAATTCATATGCCCTTTGATTTAGCAAACCATTTTGGATAATTTATCCTACAGCTTTATTATACATAAATGATTTATATGCAAAATCATTTCATTGCAATCTTGTATATAGTACCAACAGATCAGAAAATTCATTGTCCACTAACAGGAGCCTAGTTATTGTTCATCTATATAATGGAATACTATGTAACTGCAAAAACTAAAGAGGGTCCTCTCTGTAGAGGGATATGGATAGATCTCGCAGAAGTGTTCGTGAAAACATAAAGGGCAGAGCGATATGTCTAATAGGCTACTTTTTGTGTTTTAAAAAAAGAGTGTGACAATTAGGAACTTTTATTTACATTTGCTCATGTAAGCATAAAGAAATTGTAAGACTGGTTAATGGTGCCTGTGTATTCAGGCCTTGTATGCTTTCTGCTTCTCTCCTTCCAGACTGGCAGCCCTTCTGGCCCAAGAGAATCTCAGCCTAAGTGTGCCACAGGTCATCGTCAGCTGCTGCTGTGAGCCCCTTGCTCTTTGCTCATCCCGGCAAAGCCAGCAGACCTCCTCCCTCCTGACTCGTCTGGGTACTCTGGCCCAGCTACACGCCTCTCACTGCCTGGATGACCTCCCACTTTCTACACCGAGCTCCCCGAGGACAACTGAGAACCCTACATTGGAAAGAAAGCCCTACTCCTCCCCAAGGGACTCATCACTCCCAGCCCTCACCTCCTCTGCCTTGGCCTTTCTTAAGTCACGCTCAAAGCTCCTAGCTACGGTGGCCTGCCTGGGGGCTTCCCCGAGGTTAAAGGTCAGCAAACCCAGCTTGTCATGGAAGGAACTTCGTGGCCGCAGGGAGGTGCCTCTGGCTGCAGAGCAGGTAGCCCGGGAGTGTGAGCGCCTTCTGGAACAATTCCCTCTGTTTGAGGCCTTCCTCCTGGCTGCCTGGGAGCCCCTGCGAGGGTCTTTGCAGCAGGGGCAGAGTCTGGCAGTGAATCTCTGTGGTTGGGCCAGTCTTTCTACCGTTCTCCTGGGCCTACATTCTCCCATTGCCCTAGATGTACTGAGTGAGGCTTTTGAGGAATCCTTGGTGGCCAGAGATTGGTCCCGGGCCCTTCAGCTCACTGAAGTGTACGGGCGAGATGTGGACGATTTGAGCAGCATAAAGGATGCAGTCCTGAGCTGTGCTGTGGCATGTGGTGAGCAGAATGCTATGCCTCCCTTTTTCACTAGTGGTAATATTTGGTATTCACTGGGTATATTATCACATTTAATCCTCACGGTAACTCTAGAGAGAAGCCCCACTATAATCTCATGTTATTAAGAGGAGACCAGGTCTCAGAGGGGTTAGGAAACTTGCCCAGGGTGGTAAGTGGTAGAGTAGAGCTTAGAACCCAAGTCCATCTGACTTTAAACAGCCACGCATAACCAGTATTCTCAATACTGTATATCACAATTCTTGTGAAATTCTACAGACTACAAATGTTTGGGTCCCTTCCCCAGAGGCCCAGGATAGAGCTCAGGCAAGTGTTTACTTTAAAATAGGGATCAGCACATTTTTTCTATAAAGGACTTTGTAAGCCACAGTCTCGCTCGTAACTACCCAGCCCCTCCAGTACAGCATGAAAGCAGCCAGAGTCAATATATAAAGAAATGAGCATGGCTACAGTCTAATAAAACTGTATTATAAAAGCAGATTGTGGGTCTGTTTGATGACCACTGCTTTGAAAGCTCCCCAGGAAATTCTGACGTGTAACCAGAGTGGAAAGCCAATGAGCTGTAACACTACTAGGATTTCCTAGCAGTGTTGCAACAAGAGTTGGGTGTGATGTAGGGAATGACTTTTGGGTAGGAGGCTTGGCTCCCTTTGGAAAGGAGAAAATCCATCCTTGAAAAGGTGGAGAAATCCACTGACTGGCTGTGTGTTCTTAATTGCTTGGAGTCTGTTTTTTGTATCTCCAAGATCAGATCTGTGAAATGGGTGTGGAAGAGAGAGATCTAAGTCAGGGAGTGAAACTAGTCTACCTGGAATAACTTTCAAGTGGTTATGTATGGCACAGGGTGGAAATTACAGGGAAAAGGAAAGTTTCACTGACAAGGTGAGTCTGAAACAGTCCTATATGTTCAGCATGCCAAAACATGGAGAGCTTCATCTCTTCTGTCCTTCCTTCATTCCTTCCTTCCTTTCTCTTTTCCCTCTCTTCCTTCTGAAAGTCTCATGGCTATTATCAGGTTTACCTAAAGATACACATAGGGTAGAGATACAGCATTTTCCTTGTCATATAATGGTTCCAAGTGTAAAAACTAGTTAAGATCACATCCATCTTAAGGATCCTCCAAGCTCCTCTTTTACGAGATTGAAGAAAGCCCTTTCTCAAGAAGTAACCTGGACTCTTGAACTCTTCTGGTCCCACGCTTGCTGCCTCTGAGCATCTTTTTTGTCTTATAGACAAAGAAGGTTGGCAATACCTGTTTCCCGTGAAGGATGCATCTCTGAGAAGTCGGCTGGCCCTACAGTTTGTGGACAGGTGGCCCCTGGAGTCATGCCTGGAGATTCTGGCCTACTGCATTTCAGACACGGCTGTCCAAGAAGGACTAAAGTGTGAGCTACAGAGGAAGCTGGCGGAGCTGCAGGTGTATCAGAAGGTATGGGCCCTCGCATCAAGAGAAAGGGAACGGGCTTCTCACTCTATGATCAACCCCAACCTATCTTATATGATGGGGGACTTTAAGAAAGAGAAAATATAGGTCTGGGTTTTGCTTTGCATCTGGCTTCAGTTCTTAGGTGAACAGCAGGGAGGCCTCCTAGCTGGTTGCTGTGTTACTTATTCCTATAATTTTAAATACATTTGCATGAAGTGAGGGTAAAAATAACAAAATTAACATTGGAATGGTGTATTACAGTCCAAAAAGGCTTTTTCACATGTCTTTTTGAGCTTTGTGTATATTTTTGTATATTGTGTCTTCTATAAAGTTTGTTTTAAATTTCAGCAACATTTCAAGAGCTATTTTGAAAAGATATATGAAGGTGACAATTTCAAAACTAAAAGATTCTTGTGGGATATTTGTTATGTTCAAGCTCAAGAGGCTTAGGGAGACAAATTTAGGAAGCACGGCTACATAACAACTATAAAATAGATGCTAATTTTCCAACATATCCTTGGAGCAGACAGAGTCCAGAAACCCTACCAGGGGTAGTGAAAATGACAGGTGAAAAAAGGTTTCTTTTTATTCTTCCTTGGCAGTTTTCATGCAGAGCTAAAATGTTGTATGAAAGGTGATCCCACAGAGCATTCAAGCCAGAAGAATATCTTGGGTGGAGTTTGGGGTAGAGGAGCATGGGACAGGTGACCCCAGAACAATCTGGGAAGCATGAGAGCACTGTCTTCACTAGTGAAAGGCCCCAGTCCTGGCCTCCATATTCAGCCTTCACTCCCTGCTTGTTCTTCCTGGATAGGTTCACTCTGCTCTCTAAATAATCTTTGCCCAATTTGCTCTCTTTTCTGGCAAGTTCTGACAGCCTGACTTTGGGGCAGAGATCTAGGGATGGCCCATCTGTGGACATGCCCAGTGACTTGTTCATGGAGGGAGAAGCTGCAGTGTGGTTTGACGGATTTTCTTGTCTTTCCTTAGATTCTGGGTTTGCAGTCTCCCCCAGTGTGGTGTGACTGGCAGACCTTGAGGAGCTGTTGTGTTGAGGACCCATCAACTGTCATGAACATGATTCTAGAAGCACAGGTACCGTTTTCCTGGGTGGTGTTCCCCTTCATCCTCCTTTCAGAGTTACAACCCCTTAGCTGGCTGTATAAGCCCCTTTCTGCATATCAATGTTCACTTTTTAAAAAAATAACTATACCACATTCTGGCCGAGGCGGGCGGCTCACAAGGTCAGGAGATCGAGACCACGGTGAAACCCCGTCTCTACTAAAAATACAAAAAATTAGCTAGGCGTGGTGGCGGGTACCTGTAGTCCCAGCTACTCCAGAGGCTGAGGTAGGAGAATGGCGTGAACCCAGGAGGCGGAGCTTGCAGTGAGCCGAGATCGCACCACTGCACTCTAGCCTGGACGACAGAGCGAGACTCTGTCTCAAAAAATAAAATAAAATAACTATACCACATTCTTTTTTATTGTGAAATTTGCCAAAATCCAGATAAGTATAGAGACTAATACAATTGACTCTTTTGTATTATCATCCTGTGTTCATACCTGAGATTTTCTACATTGTGTACGTTAGGTACAGAATGTATTTCTCGAAGTGGAATTGCTGGGTCATTGGTCATGAGTGTCCTCACCTTTGCTAGAATATTACCAACTCACACTTCAAAACACTCACCCCAGTTACACTCCCACTCGCAGTTCCCATTATTCCATAACCATGTCACCTTTTTATTTATCTTTATTTTTATTATTATTTTTGAGATGGAGTCTTGCTATTTCACCCAGGCTGGAGTGCAATGGCGCAATCTTGGCTCACTGCAACCTCCGCCTCCCGGGTTCAGATGATTCTCCTGCCTCAGGCTCCCAAGTAGCTTGGATTACAGGCAGCCACCACGCCCAGCTAATTTTTTTGTATTTTTAATAGAGACAGAGTTTTGCCATGTTGGCCAGGCTGGTTTTGAACTCCTGACCTCAAGTGATCTGCCCACCTTGGCCTCCCAAGGTGCTGGGATTACAGGCATGAGCTACAGCACCTGGCCCCTTGTTACCTTTTTATATTGTCCAACTTTTCATTGTTTGCAATAAGATGGTATCTCATTGTTGTTTTAATTTACATGATAACTAATAAATTTGAATATCTGTTCATGTGTTTATTAGATTTCTGAGTGGTAAGTAGGATTTTGTCTACCTTTTAAGAAGCTGACTGTGTAGATGCTCATTGAAATGTTCGTTCATTCAGGAAGTACTTATTGCATGCCTATTATTTGCCAATCACTGTGGTAGATGGTGGTGAAACAAAAATTATTAAGCTGTACTTGCCCTGGAGTGGCTCACATTTTGGAGAGAGGGTGATGTAAGATGCATCCCTAGGTGACTGCAACATAATATACAAATGACAGAAGTAAGCTCAGATTGTGGGAGCACAGGCAGGGCACCTAACATAGCCTGAGAAACAAGGAAGCATCCTGAAGAAGGCAGTCCTAGGCAGGGTTGTGGGGAGGACATTCCAGACACCACCATGTGGGAATATTTGAACAAAGCCCTAGGAATTCTATTCTCTCAAACTTCATCTACAGTTCACAAATTGGGGTTGGGGGGTAGTGAGGGGGAACATGGGTAGAATCCAACCACCAACATGTTTATTTGGCCTTTGTAGTATTGGTCTACAGAATTTTTATTTTTTCATATTGACTTTATTGCCAAAATTTTAAAATACAGAAATTTTATGATTTTAAAAAAGTTTTGTAACTTTAAAGTCTGACAACATTGGGCCTGCCCATTCTTATAGCATGGGTGACTATGTCCTTTAAACAGTCTTTTCAGTCTTTCCCACTTCCTTAGAATCTTCCCAGGGTTGACACCAAGTGTCTGTTGCCACATGTCATCTGCTTTTTTTTATGGTAGTGCTAAGAGGAAAGTGATATGAACAGTAAGCCTGCTTCAATCATTTTCATCATAGTGAAGTTCCCATCAGCACTTATAAACATTCCTGGGGCTTTGTAGACTCAAGACTGCTGAGAAGAATCAGGCAGTCATGTAAAGGGGTTGAAGGCATGTGTGTTTCCTTCCAGGAGTATGAACTGTGTGAAGAGTGGGGCTGCCTGTACCCCATTCCAAGAGAACATTTAATCAGCCTTCATCAAAAGCATCTTCTCCACCTTCTAGAAAGAAGAGATCATGACAAGGCTCTGCAAGTAAGCCCCCAGTTCTTTCCATTTTTCTTCTGGGGTGGGACAAGAAGTTTAGTCAAATCAGATGGCTTTATTTTCATGTTGAATCCCATGCAATCTCAGCTATGCCTCTTCTGATCTTTCAGGAGCTGGTTATAGTCATCTTGAGCAGAAGGGGCCTAGCCTTGCATTAGGTGCCAGATGGGGCGGCTGGGTCCAGAATTCTGCTGAATTCTGGTCCTGTCAAAGCCATGGCATTTGGGAAACTACAGAGGTGGTTAAAAAAAAAAAGGAGTATAGAGAAAGGGTTAGTCCAAAATGAGTAAACCTAAATATTCTATTCTCAAACAAAACAAAGCTGGTCTAAGAGCTCTTCTGCAGGCCACACCTTCCTCCTCTACCCTTTGACAATAGCTCCTGCGAAGAATCCCTGACCCCACCATGTGCCTTGAAGTGACAGAGCAATCCCTCGACCAGCACACTAGCTTGGCCACTTCTCACTTCTTGGCCAACTACCTCACCACCCACTTCTATGGACAACTGACTGCTGTCCGACACCGTGAAATCCAGGCGCTGTATGTGGGATCCAAGGTAAGGATACACCGTGAAATCCAGGCGCTGTATGTGGGATCCAAGGTAAGGAGGAAAAGGAGGTGTTGGGAAGGCATACCTGAGGGAGAGACTGCGAGCCTAGCTCTTCTTCAGAACTTGCCTTTTCAATGGCTCTTTTGCCAGGCACCTGCCATCCCTGGCCTGTGCTATATGAAATCTTTACCCTAGAAGCCCTCTGTATCCTAGTTGAGTCTCCTAGGACTTGTCATTCTCTTCCTGTCCTGCCTCCATAGGGAATTCTACCTGGTCCTCTTAAGTTGCCTTTATGGTTTCCATGGTATCTGCTGTATCAATGCTTCTCAATGCTGACAATATATTAGAATCACCTGGACTTAAGAAAAAAATACCAGGTTATTCACCTCTACCCCAGATCAAGTAAAACTGGTCTTGGGATAGGGACTGGACATCTTCCAAAGGGCTTCTGATGTAAGGATTTAAAACGACTGCTTGATAAACTTGTCTGTGCTAGTGGAAGAGGGTTAGTTGTCTATGTAATTAGGTGAGATAAGTTCTTACCTTTGATGTATAACTTTGGAGACATTAATAGAAGAAACCTCCAGCTAGAAAAAGTAATCCAGTGAAGCAGAGTTTGAAGAGAGCTAGGGCCCTCTGGCATTCTTCTAATTATTCTGCCTGACAGTCCTATATACTACCCCACAAATAGAACGAGTGCTAAGAGAGCCATAAATATAACCACTGGCCCACTTACTAAGAGTTGAACTACATAACATGTTCCTTAAGAAGATACACCCAATGTGCTGTAGCTGAGTAGGGGAACCCTTGAAAACTGGCAGTGAACAGGGTCAGTGAACATATTTCAAGCCTAGTGATCGTGACTTCTAAGGAGAACTTAGATTCATCGTTTACCTGTAGGACATAGGAGGTGCCAGGTTTCATTAGACTACTGACACTACCTTGTATTTCTCATTCTGAGTAAAGCCTCAAATAAACAGAATGGTGGCATTAAGGGTCAGGGAGACCTCAATCATACCTGGAGGGTCCAGGCCAGGCGTGAGCAGGCTACCACCTGTGGGCCAAATCCAGTCCCCAGCCTGCATTTGTAAAGCAAGTGTTATTGGAACACACGTGCAACTATCATTTTACCTATGGCTGCTTTCAAGGTACATGTGCAGAGCTGAATGTTTGAGACAGACATTATGGACCATGAAGCCTGAAATAGTTACTCTCTGATCCTTTATAGGAAAAGTTTACTAACCCCTCATCTGGTGAAGGTACTTGGAGTACTTCTCAATTACCATCTGCAGAATTTAGTGGGGAGCTCAGCCTTCCTAAAAGACTGCGAGTCTGTTTCAGTAGCTGGCTATGCACCTTTTGTTCTCATGCACCCTTCCCCTTCCCAGTGAGAATCTTGAGTTTTTTCTGAAATTTGTGTACTATTTTCTTTACTCTATGGATCTACCCCACAAACAGATTCTGCTGACCCTGCCTGAGCAGCACCGGGCCAGCTATTCCCACTTGTCCTCTAACCCCCTGTTCATGCTGGAGCAGCTGCTTATGAACATGAAGGTGGATTGGGCCACTGTGGCTGTGCAGACTCTCCAGCAGCTGCTGGTTGGACAGGAGATTGGCTTCACTATGGACGAGGTGGACTCACTGCTTTCCAGATACGCAGAGAAAGCCCTGGACTTTCCATACCCTCAGAGGGAGAAACGATCAGGTAACTGCTAGCATCCTAGAAGGGGATTCTACATGGAGGAAGAAATGCCATGCTGCATTCTTAGTTTTAATTTGCTCCCCTTTTAATATTTTGGGTTGATCTAGAGTGAATGAATACACTTCAGAAGAGCTATCTCTTTATTATATAGGAGAGATCTTGGTCTTGGAGGAAGTAGAATAATGACCAGAATTAAAAGGTGGTAGATAACCACTGCATGCACATAATAACATAAAGGTTTGGAAAGCAAAATATGCTGGAAATGGTCTCTGTCTGGCCTTGATATAGCGGGCTCTTCAGTGCCATCATTTGGTATTGAGAGTATGCCTTATTCCCAGGATCACATCGGATATCACTTGTATGTGAGCTGACTCAGCCTCTTCTACATTGAAGAAACTGAAATAAGTATGGACTGATGTTCCCAGCCAGCTCTTTTTTCTTACTCCCTACTCTCCAGGGGCATCATTTCAACGTCTTCCACTTCCCTCTGGGCATTTTTTGATTTATTTTGTAGAATCCTAGTGTCCATTTCATTATCTCACATGCCTAAACATGGTTTGTTTTTCGAGGCGTTTAAGAAACATGCGTGCTATGGGCTTAGAGGTACCTCCTCCATTCTCTTAATACCTAGTAGAGTCATGGAATGACAATCAGAGAAGCCAACAGAGCTTTGTTCTAAATGCCTAGGGTGGTGAATCAAGATACTTATGGTAGAACCATATTTTGTCAGCATTTTCCCTCTCTACAGATTCTGTGATTCACCTCCAAGAAATTGTCCACCAGGCTGCAGATCCCGAGACCCTCCCTAGATCACCATCAGCAGAGTTCTCTCCTGCTGCTCCTCCTGGTAAGAACTGGCTCTGATGATTCACTAAAATTTTTCAGTTTAGTCTTGCCTTATTCTATCCTTCAGAATTTTTTTTTTTTTTTTGCTTCTTTTTTTCATTGCCAGTTACAACATTATTAATTGTTTATCTTGGTTCATTCCAGATTTATATATATCTCAAAAGATTCAACATACAGTCAACTATTGTTATTTGTGGCAGTATGTCTATAAAGTCTCCACACTGAACCAGCAAATCCAGAACTCTTGTTCCTAAGGGAAATGTGTACATGTATACACGTATCTCACATAGTTGGTAATCTTAAATCCTAAAAACAACTCTTCCTAGACGATTCTATTCTATTTCCTTTTTTCTACAAAGGAGATTCAGAAGTGTTAAGTGACTTGCCTCAGGCCACCCCCACTAACAGGTCCCAGAATTGGGATTCAAATCCCATTCAACTAGCCCCAGCACTGAGCTTCTGGCACTACCCCGCACTGTCCGCTACCATCCCCATCTTCTGGTCACTGTTTTTTTTTTGAGACGGAGTCTTGCTCTGTTGCTCAGGGTGGAGTGCAGTGGCACGATCACGGCTCACTGCAACCTCCGCCTCCTGGATTCAAGCAATTCTTCTGCCTAAGCCTCCCGAGTAGCTGGGATTAAAGGCGTGTGCCACCACACCCAGCTAATTTTTGTGTTTTTAGTAGAGATGGGGTTTCACCATGTTGGCCAAACTGGTCTCGAACCACAGGTGATCCACCTGCCTTGGCCTTCCAAAATGCTGGGATTATAGGCATGAGCCACCACACCCAGCCAGGTCACTGTTATATAGAGGTTGAAACAACCTCAGTTGGGAATTTGAGTGTTGAGTATTGGGTGACTCAAAACTTTCATGACCGCATGTGTTTGCAAATGACCACAAAAGCAAGATGAGTATTGTTTTTGAGGTTACAAATGTTAACAAACAAGCAACTTTACAAATATGCAATCTAGTATTAATGAGCCTTGACCGTACTTAGCCCTCAAGTTCATACTGTCACACACAAAGCACAAGCTCCTTGAAGCCCTCAGCCATGTCTTGGTCACCCTTTTCACCAGTCCCCTGGTCTCCAGCCCCCACACAATGGCCTACTCTCGAAAGAAGCTCAGCCAAGTGTTTTGTTTTGCCAAATGGTCAAAGGAGCAGGATTCTAAGGTCTCTTCTTCTGAGTGCTACTAAGAGTCACTATGTTTTACATCTCTCTTTTTCTGTGACCAGCCAGTGTTGCTCTGCTAAATGGTAAGAAATCTCTTTACATATCATAAAGCAGACTGTGGCATTTTCTGGCCATACTTTGAGAATTAGCCATGCTTCATGGTAACCAGCCGAGCTGAGGGGAGGGCTCAGCCTTGCAAGTATATGAGCAGCTTCATGCATCTGTATAAATGGCAGCCTGAGCATAAATGGCAGCCTGAGCAGCTTTGGGGTGTGTGTGTGTGTGTGTGCGCCTTTTTTTTTTTTTTTGGAGACAGGATCTCACTCTGTTGCCCAGGCTAGAGTGCAGTGGTGCCATCAGAGCTCACTGCAGGTCAGTTCCTCCTGCCCCAGCTTCCCAAGTAGCTAGGACTACAGGCACACACCACCATTGCCTGGTTAATTATTTTATTTTTTGTAGAGACAGGATCTTGCTTTGTTGCCTAGGCTGGTCTCGAACTCTTGAACTCAAGTGATCCTCCCACCTTGGCCTCCCAAAGTGCTGGGATTACAGGCATAATCTGCACCCAGCCTATATGAGTTTTTATTATGGAAAATTTGCAAATACCAGATATCACATCATTTCATTTATAAATATTTCAGTATAAATCTCTGAAAGGTAAGGACTTTCATAAAACAAAGCCATAATACCATTATCACATCTAGAAACAAATTCATAATAATTCCTTATTATTCTCAAATATCAAGTCAGTATTCAAATTTCTCCAGCTGTCTCATCAAGATTTTTTTATAGTTGTTTTTTCCAGACTCAAGATCTAAATAATGTCCATACATGGCATGGCATTTGGTGAAATATCTCTTAAATCTTTTTTTCTTTTTCTTTTTTAAGAGAGTCTCCCTCTGTCATCCAGGCCAGAGTGCAGTAGTATGATCATGGCTACTATAACCTTGAACTCCTGGGCTCAAGCAATCCTCCCACCTCAGCCTCCCTAGTAGCTGGGACTACATGCACACACCACCATGTCTGGCTAACTTCTGTATTTTTTTCTTTTGTATAGATGGAGTCTTGCTATCCATCTATGGAGACAGCCTAGTTGCCCAGGCTGGTTTTGAACTCCTGGCCTCAAGTGATTCTCCTGCCTCACCCTCCCAAAGTGCTGGGATTACTGGCATGAGCCACTGCACCAGCCTCTTAAAGCGCCTTTAATCAATAGGTTCCCTGCCTCTTTTCTTGTTTATCCCCCCTACCTCTTTTTTATTTGTGGAGGAGTCTAGTCATTTGTTCCCCGGAGCTTCCCACATGCTGGATTTTGCTGACTGCCTTCCTGTGGCAATCTGCGTCTTCATCCCCAGAATTTCCAGGACACTTGTAGTTAGGTCTAGAAGCTGGACTTGATTCAGGCTTAATATTTTTTAGTAAGTATACTTGATAGCAGGTGGTGTACACATCCATCAGGAGGCACACAATGTTCAGTTGTCTCTCTTTTATGACACAAACAGTCACTGATGATCATTAACTGGATCTATTCTTTCAATAACGGTTTGTAAAATGGTAAAATTCTATCATTCCCTCTTCATCTATAAGCTGGTATATTGATTACCTTTTACTCTGACCTCTGGCTCTGCCTCCCAGGTATCTCCAGTATACATTCCCCTAGTCTAAGGGAAAGGAGTTTCCCACCAACCCAGCCCTCACAGGAATTTGTGCCCCCAGCGACACCCCCTGCCAGGCACCAGTGGGTACCGGATGAGACTGAGAGTATCTGCATGGTCTGCTGCAGGGAGCACTTCACCATGGTAAGCAGCATCGGTCTCCACTGTCACCCTCAGGAGAAGGTAAAGGAGAATTCTAGTTCATGAGCCTGAGTTTACAATCACCGCCTGTCCCCAGGAGAATATCGGTATTTTCAGAACTGCCAAATCTAAGACTTTGGGTTCATTTTTGACCTGACCAGAATGTATTTTCTGGATTCAGACAGGTAGTAGACACCCTCAAACAGCCATAAATTCTAAAATCTTTGCCATTGTCATGAGATAATAAAAAAGAGGCAGGAGGAGTCAACAGGTGTCAGTGGATCTTGTTTCTGGCTCCCATGTCTTTGACAGTAAGACTGGTGACCCAGCAGTGGTTATATGCACTGACTCAGGAGACAGAGGGCCTGGGTTCTAATCCTGGCTCTGCCTCTTAATGACAGTGTGACTATACACTATTTTGGTCTCATGTGCCTACTTGTAAACTAAGGATGATATATTCTTAGGCTCATGGAGCTGTTAGGATTAAATATGATAATATGTGTCACCATACTTAACGCAGTACCTGCCCAGTATGCCACATCAGCTCAACGCTGATGAAAACGATGGTGATGTAATTGCTCTGTGTCTGTTTCCTCCTCATCTATAAAAGAGGTGTAATATTTCTATTAGAATGAAATGAAGCAGTACTTTAAAGTCACTTTGATGCCCATCCACTGTAGACTGGATAAAGAAAAGTGGTACATATACACCATGGAATACCATGCAGCCATAAAAAAGAACAAGATCATATCTTTTGCAGGAACATGGATGGAACCAGAGGTCATTATCCAAAGCAAACTAACACAGGAATGGAAAACCAAATACCACATGTTCTCAATTTTAAGTGAGAGCTAAATACTGAGAACACATGGACAGAAAAAGGGGAACAACAGACACGGAGTGTACTTGAGACAGAGGAGGGTGGAAGGAGGGAGAAGTTCAGGGAAGAAAAACTGCTAGGTACCATGCTTACTACCCAGGTGACAAAATAATCTGTACACTAAACCCCTGAGTCACGAGTTTACCTATGTAACAAACCTGCACATGTGCCCCTGAACCTAAAATAAAAGTTGATTTAAAAAAAAAAAAAGATATTAGGAAAGCAGAGTCAGGTATTTTCCTTATTTAAACTTACAAATCTTCAAGGAGGACAATTGGTTGTGGCTTGTTGAGACATATGACAAGCCACCAAAAGGAGTTTTGCATGACAAGCTGCTCTCTAGCTTTGAAACCACCATATAGAAGGTTTACTTACATATAGGGTAGATTATAGAAAGAGTTTCTAATCTTTAAATTCTAATAATGACAACAGTTGGCCTTTATTGACTGCCTACTGTATATGTTCCAGGCATGATACTAAGTGCTTTGCTTAAGTTATCTCTCTTAAATTTTACAATAACCTGATGAGCTTGGTAATATTATTACTATATTACACACATCAGAATATGGATGTATAGAGAAGGTATATAATTTGGAGAAGACTGATGAGACATTCTGAATTGACTGATACAAATTAAGAATTTGTGTGTAAAATTAAATTGTACCTAAGTGTTTATGTTTTTAAAGTCTTTTTTTTTTTTTTTTTTGAGACAGAGTCTAGCTCTGTCACCCATGCTAGAGTGCAGTGGTGTGATCTCTGCTCACTGCAACCTCTGCTTCCTGGATTCAAGCAATTCTTCTGCCTCAGCCTCCCAAGTAGCTGGGAGTACAGGCTCCCGCCACCACACCTGGCTAATTTTTGTATTTTTAGTAGAGATGGGGTTTCGCCATGTTGGCAAGGCTGGTTTCAAACTTCTGACCTCAGATGATCCGCTCACCTCTGCCTCCCAAACTGCTGGGATTATAGGCGTGAACCACCGCGCCCAGCCTAAAAGTCTTGCTTCATGTTTATCATGTGTTACAAATGGCACCTGCTAAAATAACCTTGGGGAAAACAAATAAAGGCATTTTGAAAGGGATACTTTTTAATCATTGTCATCAATACCATGTAGAAATGTGATCTGCACTGGCTTAGAAAGTGACTTCTTCTCCACTACTTTTTCTTGTTTTTCCACATGTTGCCTCCATACACAAGTAGAACTTGTCAGGAGCTATCGCAAAGCTCCATGACTTCGCACCTTTGCCCATCAGCTGACAGATATTTTTAAACATTCAATTTTTGAGGGCAAGGACTGGTGTGTCCTTTTCCAATAGAGACCCAAGCAGTTGGTGTTCTTAGAAAGTATAAGCCACTGGTAGTTAATACCATGTATAAATGGATTGATGGCAATCTCCCCTTCTCTCCTCCCTCTTTCTTCTCCTCCTGATGGCATTCCTCAGTTTAACAGGCGTCATCATTGTCGCCGCTGTGGCCGGCTAGTGTGCAGCTCCTGCTCCACTAAGAAAATGGTGGTTGAAGGCTGCAGAGAGAACCCTGCTCGTGTGTGTGATCAGTGCTATAGTTACTGCAACAAAGAGTGAGTGTCCTACAGCAGGGCTGTTGCTATTATTGACCGCTGCACCCTTCCGCAGGTCCCTACACTCCTAGGAGTCTCATTATGAGAGCATTTCAAATCCAGAAATGTTTAACATTCACACTGAAATGCCATTAACTCTACACTGAAGGGTTTGTACACTGACTTTGGTCAGAGAAACCACTAAGAGAGAAAGTAGGGTGAGAGGAAGAGGTGTTCAAGGTTCTTACATGATGTTCTTAAATCAGGACTTTGATTCCTTAGCCCTTCCCCAGACAGAGGCCATTGAGCTTAGTTCACCAATTCACCTATTTTCCAGCCTCTCTTGCTTCAACTGGTCTCAGCTGGACTCAAATGGACATGTTCACACCTGCTGAATGGTTGGGCATCGCTTATATCAACTCTGATCTAGGTAGTCATTCTTGCTTGTAATCCGTAATTAGAAGAGCCTCCATACTTGCCTACACAGAGTTCACCTGGTAACAAATTTCAGAAACTGCTCATACCTCTGGCGAGACAGATCAAGACTTTGTTTGTTGGCTCAGTGTTGCTCAATTGTTTCCACTACTTCTAGTAGCAAAGAAGCATGAACCTAAGACTCCTAGAGCATCTAGGAATATGGGCCAAAGCAACCATCCAAAACCAGTTACTTTGAATTCTGCATGTTTTATTTACAAACTTAAATAGATTTTCTATTCTCCTCCATAGCATTATTGTGTTTGTCCTGATGTGAACATTTTTGGTCATTATTTACCATAATGATTACTGATCGCATAGGAAGGAAGACACACCATACTTACTCTACAGTTTCCGTGACCCTAGCATACCACTGCCTCCCTCCCTCCTGGAGGAATTACCCACACACCATACTGCTGAGATTTGAAATGGGCAGTTAGTATTGATGGGGGACTCTTTCATTCAACAATTCTACCCTCAAAGAGCCCTCCATTGTACCAGGGAGACACTGTAAGTTGATGCTGTCTACGAAGCTCAAAACAAAGAAGTGACTCAGGCATTTATTTAATAATTTTTCTTTCTCTGTTTTCAGTGTACCAGAGGAGCCTTCAGAAAAACCAGAAGGTAAGGCCAAATCCCGTTCTCTGTGACTCTTCATTTGTGTACTTAAGTTGACTCTATCTTCAGCATATCAGCTGTGACTGATATACTTGTCCAACTTATGCACTCCATCCAACTTGTTTGCCAAAGCAAATTCTTGGCATTTGTATCAGCCTGTTTCCTCTGAAGTTCATCATATTAACCTATTACACTGGCCTATTAGCTTCCAGCATTGAGAAGGCCAGCAACCAAATAATTTGGTTCTTAACTTTTTAGTAGGTGATTTTATTTTAGTTTTTCTTAAGTTTCCCTTTACCATCCTACCTCCCCATGCTCCCTCCTTACCCCTAGGTAATCCCTGTTAACAGTTTGGCCTGTATCTGTCCACAACAGGTTAGTTTTTAGAGTGTCCAGTGGCTCAGCCATCTATTTGAGAAACACGCCCCTTTGAAGGTTTCTTGTGTGAAGCAAGAAGGTTACGTGACAAATACTGTAACACTCGCCTCAGGTCTATGCCTGGGGAAGATGGTTTGAGGTGCTTAGTGGGGTGTCCTAAAGCAAACAAAAGGAACCAAGGAGAGAGAAAGGGGCCCTGAGATAGCAGGCAAGTGTCTACCTGCAACTCATGCCAGCTCACTGGACTGGGTTAGACTGAACTGCCAGCCAGTGAATGACACATGAATGGCATTTCTCTTCTCAGCTCTAGACAGCTCCAAGAATGAAAGCCCTCCATACTCGTTTGTGGTGAGAGTCCCCAAAGCAGATGAGGTGGAATGGATTTTGGATCTCAAAGAGGAGGAAAATGAGCTGGTGCGGAGTGAATTTTACTATGAGCAGGTAATAGCAATAAAATGCAATGGTCACTTAAGTTTCTTTATGATGTGTAGCAGTATGACAAGAAATACAGAGGTAGGTGAACACACCTGGCCTTTACTTGTTTATAGTGCAATAATATGGGAGCTAAACCAGTAAATCCATTAAGGCAGAAAATAATGAACATCTTGGGAATTGCAGAAGGGGAGACCAGGAAAGCCTTCGTGGAAGAGGTAGCATTTAAGATGAGCTTTGGAAGAATGGTAGGAGTGTGACAAGCAGAAAGCTGGGGGTCGTGAGGAGAGTGGGGATGGGGAAGGACAAAGAATACAAAATTAAAACATCTGAGCAAAGACACCGTGTCCAAAATTGCAGGGCATGATTGGAGAAGTGGAAGCTCTTTAATTTGAAGGGAACATAGAGTCAATAGGGTTAATAGAGAGCTCATAAAAGGTAGGCTTGAAAAGGATTATTTATATATAGGGCCTTACATTCTGCAGTAAGGACTATCTACTTGATAGGTTTCAAGGGCCTATGAAAGGTTTCCAAGTGTGCTTTAGGAATATTAATTTAGCAGCAGTGTGTCCATGGCTTAAAGCAGAAACTCCTCTAGGTGGTCAGACAAGTGAGCTGACCATTGTTGTCCAAGTCAGCAATAAGGACTTGCACTAGTGGACCAGAGAAAGGAGGGGACCTATGGACATTGTCAAGAAGTAGGTAACAAGGCTGGGCGCAGTGGTGCCCACCTGTAATCCCAGCACTTTGAGAGTCTGAGGTGGGTGAATCGCTTGAGCCCAGGAGTTTGAGACCAGCCTGGGCAACATGGTGAAATCCCCGTCTCTACAAAAAAAAATACAAAAATTAGCCGGGCATGGTGGCACAAAGCTGTGGTCCCCACTACTTGGGAGGCTGAGGTGGAAGGATTGCTTGAGCCTGGGAGGCAGAGGTTGCAGTGAGCCGAGATCGCACCAATGCACTCCAGCCTGGGCAACAGAGTGAGACCCTGTTTCAAAAAAATAAAGAAGTGGGTAAGAGGTGGACACAGTGCCCTTCTTCCCAGTAAAATGACATAACTTAAAAGCCAGAGTTTTGGCAGTGCTACTTAGAACATCTGAAATTTGTTTAGTTCCACTTCTGCTTTCTTGTAGAATCTGGTTCCTTCTTCCAGGGTCTTTCAGCCTTTTGAAAGGGGAAGGATAATTTCTGCCACCCAGCTGCCTTTGGAGAATGCTCTGGCCCCTGGACTCACCGTGTGTTCTCCCTTCTTCCACCCCGGCCAGGCCCCCAGCGCCTCCTTGTGCATTGCCATCCTGAATCTGCACCGGGACAGCATTGCCTGTGGTCACCAGCTGATTGAGCACTGCTGCAGGCTCTCCAAGGGCCTCACCAACCCAGAGGTGGATGCCGGGCTGCTCACGGACATCATGAAGCAGCTGCTGTTCAGCGCCAAGATGATGTTCGTCAAAGCCGGCCAGAGCCAAGACTTGGCTCTTTGTGACAGGTAGAGGGCAGTGGGTCTCTATTCTTTTACACAGGAGCAGTTTCTAGCCAGCTTCTTTTTCTGACCCCACTGTGATTTTTTTATCTCACCATCCTCTCTGACAAGACATGCTGAAAGATTTTTCATCTGTGTAATGTTGATGAAACGGTGTTGCCAGATCTCAAGTGTTCTTCCCCATCCTACCTGACACCC
This sequence comes from Homo sapiens, assembly GCF_000001405.40. Lineage (NCBI taxonomy): Eukaryota > Metazoa > Chordata > Mammalia > Primates > Hominidae > Homo > Homo sapiens. The sequence continues at coordinate 67,766,034 of NC_000014.9, read as the reverse complement.
TGTGTCCTTTTCTTTTTCAGAGCAGACCCTCAAAGCAGAGTTTACTCTAGCTATACCAGTCAGAAAGAGAGTAAAGACTTTCATTAGTTGATTTGTCATTAAAGTCAATGTAGGGAACCACCTTTAGTCTCTGTGGGACTTTCTGGCTTTTAAAGAAAATGTGTCCTCCTTGAATGTCCAGTGATTAGCCTTGAACAAAACTCTACTCCAATCCTGACCAAATTCAAACTGTGACTTCAGTGAATTCTGGATAATAGATTTTAAAAAGCACTCTGGGAATTGGTCTATTCCTGTGTCCCAGGTAGGAACTGGGGTCATAAAGTAGAAGTGTGTATGGAAAAGGTATGATTAGACCTCCCTCAGGTTCCTGTACAACCGGTTTTGACTCCATCCATTAACCTGACAGTGACTCCTAATTCCCTGCTTATCCACTCAAATGTGTGACTCAGATTGTGTGTTCCCAGCACTCAGTCCTAACCAGATTTGGGAGAAGGGAGCATAATTTTCTCTGCGGTATCATTGCCTCCCTCAGACATTTGCTTGGAATACTTGCCTACAGACTCAGCAGCCAGCATGGAGCACAGCAAATCCCAGCTTCACGACTTCCTAGCTCTGTTAACCCCTCTAGGCCTCAGTCTCCTCCTCTATAAAATGGGGTAGTAATACTGATCTCATGGGGCTGTTACGAGGATAAAATGAGATCATCCATGTAAATGGTGAAGAACTAAGCCTGGTATATACTGTGTATTCCGAAAATGTTAGTAATTTTTATTATTTTTAGTAACAAAAACTAGAAGGTTGAGAAAAGCAGGAGGAGGTGAAACAAAGTAGAAGGAAGTGAAAAGGAACTAATCTGATTCCTTTATATCAAGAGGTAATAGATTCTACATCATTTTTCAAGTTGATAAATGAAGAAACAGATATGTGTTAAATTTTTGAAATAACCATGAAAAGAATAAAAAATCTACCTAATTATGAGAAAAGGATAGGAGGAGGAAAAAAAAGATGGAAAACAAAGGAAACATGAAAAAAGACTTAAGGCAAAAGTAAAAATATATTCAAATATATCTCAAGTATCAGTAATGTAAATGAAAAAAGGAAAAGATATTTAGATTGGGGAGAAAACAAACTTCACATCAAGTCCTGTATTTCCTTTAAAATGTAATACAGATGAAGGAAATATCCATTTTTAGGCTCAGGGCAGCAGAAAGTAAGGAAGTCCTCACTTTAATAGGATTCTCACCCACCCCAAGGTGTCTTGCGCGTCTTTGACAGTTTACAGCAATGGTTTCTATTTAAACAGCCTTTTCTCTGATCCTGCATTCAGACACGCCCACTCTAAGAATCTTTCCCTTTGCACCAGTTTGTTGATGGGAGTGGATTCATTGCTCACATGTGTCGCCATGCAAATCACTTACAAACTCTTGGATTTCAGAGTATTTTTCTAATGTTTTTAACTCATACCCCCTTCTGATAGACAAACAAATAAATAAATATAGGCTTAAAAACAAAACTCAGCTGGGTGCAGTGGCTCTTGTCTGTAATTCCAGCTACTCAAGAGGCTGAGGGAAGAGGATCCCGAGGCCAGGAGTTCGAGACCAGCCTGGGCAATGTAGTGAGACCCTGTCTCTAAAAACATAAAAATAAACTCACCACCTACTACAAATGTTTTCATTTCCCAAATATGCAAAAATATTATGAGTGCCGATGCTCTTATACACTATACTTTCCTCTCCCCCATCCCTACATTGTTAAGAATCACTGATGTACAGAATCCCTTTCTAGGTAATTGGTGGATAAGTCAGGATCCACAGAGGTTTTTGCTGCAGTTATGAGACGAGATTCAGGAACCTTGAGTGTAGGCTTGTCTCAGCAGCACTAGACAGTATAATCCAGCCCTCTGGGCTTTCTATCCTTATAAGGTTTTTACAAGCATCAGGTGAGATCACAGAAGGCAGCCCTACTAGGCTATAATGAGGGCCCATCCTTAACCCAGGGTGAGGATGTCAAGTCTAGAATAAGAGTGAAGGACCAGGATGCTTCCACCCAGCAGCATCTCCAGGGAATGGTAGCGATGTGGCCTGTGCACTGACCAGGAATACAGGCCATTGATACTGAATCTGTGCTCTCTCACTCACGAAGAAGGGTTCAAAAGGACCAAAAAGCAGATGGGTCACTTGTAAGCCCCTAACATACAGTGTAAAGGCCTTGCCTCAAATACCCCTGAGCATCCCCACTCCAAACATTAATATCTAACATTTATTGAGTGCCAGAAAAGTTCCGGACATTATCCTAAGCCCTTTTACTTGGGTTATTTCATTTTATCTTTAAAACTCCACTGTCACAGTCATGCATTGCTTAACGACAGTAATATGTTCTGAGAAATGCATTGTCAGGTGATTTCGTCATTGTGCAAACACCATAGAGTGCACTTGCACAAACCCAGAGGGTATAGCCTTCTACCCACCTAGGTTATGATCTATTGTTCCTAGGCTACAAACCTGTACAACGTGTTACTGTACTGAATACTGTAGGCAATTGTAACACTATGGTATTTGTGTATCTAAATATAGAAAAAGTATAGTAAAAATATGATATTATGATCCTATGTGGCCACCATTGTATATGCAGTTCATTGCTAACTGAAATGTCATTATGTGGCACATGACTGTATATCCATTTTACAGATGAGTAAACTAAGGCAGAGAAAGGTTAACTAACTTGCCCCAGGTCATAGAGCTACTAAGTAATAGAGCCATAATTCAGTGTGACTCCAGAGCTTTCACTCATGACATCTATGCTATGCAACTCTCAATTCTCATGATCACTTTCACATTGAAAATGGAGTAGGCCTGTAATCCCAGCACTTTGGGAGGCCGAGGTGGACGGATCACCTGATGTCAGGAGTTCAAGACCAGCCTGGCCAACGTGGTGAAGCCCTGTCTCTATTAAAAAAATACAAAAACTAGCTGGGCAAGGTGCCAGGCACCTGTAATCCCAGATACTGGAGAGGCTGAGACAGAAGAATCGTTTGAACCCAGGAGGCGGTGGTTGCAGTGAGCCGAGATCGGACCACTGCACTCCAGCCTGGGTGACAGAACGAGACTCTGTTTCAAAACAAACAGAAAAAAGAAAATGGAATAGGAAACCTTTAAGCGGCTACTCTTAGTAAGACACTAGGGAGCCTCATGGCCTTGCCCTTTTCCTCCTTGTAGCTACATCAGCAAGGTAGATGTGCTGAATATTTTAGTTGCTGCTGCCTATCGCCACGTGCCATCTTTGGATCAGATCTTGCAGCCAGCTGCAGTAACCAGGCTAAGGAACCAGCTTTTGGAAGCCGAGTACTACCAACTGGGCGTTGAGGTGAGACAAAGACAAAGACAAAGCTTACTTCCACCCCACTGTAGCAAGTTGCTTTTGCTTAGCCTTGCAAACAGGTGTTGCCGTCTCTCAGTTGTCCTGCCCATGGGGTAGAATCGGGGACATGACTAGTTTGCCAGCAGAGAAGTAATGGCAGATAGTGGGAATGAGGTGGTTGGCAACTTGGGAATAGAATAGGTCTTTGGGACATTTAGGCCTGAATGTAGCTACCACTCACTAAAAGGGGCAATTTTTCTCCCAGGTCTCCACAAAGACTGGGCTTGATACCACCGGGGCGTGGCATGCTTGGGGCATGGCCTGCCTCAAAGCCGGGAACCTCACTGCTGCACGGGAGAAGTTCAGTCGCTGTCTGAAGCCCCCATTTGACCTCAATCAGCTGAATCATGGCTCAAGGCTGGTGCAGGATGTGGTTGAGTACCTAGAGTCCACAGTGAGGCCCTTTGTATCCTTGGTAAGAGCAAGGCAGGAAGAGTGCCTGGCTCAGGGAGGGAGACCCAGGAATAGCAATGACCTGGGAAAAGAATCAGTGGAAATTCAGCTAACAGTGTCAGTCCTGGCTCAGCATCAAGCAGGTTAAAAATTTTTTTTTTCCATCACATATAGTTAGATAAGTAACCATATATGGTTAGATAAGTAATAGATGTAATTTTTTTTAAAAAAAGGAGACAATTTTTAAAAAGATAAAAATGACATATGACATATAATCCCATACACAGACTGATTAGTGTTAAAATTCTGGTGAATTTTCTATGTTATGTTGTTTAATGAAACTGGGGTTGTCCCATATCATAATATGTAGAATTGTGTATCCTGCCTGTTCTGCCTTTGACACTGAAAAATTATGAACATTTTTCCACATTGTTAAATATTCTTTCTTTATTTGTTTTTTTATTTTTTTATCATACTTTAAGTTCTAGGGTACATGTGCACAACGTGCAGGTTTGTTACATATGTATACATGTGCCATGTTGGTGTGCACATTGTTAAATATTCTTTGCAAGCAATATTTTCAGTGCCTGCTGAGAACTTTTTGAGTTTCATTTTTCTCTCTCGCTCCCTGTGCTGTCAGCAAGATGACGATTACTTTGCCACCCTGAGGGAACTGGAAGCTACCCTTCGGACGCAGAGCCTTTCTCTGGCAGTGATTCCTGAAGGGAAAATCATGAACAACACCTACTACCAGGAATGCCTCTTCTACCTGCACAACTATAGCACCAACCTGGCCATCATCAGCTTCTACGTGAGGCACAGCTGCCTGCGGGAAGCTCTTCTGCACCTTCTCAACAAGGTGGGACATGGACACAGCTCAAAAAGGCAGTGCCTGCCTTACTCCTCTGGCTTGGACCACTCAGCCTTAAGCGGGACAATAACCCCCTGACACTTAACCCTGTGTTGAGCTATGGGGCCATCTCTAGCAGAGTCAAGTCAAAACAGGGGACTCTGCACAACTGTTATTCAGTGAGTGTGAAAAGTCTTAGCCTAGATCCCAAATCACTGCCCTCACCAGCAAAGGCATGTTTCATTCCTTCTGCCAAAACATGCAGCAGAATCGGATAGTGGTTAAGAGCATGTCTCTGGAATGAGATGCTCAGTGTGAGTCTTGTGTGGCCTTGGGCATATTGCTTAGAGTCTGCTTCCACGCGCCTCCCTACCTGGCCTGGGATGGTGTCCAGCTTCTGACCCAGCTGCTGGTCCATTCAGAGTTGTTACTACAAGGGCCAGGAAGTAACCATGGTGCCAATCCTATAGTTGAACCCCAAATAGATGATGAAAGAAGAATATGCTCTCCTTTTTTTCTTCTCCCATCCTCTGCCCCCCTCCCACTGGAAGCAAAGGCACCACTGAAGAACATTACATCTTTGGAGCTCTTAATAAGCAATCAGGACTTCGTTTTACCGTGACCCATTTTTTTGTTTTTGTTTTTTCGAGATGGGGACTCACTATGTTGCCCAGGCTAGAATGCAGTGGCATGATCACAGCTCACTGCACCCTTGACCTCCTAGGCTCAAGAAATCCTCCAACCTCATCCTACTGAGTAGCTGGGACTACAGGCACATGCACTGCACCCAGCTACATTCCTTTTTTTATCTGAATGTTCCATAATAACTTGGAGAAATTGGCTGAGATGTACCAAATTTTGTAGGAAATTGAAGGAGCTCAAGGCAGACTTTAATTTCACTCTGCCACCCTAATTCAAAACAGCAGCCAATGCAAATGTACAGATAGACATATTTTCTAAGATTGATCCAAGTGAAATCAGCAGTTCACAAAGTTATTATGACTATACCCCTACAGGACACTGAAGGGGGGTGTTTTTACCAGTGCTTAGCTACTGACTATTCTTAGCTACTAACCAGGTCTTAAGAATAATGTAGAAGTCATGTTATATGGAGTTGAGTTGCTAACTTTTTTCCTTTTCCTCAGTTTCCAGATGAGTTTAGCAGTAAAGATGCTTTTCCCAGGCACAAATTGGGAATGGAAATCACCTAGTTCCGTTCCCTCTGACAGCTGTAATCCAGAGAGCTAAGCTGCTTACTTCATTAGCTTGGTATAAGCTGACGACAGCAGTGCCCTTGCTTTATATTTGTCAGAGCTAGGAAATAAGCCTTCTTTTTTTCTGCTGTAATCATAGTTACCCTTGAACTGAAATATCTTACATTTATTCTCAAGCAGGTAGGGAGAGGAGAAAAGACATTGTGAAAATTACACCTGAATGCCTGGAGCATGGAAGACATTCTGTCCCTAGCCTTTTCCCTGTGTATTTTGTCCCTTTGCCCACTCTGCCCAAAGACTGAGCTTTCTAAAACATAAATAGATTCATGTTATTCCCCTCCCTAAAAGGCTTTCAGAGGATCTCCATGGCCATAGGAAGAACTTCAGATTCCTTAGCATGCTACAGAACTAACCAGGATCAGGCCTCCTTATTTCTCTAATTTATTTTCACCACAAATCCTATGTGTACCTTACATTCCAGACTCATTAAATTACTTAAATTTTCCTGATATACCATGCACTTTTTTTTTTTTTTTTTGAGCCAGAGTCTTGCTCTGTTGCCAGGCTGGAGCGCGGTGGTGAGATCTCAGCTCACTACAACCTCTGCTTCCCAGGTTCAAACGATTCTCCTGCCTCAGACTCCTGATTAGCTGGGATTACAGGCACATGCCACCACGCCTGGCTAATTTTTGTATTTTTAGTAGAGACAGGGTTTCACCATGTTGGCCACGATGGTCTCGATATCTTGACCTTGTGATCCGCCTGCCTGGGCTTCCAAAGTGCTGGGATTATAGGCGTGAGCCACCGCGCCTGGCCACCATGCACTGTCTTATTTCCACGAATCTTTATGTGCTATTTCTTCTACCTAGAGTGCCCTGCCTTTCTGTGTTTTCCTTTTTTTTTTTTTTTTTTTTTTCAGACAGAGTCTGGCTCTGTCGCCCAGGCTGGAGTGCGGTGGCACGATCTTGGCTCACTGGAAGCTCCGCCTCCTGGGTTCACACCCTTCTCCTGCCTCAGCCTCCCAAGTAGGTAGGACTACAAGCGCCCGCCACCATACCTGGCTAATTTTTTCTATTTTTTTTTTTAGTAGAGACGGGGTTTCACCATGTTAGCCAGGATGGTCTCAATCTCCTGACCTTGTGATCTGCCCGCCTCGGCCTCCCAAAGTGCTGGGATTAGAGGCGTGAGCCACCGTGCCCAGCCTGTTTTCTTAAAAAATTCATATTTGTTGGGAGCAGTGGCTCACACCTGTGATCCCAGCACATTGGGAGGCTGAGGCAGGTGGATCACTAGATCAGGAGTTCAAGACCAGCCTGACCAAGATGGTGAAACCCTGTCTTTACTAAAAACTACAAAAATTAGCTGGGTGTGGTGGCAGGTGCCTGTAATCCCAGCTACTCGGGAGGCTGAGGCAGGAGAATTGCTTGAACCTGCGTGGCAGAGGTTGCAGTGAGCCAAGATTGCGCCACTGCACTCCAGCCTGGGCGACAGAGTAAGACTCCATCTCAAAATAAATAAATAAATAAATAAATAAAATTCTATTTATCCTTTTAGTATCCTTTCAGGCCCTCTCTGTTGAGCATTCACAGAACACTCAAGCAGCATTAGCCACCATTGCCCCTGGTACTGCATTTATCCTGCTGGATTGCCACTGTTTGTTTACAATTGAGTCTTTCCATCTGGACCAAGAAGGCCTATATTTTACTTATCTGTATATTCAGGCACCTGACCTAGTACCAATTATGAATGAGTGAGTGGATAGATAAATGGATGGCATGGAAGTTCTTGAGGTGCTGCCCTTCTGAGGTGTTCTATCTCTCCTGTAGAGCTAATGCCCCTGCTTCTTAAAATGTGACCTACAACTTTTAGATTAGGTCTGGTTTTCTCTGTTAGGAACAACCTGAATCAGGAAAGAAGCCCCTAACCCTCACCCACTATGAATGTTCTCAAAACCCAGATCCATTCTGCTTCCAAACAGCTTGTGCCCAGTGTCACTATGCTAGCATGTTATACCACTGTGACTTTATAGCCATCCTTGACTCTCCGTTAATTACTCCTAACCTCAAGTCTAAATGCCAAGATGATTATTAAATAGCCAAGGACTATTCTGGGCACTAAGGATACAGTAGTAAAAAAACAGACAAAAGGCTGGGCAGGGTGGCTCGTTTCTGTAATCCCAGCACTCTGGGAGGCTGAGGTGGGTGGATCACTTGAAGTCAGGAGTTTGAGACCAGCCTGGCCAACATGATGAAACCCTGTCTCTACTAAAAATACAAAAACTAGCTGGGCATGGTGGCACGAGCCTGTATTCCCAGCTACTTGGGAGGCTGAGGCAGGAGAATCGCTTGAACCCAGGAGGCGGAGGTTGCAGTGAGCTGAGATTGCGCCACTGCACTCCAGCTTGGGTTACAGAGTGAGATTCTGTCTTAAAAAAAGAAAAAGAAAGAAAGAGAGAGAGAAAGAAAGGAAAGAGAGAGAGAAAGAAAGAAAGAAAGAAAGAAAGAAAGAAAGAAAGAAAGACAAAAATATCTGCCCCATAGTAGGAAGAGAGATAGTAAACATGAGAAATAAAATAGATATTGTAGATGATGAATAAGAAGAAGAAAAATAAAACAGGGAGGAGGAAGGGGTGGCTTGTATAATTTTAGACTGGGTGCCCAGGGAAGGTGACATCTGAGTAAAGCTCCAAAGAACACGAGGAGCAAATCATGCAGATCTATGGGGAAGGCAGAGGGTGTGATGAGGGCAAAGGCCAGGGTGGCTAGAGCAGAGTCCACTAGGACAGGGTACTATCAGATAAAGTCAGAAAGGTCACAGGCCAAATCACACAGGACCTTGTGGACATTGTGAGGGATGAGAAGGGAAACCCCTGGGAGACTGTGAGCAGAGGAGTAACGTGATCTGGCTTCAGTTTCAACAGTCACTTGGGCTCATTTGTGGGCGTTAGACTGACAAGAGGTAAGAATGGAAGCTGATAGACCAGGGAGGAGTCTGTTGCAATAATCCAGACAAACGATGATGGCAGGGATCCAGTGTGGTCCAGGGGAGGTGGTGGGAAGTGGCCAGATTCTGTGTGCTGTAATGGTGATGGTGGAGCCAATAGAATTTGCTGATGGATTTGATGAAGGAGTGTGAGGGAAAAGATGACTAAGGTTTTTGACCTGAACAACTAAAAGAATGGAGACACAGACTGAGAAAGGGAAGACTGTGGAAAGAGCAGGTTTCAAGAAACAAGCAGGAATGTAGTTGTAGATGTATTCAGTTAGATCTCCAAGTGGCCATGTTCAGTAGACAATTGGATATAAGTTGGATGTACAGTTCTGGAGTTCAGGAGGAATGAACAATCTGGAGATGGGGATTTAGGCATCATCAGCAAATCAACAGTATATTAAACAGTGAGCCTGGATGAAATCACCAAGAGAGTGAGTATAAATAGAAAAGAGTGTAGGTTCCTCCGAAGCCCTGGGGAGATTGGGAGGGATCAGCTAAGAAAATTGAGAAGAAGCAGCCAAAGACATAGACAGAAAATCTGGAGAGGATAGTGTGCTGGAGGCCAACTGAGGAGAGTTTTTTCTCAATTATTTTTAAAAGGCTTTTCAAGGAGGAAGAAGCCATCTCTGTCAAAAGCTGCTGATTGATCAGATAGAAAATAAGGATCAAGGATTAACTGTTAGATTTACAGTTTAGTGGTCACTGGTGACCTAAGGGGCAGTTTCAATGGGAATTATGGGTGCAGAGCTAGATTAGAGTGGGTTCAAGAGAAAAATCACAGGAGGGAATTGGAGACAGTGAGGGTAGATAACCCTGTCTAGGGGCTTCTCTGTAAAAGGAAGGAGAGAAGTGAAGCAGTCGCTAGAATGAGATTCTCAAAGGTATCTGTGACACATAAAAGATTAAGAAGCACTGCATTGGGAGGATGCTGAAGGTTCATCAATAGAAGGAAATTCAGAGTGGATCCCAGACAGTGCCAGAACCAGGCTCAAGACTTCTGACTTCTCGCCCTGCCCTGCTCCAGGAGAGTCCTCCAGAAGTTTTTATAGAAGGCATTTTCCAACCAAGCTATAAAAGTGGGAAGCTACACACTTTGGAGAACTTGCTAGAATCCATTGATCCAACCTTGGAGAGCTGGGGAAAGTACTTGATTGCTGCCTGCCAACATTTACAGAAGAAGAACTACTACCACATTCTGTATGAGCTGCAGCAGTTTATGAAGGTAATGGCAGCCCCTTCCTGCCTTCTACCTCTGTTGCTGGTGCCCCACCCTGCAGGAGAGGCAGTGCACGATGAGGGAATGAGACTGTCATTGGTCCCTGGCCTTGCTGTTTGGCTGACCCTAGAGCAAATCCATGTTGCTCTCCAGTATTGTTAAATAATATTAGGATTTCCATCCTAAGTTTGGGGGCAGACTTTAATCCTGTCAATAAAGGCATTCTTCAGAAAGCAAGAAATGAACAGGTAAAAAAAAGAAATAAATGGTAGTTTCAAGATAAGCATGAGGCGTGAATGTAGAATTCATAAGGAATGATGGAAACGTTAGTGTTTTTAGAGAAAATATGTGAAGGGAGAAGGAACACGTTCCTCCCAATCTGCCTGAGGATAGTCAGTACTAAATTGAATTATTTAATGCCAAAGTACAAGTGAAGCCAATTTGAGTGGAGAATCAGAAATATCTTCTTTTAGCATCTCTTCGGTGGTGGAATAATGTCCTACCCAAGAGCTCCACCAGTCAGTGCACTTCAGGATCTCTTGGACCTTGGGGGTGACTGGCTCAAAATAGCAGTTCAGCTGGTGGTGGGAGTGGGTGCTGGAAACAAGGTCTCATAGGCAGAAATCAGATGAGAATTCTCATCACACCCCACCCTCCAAACCCCTGATCTACTTTGACCTGAACATTTATTTTCCTCTTCTAGGACCAAGTTCGGGCCGCCATGACCTGTATTCGGTTCTTCAGTCACAAAGCAAAGTCATATACAGAACTGGGAGAGAAGCTCTCATGGCTACTTAAGGCCAAGGACCACCTGAAGATCTACCTCCAAGAAACATCCCGCAGCTCTGGAAGGAAGAAAACCACATTCTTCAGAAAGAAGATGACTGCAGCTGATGTGTCAAGGTAGCTGGAGGTTCAGGGGACTATTGGTGTGGGGCAGAAAGGGTGGGAGCAGTTGTCTGTAGGTGATGAAGCTACTCTTGTCCATTCCTTGAATCCTGAAAAAAAATCTAAAGGGAATCATCCCTGGATGACAGTGTGTAGTACAAGCCTAGAAAGCCTACAGAGGAGCTGGTAGTGGGAGTGGGAGTGGAGGGAGGATTAGCATCACAGGCTACAATCAGACTACACTCCATACTCCTTACAGTAGGCCAAAAGGCTCCTGCACGTTCTGGCCCCTACTGATGTCACCATCTTTATCTCCTGCTACTCTCTTCTTGCTAAGCATCGATCCCTGGCCTCCTCAGGGCTCCTCAACACACCAAGTCCTTAATTCCTCTCAGCTTTTATACTTGCCAGTCCCTCTACATAGAACACAACATCTGGAGTAAATGCTCTACCACTACCATTTATTGCCTCCAGAGGCTTAATTGCTAACTATTTTATGTGTTTGTTTACTATTCATTTCTCTTCCAGCCTATAAACTCTGAGGGCAGGGCTCATCTCTCTTGACCTCTGTTATTGTACCTGGCACATAGGTGCTCAATAAATGCTTATCGATTCAATGACTGGACCCTATCTGGTTCCACAGTGCACCATAATATTGTGAGTCTGTGCAGGACACGAGATCACCATTTTTTTGGTCTTGTCATAACTGCTCACAAGGTACTTGAGGTCTCTTTTCCCACTATATCATTTGTTTTCCCTTTTTCATTGCCATATTATTCGACTTCTCAGTCTCCTGGCCTCAGTCACCTGGGGCCCCTCATGAGGCTGGACTGTGCATATTCTGTCACCACAGGCACATGAACACACTTCAGCTGCAGATGGAAGTGACCAGGTTCTTGCATCGGTGCGAAAGTGCTGGGACCTCTCAAATCACCACTTTGCCTCTGCCAACCCTGTTTGGAAATAACCACATGAAAATGGATGTTGCCTGCAAGGTACATGCAGCGTTTCAGACCTCTGGCAGACTATTGTCATCTTTTAGAACACTTATCATAATTGCAGTTGTCTAGTGATTATTTCAGTTGTTTGTTTGATGGCTGCCTCCCCACTAGAATATGAGCCACCAAAGACTGGTGATCAGGTCCATTTTGATCATTCTTATATCCCTAGTGCCTGGCACTTAGCAGGGTCTCAACAAATATTTGTTGAATAATTGAATAAATAGAGGCCTTCATTCTTGGTCAAGAGTATTCTCTAGTAATTGCCATGTTTTTAAGCATGATTCCCTTTCCTTTTCAGGTCATGCTGGGAGGGAAAAATGTAGAAGATGGTTTTGGAATTGCTTTCCGTGTTCTGCAGGTATGACTTGGATCATTCAAATCATACTGAGGACAATCAGCACCTGACCACAGTTCCGGGAGAGATTATTCTTTAGGAAATTCTTATCCCAAGAAAAGTGGATTTACATGCACATTAGGGATGAAATCAAGGATGTGACTGTTACAGAACTGGGTCAAATTCAAGACTCTAGGCCACTTTGCCAGAAGCCAAGTAACCCATGACAAATTCATCAAAAGCTACCAAATAAATACCAGGAGCCAGGTCTCAGACAGTTCCCCACAGCTGTTTCCCTGAGAAACACTGCTGGTTCTCACAGGGAATATGGCTGGAGGGGTGGCCAGGGGCTTTCCACTGGCCACAAGGGCTGTTCCCCATCCTTGGTCTGTACAGGAGCTGGCTGGAGGAATATGTTTCCTATTGCTTGTGATAAAAGGACACAGGTGGGGCTGTGGCACTGGAGCAGGGGCTGGAGCAGGGCACTGAGACCATGAGGGGCAGAGTCTCTTCAGACCTGCCCACCACCACACAGCTCCATGCAGATACCCCAGGAGCTGAGAGCAGGCAGCTTAGGGCAGGCAGGGTATTTATGCATTGTGAGTGTGTCAGTGATCAATGGCTTCATACATGATTAGTCAGGTGTTTTTCTTCCCATCTGTTTTTGGTGTTGGACAGAGCTCACCACACACAGATACCCTGGTAGGCAGGCAGAGGGGCAGCTCCACCCAGGCCCTGTGGCATAAGGGTTCTCCTAGACCAGGTTTAAGGTGTTTATCTGGCAGTTTTCAGCAAATGAGTCTTTCAGTGAATGGGTCTGTTTCTGAACACTAAGTCACCTGCGTCTTAACAGAGCACCAGGTGTCCAGGGCAGCAAATACCATCCCCCAATGCCCATTTCTCAAGAAAGTGAACTAGTCTTAGGATTTTGATAAGAATATTTTCAGTGAGTGCCACCGCAGCAAGTGAAATGTACCATTTTAGATACTACAGCTGCAGTTTTTGTGGATGCTTCCTAAAGGTCTACCTAACTCCAAAGAGGAATTGACGCTTGCTTTTTGTTTGGTATATTTATGTTTTCTACTGTGACCACAATCAATATGGCTTATCTACACCAAGCATAGTGAGAGCTTTTAAATGCTGCCTCCCTCCCCACCGTTAACGTTTCCTGCTCCTAAGCCCATCATGTTGTGTTCTGTTCTAGGACTTCCAGCTGGATGCTGCCATGACCTACTGCAGAGCTGCCCGCCAGTTGGTGGAGAAAGAGAAGTACAGTGAGATCCAGCAACTGCTCAAATGTGTCAGTGAGTCAGGCATGGCAGCCAAAAGTGACGGGGACACCATCCTCCTCAACTGCCTGGAAGCGTTCAAGAGAATTCCGCCCCAGGTACACTCCCTCCCGTACCTCTTGGCTCCTCCATCAATTTCAGTGTCTTCACATCCCCATCTTTATTGTTCTGTTTTCCATAATGTGCCTGAAACTCTACAAGATCCTTTTATCATTCTGAACCCCTCTGCAATAATGGCCTCACCATAATTGACCCTTCCCTGTAAAGAAAATTTATGGAGATGACATCTATACCCAGAAGGTGACCCTCAACATCCCATTGTGTAAATTTGTTTGCACCTGGATGTGTCTATGGAGTTGAGCTTCTTCCTGCAATTCTAGAGGAGGTCAGGGTGGGCCAGCAGATGAACTTTGAAGCCTGTTATCTGCGGAATTGTCCTCCCATGGTGGCTTTGTGGAGTGAACAGAGCCACATCCATTTGTGAAGGCCGAGGACAGGCCTCTTGGGAACTGTTCCTTCTCCCTAAATTCTGAAGCTTAGTGTTATGGTTAAATTTTCTTTCTTGTTCTTTTTTTTTTTTGAGACAGAGTCTCGCGCTGTCGCCCAGGCTGGAGTATCTCAGCTCACTGCAAGCTCTGCCTCCTGGGTTCACGCCATTCTCCTGCCTCAGCCTCCTGAGTAGCTGGGACTACAGGCGCCCACCACCACGCCCGGCTAATTTTTTGTATTTTTAGTAGAGATGGGGTTTCACCATGTTAGCCAGGATGGTCTCCGTCTCCTGACCTCATGATCTACCCACCTCGGCCTCCCAAAGTGCTGGGATTACAGGCGTGAGCCACTGCACCTGGCCTTCTTTCTTGTTCTTAAAGCAGGAGTTGAGTTTAAAAAGAAGAGTCAGCCGGGTGTGGTGGCACATGTCTGTAATCCCAGCTGTTCTAGAGGCTGAGGCGGGAGGATCACTTGAGCCCAGGAGTTTTGGACTATAGTGTATTACGCTGATACATACTTAGTGTGAGAACTTAGTGCTTGCACTAAGTTCATGATCCATTTGGTGACCTCCCAGGAGCAGGGGACCACCAGGTTGCCTAAGGAGGGGTGAACTGGCCCAGATTGGAAATGAAGCAGGTTAAAATTCCTTTGCTATCAATAGTGGGATCATGCCTGTGAAAAGCCACTACACTCCAGCATGGGCAACATAGTGAGACCCCATGTCTTTGAGAAAAAAAAAGTCAGGCAGACATTTTCATTCTGAAGTCAGAATGGCTGGGCTGAGGCTGGGTTGGGCCCTGGCTCCCAGACTGCGGGACTCTTCTCCCTCTCACAGTGCTGTTTCTGTTCTGCACAGGAGCTGGAGGGCCTGATCCAGGCAATACACAATGATGACAACAAGGTGAGCGGAATTGTCTCCAAACGCTGGTGATGCCAATGAATTGTGTCTCAGGCTTGCCTAGTCACCTTTATCCCTTGCTCCCCACAATAGTTCCATACAACCCGTATCTCAGCTTCTGTATTATCAGAGGTGGAGCTGAGGCTTGGATAGGGGTGTAGAAAGGAGGGAATAGATGAGGAGCAGGTGAACATGGACTGCATGCGTCTTTGCCTTCCCAAGTCTTTATCCCCAAGACAAACATGTCCTAGGCTGCTCTTGAATCTCCATTTTATACTGATGTCTTCTCTCAGAGAGCCCTAGGAAATCCCTCACCTCACCTCCATCTTTGGGTGGACTGATGGATTGAGGTTCCCAGAGTAAGCAGGTATCTCTTTATCCTAGAGGGAAAAAGGTACAGTAAGAAAAAAATCCCCACCCCACACTTTGACCAACAATGTCCAACAATGTCTCGGTCTCCAGAATGAACCTCTCCTCAGGGGCCAAAGAACTCGTCCCTGTTTGGGAAAATGGTGAACCTTTGCTTCCCGTTGCCTTTGGGAGGAGTGCCAGTCAGAATAAAAATCTTCCCAGATGCCCCCATTTGTGGCTGACCACTGGATTGATCCTTCTGCCATCTGCAGGAAGGGTCCCAGGCCAGGAGGGGCATGAGAAAGCCAGTGGCAGAAAAATTATCTGACAGCTGAGTCCCCTGTGATGAAAACTGACGTCAGGCAAAGAGCTTCTTACACGCTCCCCATGGCAGTATTGCTAATCCTGGGACTGAACTTAATGGGCATTTTTCAGTCTCCAGGGTTAAGGAGAATAAGTTCTAAACATTTCTTCATTTATTTCTGTAACATCATGATGATGTCAGAAAGGATGAAATTCTGACATCCTGAAATGTAGAGAATTACTTTTCTAGAGTCAGACTGAGAACCTAACAGCCAGGACAGACGCCCAGGTCCTCTGATTCCCAGACTGCAGTTCTTTCTCAAGCCTTCACTGAGCCTCCCACTCAGCAGGACAGAGACGCTATTTCTGGGAAAGACACGCTCTAAAATAGAGACAGTCCTTATTACTTTTTCAGGTATTTTTCTCTCAGCAGCTGTCTAATGCAGTTAAATGAGCTTAGGCCATGGGGGCTTGCCAAAAAACAACTTCATTCAACTCCATTCCAGACTCTCTGGCAAAATGCCCTTCTTCTCTTGGTAGGAATTTTGCCTGCCAACTTGTGATATGTATTTAGCTTAGTGTACATAGATGCTAAGGGGAGCTGAAGGCCTGGGGAGAGCTAACATCCTAGGGCAGCAAGTGGATTCCCAAGCGGCACAGGACTGGATCACTTTAGTGACCTCAGAACATGCCAGACATCATCTAGCTGTAGGAGATTATCTATAATTCAGCTTAGAAAGGAAAGAAAAACTTTAGTGACCAAAACAAATAACAGATGGAGCATTGATACAGGAAGCAAGGCGAGTCCCCTCCACTAACCAACAGGGATTATTGCAGCAGAAAGGGAGCTGCTGGCAGAAGCTCTGTGGCAGCTTATGAAGGCCTCTCTGCTCACCAGCCTAGAGCACTGTTTAACCAGGGGGTGCTGGGGAGACCAGGGCCAGAAAGGAAGGGACTTTTGTCTCCACCAAGCTGGGGATTCATGAGATAGCGATCCTGGGACATAGACACATACGCATATCCTGCAACAGCTGCCTTTGGTCCAAGCAGGCAGAGTCAAATCAGGTCTAAGTGGGGTTAGACGTTAATTCGACTTTTTCCAATCGTGTGTGTGTGTCTTCCTCCCCAGATTTCCTGTGATTATAAAAAAAACTTTAGATTCAGCTGGCCGAAAACAGAAAAATAGAGGAGGATCTATGTGTCCATTCTGGGAGGGTTCTGATGGTTTATTCATTCCTGTAATACATATTCATTGAACACCTACTACATGCCAGGCCCCGTGCTAGGTGCCAGGAATACTACAGGAGTAGAAAAAACAGACACTACTCTTGCCCTCATGAAGCTTAAAGTCTGATCAAGGAGACAGGCATAACCAAATAATCACTCAAGTAACTACAAAATCACAACTCTGGGCGAGAGCAATGCTGATCCTGAACCCCAGAAGATGCTGGAGAGCCTGGGAGAGTGAGGAGGAGAGTGTCAGAGGGAGTGGACAGAGACCAAACTGCCTGCTGGCCTGCCTTCTTTTTTAAATTCTTAGCTTATTTGTAATAACTTTTTACACTATAAAATAACACAGTGTTATAGCATATGTCCAGAATATTGAAAGAGTTGTTATAATACCATAAAATACATGAATCCTGTTATGAACGTGGCAGGTGAGACATGGTGTCTGTCTGCCCGAGCTTTCTGCTGCAGCTCTGTATACTTGATTTGTCGGTGATGGATGCCTTTCCGCTGTCTCTTATAACTGACTGCCAGGTTCGGGCCTACCTGATATGTTGCAAACTGCGTTCTGCCTACTTGATTGCTGTGAAGCAAGAACACTCACGGGCCACAGCCCTTGTCCAGCAGGTGCAGCAGGCCGCCAAGAGCAGCGGGGATGCAGTAGTGCAAGACATCTGTGCCCAGTGGCTTCTGACAAGCCACCCCCGGGGTGCCCATGGCCCAGGCTCCAGGAAGTGACCTTGGGCAGTGGGGCCAGGAACACGTGGCCTGAGAGCTGGGCAACAGCAGTGATGGCGATGCCCTCCACCTCTTTCCTCCAGTGGAGTGGGACTTCTCTGGCTCTGCCCTAGGTTGGAAAGAGTTGGATTGGACCCTACTTGCCTTCCCGGGCAAGGATAGGACCTTTCACGCAAGTGCCATGTTTCTCTAAAATTGTGGAATCTATGTGTGTTTGTCTGGAGATGGCCAGTTCTTTCTACCTCAGAGTGAGTGAGTGAGTATGTGTGCACACACGTGTGCATGTTCCTGTGCGCTGATGTTTACGCCCAAGCATTTCTGAACAAATGAAACTCTTCTCCATTTAAAAGAGGCACTTTACTTTAGACTTGCCACTCTGAAAACCTTCCCTGCGTTTTGGTTCTTGACCCGGGTTGTCCTGTTTGTATAGTCCCCCCTCTGTGGACGTGCTTTAGTAGCTCCTCTTACCTAGAGGGCTTTTACAGAGAATTAGAGCAACACCAAAAGGATTGCCTCTTTTCCTTCCTTCCCATTCCAAAATTCAGAGATGGCTTTGGGGCAAGTGCTACCTGTGGAATAAACCTGTTTTCCAGGTGTCTCTTCTCCCAAGCACAAGAAGTCCTGGAGTCTTTGGAAGGTAGTCTGAATAGAAGGGTTTTCAGGTGCAGGCATCTGAAAGCTGTGGGTATGTGTATAAATGATCAGGTCTGTGAGGCTAACACGGGCAAGAGGGAAAGAAAGGCTAACCATCCAAACAGGGATACAGGGGAGGCGGTGGGGGGTGGTGGGGGGAGCGGGTGCTCACAAGCACAGAGCTGCCTGTTGTGAATGTCCCTGCTGCAAAGTTGGTGGGTGAGAGAATGGGACTTCCTCTTTGAGAGTCTGGGGAGAGAAAAGGTGGCCAGGATCCTAGGACTGAATGACTCGATTTTACCTATTTGAGCTGCAGTCCTGTTTGCGCTCCTTGAATTGGTTAGGAAGCTGCTTCCTTTTCCCTCCTGCTTCCCTTCAGTCTCTTCAGGACCACAGGATGGATATGCAGACATGTGGGGTCATTGGGAAGGGAGTGCGCTTCTTTTCTCTGTCTTAGAAAAGGGAGTCAAGGGTTGGCTTTGGAATTGGGCCTCTGGACAGAGTCAGAATGAGGGAATAATGAATAGGTCACATCTGGTTGGTGGAAAACTAGGTGAAGTGCTTCTTTAATATGCACTGTCTTGTCTTCCCACGCAAGATGTGACAATGTTTGAGAAAAGGTGTGTCATACTCAGTGACTTCAATTTGCAAATGTGGGGCCTAAAGAAAGCTCTGCAGCTCTGAACCTCTCACTGGCCAGAGCTCAGCCTATTGGTCCCATCCATGATGCTGAGACAAACAGAAACTGGAAGCTGAAGTCAGTGTCTCTGGTGCTCAGAAACCCTGTGGATTTCCCTCTGAACCAAGATTTTTAGTAGTAAAATAAACAACTCATGGACATCTGTCAGATGAGAAGTTTTGGTCCTGTTAGAGAGGAGAAAGACTGTAATGAAACTACTAGACCCATTTGGGCTAAAGTTTGGCTTTTCCTTCCTTGAGTCATAGAACGTATCCATCTCCCAGGAAATGTCCTTCTCTGGCGTCTGCTTGCCCTTCTGAGTCTGCCTTTTTTGCACTGAACATAAGCACTTTATACTAATGGGTCACAAATCTTGCAGCCCTTAATTTGGGATAAGACCAGATTTTCCTGACATTTTCCTCTAACTCATTGAACTATCAAATTATAGGCAACCACTGACTAGACTGATATGAGATGAGGCTAAAAGCCTTTGAACACCACGCTGTAGTCTCCAACAGAAAAACACCACCAAAACAGATACCCATGTTGAGGGGTTGAATGTTTTACTACAAACAAGCCACAATAAAGTGTCTATCAACATGTTTCTTGGCTTCATAACTTCTTGGTGCTGTCTTGCTCCTACCCTTTGCATCCTTTTTCCTTGTGGAAAGAAAAGGGAGTGGGGAAGATCAGATGGCCTTCAATTCAGACTTAGTCTAAATAATCCCCATAATGACTAATGACTTTGCTTAGGATTTATCTCATTTCCTATGTGTTTAAACACTGTTAGTGCACCCTCTACCACCAGAAAACTTTTTTTTTTGCTTCAGTTGGGGGATGGGTAGAGATAGGTAATACGTTTATAAGGTGCAAAAGGTAAGTGAAAAGTCCCTTCCACCCTGTCCACCCAGCCCAGTCCCCTCCCAGAGGCCACCATTGTTATCAGTGTCTAGTGTACAGTTCCAGAGCAAATGACTAAAGTGTTCCACTGTGAAGCTATACCACAATTATTTAACCAGTTTCTAATGATGGACATTTTATGTTGTTGCCATCTTTCGCCACTACAGATTATGCTGCATTGAATTATCTTGTTCAGAATACCAAATTTTCTGGATCTATGCTAGTCCGATGGGTGAAAGGTTTCTTCTTTAGTGAATTTTTTTTTTTTTTTTTTTTTTTTTTTTTTTTTTTTTTGAGACAGGGTCTAGCTCTGTCACCCAGGCTGGAGTGCAGTCGCCTGGCTAATTTTTTTTTATTTTTTGTAGAGACAGTATCTCACTATGTTGCCCAGGCTGGTCTTGAACTTCTGGGCTTAAGCAATCCTGCCTCATCCTCCCAAAGTGCTAGAATTACAGGGCTACTTCCCCTGGCCCTGTGCCCCAGCCCTCTAAAATGCTTTAAAAAGCTGTTGTCATTTTAAAAGCTCTACATATCTTTTCAATATCAACCAAATTGTCAATCTTTGAAACCAGGTGTAGGGTCTTTGGGGCAAGCAGAACTCAAACTTAGCTTAAACTGTTTTCTTGCCACCCACTTCAGGCATATGTTTGCAGTATGATACTTGAGCCATGGACAGTGGCATCACTGCTCATTATCTCCTTTCCCCGGAAACATGATCTCATCCAATTTCTCATGTGAAAAAAAAAAAACAAACTATACTTTGAGGGATCATTTCTATAGTTCGTTACTAGAGAAGTTTCTCTGAATGTGTAGAGTATGGACTGAAGAGCTTCTGCACAGCAAAAGACACTATCAGAGTGAACAGGCAACCTACAGAATGGGAGAGATTTTTTTAAATCTATCCATCTGACAAAGGTCTAATATCCAGAATCTACAAGGAACTTAAATAAATTTACAAGAAAAACCAATCCCATCAAAAAGTGGGCAAAGGATATGAACAGATACTTCTCAAAAGAAGACATTTATGCAGCCAACAAACATGAAAAAAGCTCATCATCACTCGTTATTAGAGAAATGCAAATCAAAACCACAATGAGATGCCATCTCACGCCAGTTAGAATGGCAATTATTAAAAAGCCAGGAAACAACAGATGCTGGCGAGGCTGTGGAGAAATAGGAATGGTTTTACACTGTTGGTGGGAGTGTAAATTAGTTCAACCATTGTGGAAGACAGTGTGGCGATTCCTTAAGGACCTAGAACCAGAAATACCATTTGACCCAGCAATCTCATTACTGGGTATATACCCAAAGGATTATGAATCATTCTACTATAAAGAGACATGCACACATATATTTATTGCAGCATTATTTATAATAGCAAAGACTTGGAACCAACCCAAATGCCCATCAGTGATAGAATGGATAAAGAAAATGTGGCACATATATACCATAGAATACTATGCAGCCATAAAAAAGAATGAGTTCATGTCCTTTGCAGGGACATGGATGAAGCTGGAAGCCATCATTCTCAGCAAACTAACACAAGAACAGAAAACGAAACATCGCATGTTCTCACTCATAAGTGGAAGTTGAACAATGATAACACATGGAGACAGGGAGGGGAACATCATACACTGGGGCCTGTCGTGGGTGGGAAAGAGAAGGGAGAGCATTAGGACAAATACCTAATGCGTGCAGGGCTTAAAACCTAGTTGACGGGTTGATAGGTGCAGCAGACCACCACGGCACATGTATACCTATGTAACAAACCTGCACATTCTGCACATGTATCTCAGAACTTAAAGTAAAATAAATAATAAATAAATTTAAAAATTAAAAAAGATCTAAAAACAAACAACAGTAATGATTAAAGTAGACCTGAAAACCACCTGGTAGTAGACGTAGCACAAAGATATGTCACAACAGAGAAAGTTGGAACACCCACTCTAAACCTAGGATAGATGACTGCTATATTTAGAAACCTGAGACACTCCAAGGTTACCAGATATCTTTGGCTGGAGCTTAAGCAAAGTAGATCAAAGGCTATTAGACTCTTTGAATACCCAAGCAACCAAATATCGATAGCCACAGTAACCCCAGAGGAAATGGCCTTTTCCTGGCCTTCATCTCTTATTCCACAGTGATAATGTTGACTGACCTATCCTTGAAATGTTTAGTTCTTCCACAACAAATTCATTCGATGTCTGGTCACTGAATGGCTTCTTTGGTGGAATGCTTTCCTGCTCGCTAATTCTGCATGTTGTTATTTCTTCTTGGAGCCCTTCCTTCAGCACCTCCTCTACCCTACCCTCAAGTCTACCATTGTCAAACCTCTTCCCTCAGTCCTGCATCGAGTGCCATCTCCTGTACAGATTATTCACTTCTCTGCCTATGCTTTCTCTTCATCCCACTTAAAGACAAATTCCTCAAGGTTCTAGCTATTCCCTCTTGACACTCATACTCTCCCATACAATCCCTTAGCTTCAGCAGTCATCTTGACTGCCCCCCTTAACTCTTTCCCACACCAGATCTGCCTTTTGACTACCTCCTGGAACTCACCCCAAGGCTGACATGCACCTAAAAATATTAGCATGTCCAAAATGGAATGCATTCAATTCTACCCACAAACCTGAACTTCCTTCTTCAGTGAATATATAGTTTTGCTTTATTTTATTTTATTTTATTTTATTTTATTTTATTTTATTTTATTTTATTTTATTTTATTATTATACTGAGACAGGGTCTGGCTCTGTCCCTCAGGCTGGAATGCAGTGGTGTGATCACAGCTCACTGCAACCTCTGCCTCCTGGGCTCAAGCCATCCTCCCACCTCAGCCTCCTGAGTAGCTGAGGCTACAGGTGTGCACAACAAGGCTGGGCTACTTTTTGTATTTTTTGTAGAGACAGGGTTTGTTCACCATGTTGCTCAGGCTGGTCTCAAACTCCTGAGCTCAAGCAATCGGCCCATCTTGGCCTCCCAAGGTGCTGGGATTACAGGTGTGAGCCACCACACCCAGCTGTTAATATATAGTATTAAGGAGTGTTGTTATTACTATTGTGCATGCTGCCTGGTTAGAACCTCTGTGCCGGCCAGGCACAGTGGCTCATGCCTATAACCCAACACTTTGGAAGGCTGAGGTGGAAGGATCACTTGAGCCCAGGAGTTCGAGACCAGCCTGGCCAACATAATGAGACCCTCACTACAAAAAATAAGAAAATTAGCCAGGCATAGTGGTGGGCACCTGTAGTACCAGCTACTCGGGAGGCTGAGGTGGGAGGATCGCTTGAGCCCAGGAGTTAGAGGCTGCCATGATCCAAGGTTGTGCCACTGCATTCCAGCCTGGGAGACAGAGTAAGACCCTGAAACAAAAAAAAAAAAAAAAAAAGAAGAAGAAGAAAGAAGAAAGGAAGGAAGGAAGGGAAGAAGGAAGGAAGGAAGGAACTCTGTGCTGACTGTTTTTTCCCCCACCTCCTCATTTGAAAACATTCAAGTACCTGCCATGCATCAAGCTATGTCCAAGCTATGTCCAAAGCCAAATCCTATCATCCTACCTTCCCAGCCAGAAGAACCTGTCCCTTCCACTTCATCACTGTAGTTCAGATCATTATCACCTCCTCCCCTGACTGTTGCAGAAGACTCTTCATCTCAAACATTCATCCTAGAGTTGCACCTTCTACCAACTCCATATGAACAAATAATAATTCTAGAAGAATCAAAGGACTTCTCTATAATATTGAGGTATGGAGAATCTAAGCAGATACAGAGCCTAGGATCCTTGAAAGACTTGAAAGATTTTTTATTATGCTAAAATATACATGACATAAAATTTAACATTTTAACCATTTTTAAGTGTACACTTCAGTGGCATTAAGTACATTTGCATTGTTGTGCAACCATCACCAACATCCATCTCCAGAACTTTTTCATCCTCCAACTGAAACTCTGCACCCATTGAACACTAATTCCCCATTTACCCCTCCTCACAGTCCCTGGTAACCTCTACTATACTTTTTGTCTGTGAATGTGACTACTCTAGGTACCTCAGGCAAGTGGAATCATACAGTATTTGTCCTTTTGTGTCTGGTTTATTTAGCATAATGGAAACCCCAGTTGATGTTGGTGACCAGTGATTCATGGAAGCTCCAATCTGTGAGACTGAGTGATTTTCTCCAGCCATACTCTTGGTATATAGAAATCAGAGAGATGGACCGCTCCGTGGGCGCTTGTTCTTCACTAGACAGGGATGATAATGGGGCAAGTGAATCAGCAAGGAAGAAAGTTGGAGGAGTAGGAGGTTGTGGCTAGAGTAGGATGTTAAAAGTTATCTGGAGAGCAGAAAGTTCATGTGATGGAGGTGTAGTCTTTGTCATGGGAATTGAGGACTGAAGAAGAGTAGAAGGCAGTGATTAGGAGTCAGTGATTAGGAGAAGGTCAGGGAACTGAGTCTGAGTGAATATGTGTCACGTTTTCAAATAGTAGTGCTTTGGGCAACCCATGTGTATTACAGTTATCACACCATTCACTTGGTCTTCCTTCAGTACCATGTTGTTATTTGAGGTGAGTTATTTACTGTTTAATCACACTTTCTCAAATACTTTATAAGGCAGAATTCTCATATGTTCAATAAACACTTGATCTTTTATGCCAGATTGACATTAAACGTCTATGGTAGATGCTAGTTAGGGCCTGGCATCTACCATATTTCTATCTGGCACATCAAAGGTCCCTCTTCTCTGAGAATTCCTAGGGTTAGGCCCCCAGTGGACATGTGAGGACTACATGAATATGAACTACATGAATATGAACTACATGAATAGTATTGCCCTTAGACCCAGGCAAGAAGGGCTCCTTCCCTTGGCCAGCCACTTTAAAAGCCTTATATTTCACCAGAATGCACAAGAAAATAATAAGTGTATTTACAAATACATAAGGCTCTGGAACTCAGTGCTGACATAACATAACCTGATACCCTAAACATTTACTCTCATGATTAACACTGTTTAGGTGCCAGGAAAACTCTACTTAACTGCATTCAAAGGCTTTGAAGGTGTGCAGATTATGCTTCTGCTTCTGAGCATAGGGAGGATTGGAATAAAAGAAGCAGTTGGGGAAGAGAAAAGACAAATTCATTAACTTGTCAAATTCTTCCCCAGCATGAGTATAATAAATACTTGCATTAAAACGGGTATCATTTTCAGTAGTCGAGGGTCTATATTCTTGTCCTTCTTCATATTCCAATGTGTGTTTGCAACATTTGTCTATGGAGTCTTTAAAAATTTGCAATATTAAACAATTCATATTACTTTTTTTTTTTTGAGACAGAGTCTTACTCTGTCACCCAAGCTGGAGTGCAGTGGTGTGATCTCGGCTCACTGCAACTTCTGCCCCGCTAGGTTCAAATGATTCTCCTGCCTCAGTCTCCTGAGTAGCTGGGATTACAGGCGCCTGCCACTGCGCCCGGCTAATTTTTTTATTTTTAGTAGAGATAGGGGTTTCACCATCTTGGCCAGGCTGGTCTCGAACTCCTGATCTCGTGATCCACCCGCCTTGGCCTCCCAAAGTGCTGGGATTACAGGCATGAGCCACAGTGCCTGGCACTTTTAAACTGGTAGGTGTATAGGTGTAAAGGAAACATGCATGAAGTATGATATCCATTGTTTACATTAGCAACTAAATGGACAATGAACTTCAGAATTGTGAATTGTTTTATTTTACAAAAATCATAAAATTAACTAAATTTTCAAAAAATAAAAATATTCCACATTATTTAAATAATTTGGATTTAAAATGTTGATACTCAAAATTATAATTTGTCTTTTAATTATAATAGATAATTTAAATATTTTAAAAGAAAAATAATCTAAAACATTTTTTAAATAATTTTTTTTGCATTTCTTTGATTTCCATTTTTATGAGAATATATTAAATTGTGTATACTTTCAATACAATTATATTGGTTTAATCCTTTAAGTAACTGCTGTCATTGGAACATAAATTATTAGATGACTATAACAACATAGTGATTTTATTAAGATGAAAACAGGAAAAAAAAATTTTGTGGGCTTTTATTACTGTACATCCCTGGCCCAGAAATGGAATAGCTGGATATAGTTGGATGCACTCTTTTGCATCATCTGGCAGCTGGATACAGGGGATCCAATAGAGAACACTGAGGTCCTGGGAAATAATGGAACCATTGATTTTTTTCTTGGCCATGGGGAGCAGAACCACCCTCCCACCCCCATTCCTGCAGTGGAATGTGACATGAGCGAGAAATAAACTTTTATTATATTGTACCACTAAAGTTAACATTGTTTGTTACAATAATTAATCTCCTCCTATCAGAGCAAGTTGTACCTCCTCTCTTGAGATTTTCTTAGCTGATCATTTTGGCTAATATAGATTATATATCCATATGTAGAAAAAATAGATTGTACATATAGATTAAAACTTGGGTGAACACCTGTAAGGGTGTGCCAGGACTATTAGGATTCTCTGTGCTAGGATATTAGGTCAGTTTTCTCCATGGATATCTGTCATATTCAGAAATCAATGGAAGATGACAGAACTTGGGGGTGGAGAAAAATGTAATGAAAAAGTTGTCAAATATTCACTTGGCAGATGAGGAAATTGAGGGTGATAAAAGTAGGTCAGGAAGATATCTGCCTTGGACTAGCAGTAATGGTAAGAAAAAAAAGTAAAAAAAAAAATTAAAAAGTAGGTTAAAAATGGTAGAATGTCAGCAACTTTATAGGGTTCAACATAATACGATAGCATCAGTAGGACACAGACTTAATAAGGTCAATTTATTATGTTGTGTAACAAGAAGTCCCAAGGGAGCACAGCTCCAGTCTTGGTTAATTCAGTGACTCACCACCACGTCATCAGCAACCCAGATTCTCTCTATCTTTCCTTTCACCACCCTCGGCGTGTGCGCTAGTTTTTGGGCCAGCCAGCTTCACTCATGGTCTCAAGATGATTGTGGCAGATTCAGGTGTCATGTTTAGCCATGACAGCATCCAACACAAGACAGAAAATTTCTTCCTGTGCCTCATGTTTTAACCAATGAGGAAGCCTTTCCTAGAAGCTACCAAAGAGGCTCCTTCCACATCCCACCGGCCATGATTGAGCCACGTGACTTTTCCATCACCGTCACTTGCAAAAAAATGTGATCCGCACGGTTGCCTTGGGCCAGTGGTTCACAGCCCTGGCAGCCCATCAGAATCACCTGGGTTGCTTTCAAAAACATTTTCCCAAGGCGAGAACAATTGAATATGGATCTCTGTGGGGAGGCCTGGACTTTGGCATCTTAAATATTTAAAAATACACAGCCAGAGTTGAGAACAACTGCGATCAGTTAATCATTCACAGAAAGCAGAGGTAGACACTGGAACAAAGTCAGAGTAGGGAATGACTACTGGGTGACAGCTAACAGTGTCTGCTGAAGTTATTAATGTTTAATTTTCAAGTAAGATATAAGAATATTCTGCTTTTAAAAAATTGAAAAATCATTTCCCATTAATCCTTCCCCAGGATAACCTCTCTTACACATTCATTATATTGTTTTATATCTTTTTCTGTGCTTTTACATACCTATATATGTACTCATAGAAAATATATATTACATGTGTGTAATTTCAAAATATAAGTCTTACTACACAGAACACATCATTCTGAAATTCAGTATGATTTATCCAAGTATATACGTGTATAATTATTTTTTTAATATAATGATTTTTGGAATAACTACTCCAAAATAATTATTTCATCATATAATCATACAGAGATTAGTATATAATTATTTATAAGTATATAAGTATATTTCTATAAGTATATATTTTATAAGTATATATTTATAAGTATATTAGTATATATAAGTATATTAGTATATAATTATTATATAATCATGTCAGATTGTATAATCATACCACAGATTAGTTTTTCGCCAACTGATGGACTTTTAGGCTATTTCCATTTTTTTGCTAATATGAACAATGCCTCCTCTTTACATACATAGGCTAATGTTACTGCAGATATTAAGAAGCTGAATTGCTGGTAGAAATGGCTCCACCATTTCTTCCACTCATAGCAGCAGTGTATAAAAATATCTATTTTTCTATATTTTTGCCAATATTTGCTAAGCTTTCAAATTTTTGACAATGTGATGGTTTAAAATGGTATAATGGCATCTTGTTTTAATTTGCAGTTCTCTGATCACTGGTCAGGTTAAATATCTTGACTTAGGTACATTGGCCATTTGCGTTTCTTCTGAAAATTTCCTATTTATAACTTTTGCAAAGTTCTCTGTTGGGTTCTGTGTCTTGTTCTTATTGAGAAGTAGAAGTTCTTTATATGATAATAAGTTGAGAGTGGTGACTCACACCTGTAAGCCCAGCACTTTGGGAGGCCAAGGTGGGAGGATCACTTGAGTCCAGGAGTTTGAGATCAGCCTGGGCAATAAAGCGAGACCCCAAGTCGAAAGAAAAATGAATAAAAATATGGGTACTACTCTTTTGTGTGATACATATTATCTATGTAAATATAAGATAGGTCATATATACATATACATCTGCAGCAGATGCTGTGTTGCACCACCCAGATTCCCTCCTATGGTTTGGTTCTGTGTCCCCACCCAAATCTCATCTCAAATTGTAATCCCCATGTGTTGAGGGAGGGACCTGGTGGGAGTTGACTGAATCATGAGGGTGGTTTCCCCCATTGTCTTCTCGTGATAGTGAGAGAGTTCTCATGAGACCTGATGGTTTTAAAAGTGGCAGTTTCCCCTGCACTCTCTCTCTCTCCTGCCACCTTATGAAGATGTGCCTTGCTTCCCTTTCACCTTCCACCATGATTGTAAGTTTCCTGAGGCCTCCCCGGCCATGTGGAAGTATGAGCCAATTAAACCTCTTTTCTTTATAAATTACCCGGTCTTGGGTAGGATCTTTATAGCAGTGTGAGAATAGACTAATATACTCCCTTTAGAAATGAAGCATACAGCTAGGCATAGTGGCTCATGCTTGTAATCCCAGCACTTTGATAGGCCAAGACAGGAAGATTGCTTGAGCCCAGGAATTCAAGGCCAGCATGGGCAACAGAGAGAGACCTTGTCTCTACCGAAAAAAAAAAAAAAAAAAAGAAAAGAAAAAGAAATGAAGCACTTATTCTCCCAGATGCTGGAAATGTACACAGCTGCCAACTCTCAGCTGAGTTTTTATCTAGAACTTGCCCTCACCCAGGTCATGCCCCCTCCCTGGAAGCTGCCCACACCCAATTACTGGTCACTGCGGGTGTTTAAAGACCAACCTCCTTTCCTCAATTCAAGACAGCTCAGCTCCAGAGCTCTCTGTGGAACAGGATCACCTAACCCTTTAGTGTGACTGCATCGCAGATCAACTTCACCCTCTGCCCTGTCCCGCTTCTCTCACTCCCCTATAGATACCAATCCTAACAGTCCTCCTAATAAATTTGCTGTGTGCAAATGTCTGTATCTCGAAGTCCGTTTTCTAGAATACATAACGTAAAACAATTTCAAATATGTTCACCATTATCACTTGACTTTGAACTTTGTTTGAGGTATGCTTTTTGGATGTATTCCTCTTTTCCCATATGCTTTTTGCTTTTCATGTCTTAAGAATGCTATCCCTCTTCCAAGGGCATAAAGATATTCTTCTATATTTTTTTCTAATATTTTCACAACTTTTTTTGCCTTTTAGTCCACATAGTACTCATTTGTATGCATGGTGTGAGGCAAAGAATCTAACTTTATGTTTCATTTGGATAGTTATTTGTCCAGCACCACTTATGACATTGTCTATGTTTTTCTGACTGATTTGAAATGCCTCTTCTACAATATGAAAATATGATAGCGATATCAAAATAGCATATATGAGAATATGATAGCCGTAGAAGAGACGTTTCAATACCCAATACCCAACTACAGTTGAATGCTTCACAGTGAGCATTTGACCCAAGCCAAACCTGGAATTTTTTAAATTCTAAAAATAGGAAATGGCTGCAGGAACTCTTCAATGGTAGAGGGAGAGGAGTCTGGTGTTGCTTGGCGCTTGAGTTCTAGTTATTTCTAAGATACATCTCTGCCCATTCCCACTTTCCAGTTTCAACCCTTCCTTGAGTTTATGAGCAAAATATTGCATGGTTTGGGACTTAAGCTTGCTCAAACTGAGTGTCCATCTTATAACTAAAAGAGACCAAATACACAAGGTATATCCTCCTGAGCTTGGGACGCATGGCAACATTGTATACGAAGTTGAGTTGGACAAGGGCCAAGTGCCACCCAAGGTAATCTGTGGCAGCTAGTCACCACCTAGGAAATCGGTGCTCTGAAACTGTTTGTTTCTTGAGTTTCATATGTCTCTTTGATTTCCTTTTCCTTTAGTTTCCCATTGAAGTGTTATTTTTAGGAAATTAGGACAGTCTCAGCTGAGCCAAAAGAAAAAGATTTTCCACCCCAGGCTAGATTAGCTAAGGGTGTCAGAGGCTAAGAGAAGCCAGGAATAGTGAAGGCAGTGGAACTGGGGCAGTTAGAGAAGCACCTAGGAGGGAAGTCTGGAACAACTGAAATCCCTGAGCCCTTCTCATCCAGGATCTTGTTTCCTGTATGTTGAGGGGCACTCTGCCAAGGCAGGAAGCCATATCCATATCCAAGCACAAGTCAATAGCGGAAAAACAGCCCCGAAGGTTGCAGGGGATTTCAGGGAGCCAAGATGGGAAGGTCGAACGGTGTCTCGGCCACCAATCCCCCGGCATTGTTTGTGCAGAGCCAAGGCCTTTCACTTGCTCAGATGTTAACTTGCGGCAAGTCTTTTCTGGAAACATGACAAGAGGCCAAGACTGGCACATGTTCCTTGCCCAGGCTGAGCAGACTAGATGGTCCTTTTGGTGTCGGGCGAGACACTACAGAGAGGTGAGATGTAGCCTGAGCACGAGGCGATTCTGAAGGAGTAGTGCTGAGGGAGGCTGTGTCTCGTGGGAGCACCTGAACACCACGAGAAATGATGGAGTCTGGAATCTGAACAAGGGGAACGACTGTGGCTTAATATTCTGAAAATGCCAACAACATGTCGAATCAACACCCATGCCTATCATTGTTTTCTTTTGCATTCTTT
This sequence comes from Homo sapiens, assembly GCF_000001405.40. NCBI lineage: Eukaryota > Metazoa > Chordata > Mammalia > Primates > Hominidae > Homo > Homo sapiens. Next base: position 67,735,097 of record NC_000014.9, on the reverse strand, counting down.
GCTGCTCAGCTTCCCGATATTTGGTGTCATTTGCTGTTGGTTGTAAGTGCATCTAATAATCTGGGATATGATGGAAACTTTCAGATTTAAAATATTTTCTCTAGCCAGATATTTAACAAAATGTCTTTAAATGAGAGGCAGTACAGCATTGCAGTTAGGAGTATCCACTCCCAGCCCTGTACCACTGTGAGCTGGCCAAGCTGTGATCCTTGCTGAGGGCGGCAGGAAATGATGCATTCTGCAAGTGGAGCCTCCTTCAGGAAGGAAGGAGATGGGGATAACGCAGAGAATAGCACCCCTTTCCTAAAACTCAAGGGGAAGAGTGTCTCCGTCAGCACTCAAATTTCCTAAGGCAGTTAGGCCATGGGGGAGTAAAATCCTTTCCTTTTGGGTGCCAGATTCTCACTGAAACTGCTTTTTCTCTGTCTGCCTAACTCAGATGGATTCCTCCCAGCAGCTACACACTCTGAGGATCTTACATTCCAGCTGCTGTCTTTGCCCTGAGTTCTAGGCCTAGGCCTGCTCCCTTGCTATTCCCAATTCCCGTGGCTGGGTAGGGTGAAATGCTACTCACTAAACTAGCAGGCTGGTTTCCTGATTTGTTCCATTTCTCTCCCTTGCTGCCCTGAGAAAATAAATAAGACAATGAGATGAATGCAGTCTTTATTTTCTCTAAAAATTGAAAGGCAAACGGAACTCTTTACAAAAAGAAACCATCTGCATGATTGAAATGGGAAGGTCCAGGTGAGAGGAAGGAATCTAAATAGGCCAGGGTTAGCCAGGATCTTTGTGTGTTGGTCTAGACTCCAGGGTGGTGGCAAATATTTTTAAAAAGAAAGAGATCAACCAAGAGTTGGAGTGTATAGCCCCTAGAAATAGGCAGTGATGGTGCTCTTCTTGCCTCAGCTGAGCCTCTGGTGCTGATGAGGGAACTGACCCAATTTCTCGGGCTCTTCTGCCACCCCCATGCCCAGCCTGGGATCTGCCCAGTCCTGCTGCCCCCAGAGGGTTGCTGACTTTCCAGGTCTTAGAGAAGAACACTCTATAGGTGTCCACAACTCATGCCATAAGCCAGTCTCACAAGAGTGTCAGGTGTGCAAACATTCCCAGAAGGGTCAAGAGGATCAGAGCAGGCAGGATTCGCAGCACCAGCTGGCCAAGAGGACAATCCTTTAGGGTTGGCCTTCTCCTTGGTCCCTGTTCATTATGGCATGGATTGGGCCTGATAAAGCTGCAGCTCTTCCACCAGCTACTCCCACCGGATTCCTAGAAGCTCACAGCTGACATTCCATAGGCGCTCAGCTGTTTTGTTATTTCGGGCCCTTGGAGACACCCAGGTCCTCTTGCAGTCACTGGAGGGCAGAGAAAGACAGTAAATTCCAGGAATGAGAATTAGCAGTCTGGAAATCTTTATGGTCCCTTTCTCAGAATGTTTCTAAATGAATAAAATACAATATATGCCAGACTCAAAGAAACTAATTATACAAAATGCACTCCAAAAATATTTTAAAAACAAATTTGTGATATAGTAATACACAGGCTTATTTATTAATATATTCTATAACAAGATCTAGTACCAGGTCTAATAATCAAAGGATTTCAAAGTAGTGGCGAGCAGAAGTGACATTCTAGGATATCTGCAACAACTGCAATGTGATATAAAAATATTTATAATTCTATTGGTGACAAAGTCACAGGTATCACTACTACTACTACAGTTCAGTGCCTACATTCGTAATTGAAGAAAATGCCAAATCTCAGTTGGAGGTTAAATTAAAGATGAAGTTATTTTCCCATCCAAGTTCACAGGCCTCTTGAATTCTGGGGACAGATGCACTTGCATACCATGAACCCCAGACCAAGCCCTCCAGATTTGCTTTGGAATGAGCAGGGGCCCTGAGGACTAGAGGGATAGGGGGTGGGAGCAGAACACAGTTCTCATCATGTTTTTTTTTGTTTTTTTTAATTTTATTATTATTATACTTTAAGTTTTAGGGTACATGTGCACAACGTGCAGGTTTGTTACATATGTATACATGTGCCATGTTGGTGTGCTGCACCCATGAACTCGTCATTTAGCATTAGGTATATCTCCTAATGCTATCCCTCCCCGCTCCCCCCATGTTTTTTGTTTTTAATGTTCCTTTTTTCTAATTATAAAAGTCCTGTAAAACATTCGGAACATGCAGTGCTGATAAAAGAAGAAAAGCCTATCACGGCTGGGCACGGTGGCTCACACCTGTAATCCCAGGACTTTGGGAGGCTGAGGTGGGTGGATCACCTGAGGTCAGGAGTTCAAGAGCAGCCTGGCCAACAAGGCGAAACCCTGCCTCTACTAAAAATACAAAAAACAATTAGCCGGGTGTGGTGGTGGGCACCCGTAATCCCAGCTACTTGGGAGGCTGATGCAGGAGAATGGCTTGAACCCAGGAGGCAGAGGTTGCAGTGAGTGGAGATCACGCCACTGAAATCCAGCCTGGGCGACAAGACCGAAACTCCGTCTCAAAAAAAAGAAAAGTCTATCATTTAGTTGCTTTCTGTACAGTCTTTTTTTTTTTTTTGCTTTGTTTGGATATAAATAGAGATATAGTCTCTCTCTCTCTTTCTCTCTTACATAAAACCGGGATCATACTGTATCTAGTTTGAGGAGGATTTTTTTTTTTTTTTTGAGATAGGGTCTCACTTCATCACCCAGGCTGGAGTGCAGTGGCACTATCATGCAGCCTTGACCTCCCAGGCTGAAGCCATCCTCCCACCTTAGCCTCCCGAGTAGCTGGGACTACAGGCATGCACCACAATGCTGGGCTAATTTTTTGATTTTTAGTAGAGATGGGGGTCTCACTTTGTTGTCCAGGCTGGTATGGAATTCCCGAGCTCAAGCAATCCTCCTGCCTTGGCCTCCCAAAGTACTGGGACTACAGGCATGAGCCGCCACACCCAGCCTTAAATTTTTTTTTTTTTTTTTTTTTTTGAGACAGAGTCTCATTCTGTCGCCCAGGCTGGAGTGCAGTGGAGTGATCTCGGCTTACTGCAGCCTCCGCCTCCCAGGTTCAAGTGATTCTCCTGCCTCAGCCTCCTGAGTGGCTGGGATTACAGGCACCCACCAACATGATCAGCTAATTTTTTGTATTTTTAGTAGAGATGGGGTTACACCACGTTGGCCAGGCTGGTCTCAACTCCTGACCTCAAGTGATCCACCCACCTCAGCCTCCCAAAGTGCTGGGATTACATGCATGAGCCACTGCACCTGGCAAAATTTTTAAATAATAAAAAAACACCTAGAATAAAAAGATAAAAATCATCCTTCACACTCTGCTTGGCTCTCCCTAAAACTCCCTGGAAGTAACCACTACTGCCCAGTGGCTGGTTATCCCTCCAGACTGTTCTCTATGTATAAAAAATCATATAGTTTTGTATTCCAGTTTTTTCCTTACAACATTATATCACTAACATTTTTATATTAATTACATATTATATTAAAATATGATATTTAATGACTGTATATTTTATTACATATTTAAGGCAGCAATGTTAAACACTCAGACTCTAGAGTAGCAACTGTCCAATAGAAATATGATGGGAAGACCAGGCGCAGTGGCTCACGCCTGCAATCCCAGCACTTTGGGAGGCTGAGGTGGGCGGATCACTTGAGGTCAGGAGTTCAAGACCAGCCTGGTCAACATGGCAAAACTCCATCTCTACTAGAAATACAAAAACTAGCTGGGCGTCGTGGCATGCACCTGTAATCCCAGCTACTCGGGAGGCTGAGGCAGGAGGATCCCTTGAACCCAGGAGGTGGAGGTTGCAGTGAGCCAAGATCATGCCATTGCACTCCAGCCTGGGCAACAGAGTGAGACTATGTCTCCAAAAAAAAAAAAAAAAAAAAAAAAGAAAGAAAGAAATATGATGAGAAACACAATTGTGAGCCACATATGTCATTTTGAATTTTCTAGCAGCTACATTTAAAATGTAAAAAGAAATTGGTGAAATTTATTTAGTAACATTTAATTACACATTCATTTATTGAGTTAATAAATATGTACTTTATTTAACCCACAAATAGCAAAATCATTTTAGCATGCAATCAATATAAAAAATGAGATATCTTTTATCTCATTTAAAAATATAAAATGAGATAACTTACACTTCTTTTTTTATACTATAGGTTGAGCATCCCTTATCAGAAATGCTTGGGGCTGGGCGCGGTGGCTCACGCCTGTAATCCCAGCACTTTAGGAGGCCAAGGCAGGTGGATCAACTGACGTCAGGAGTTCAAGACCAGCCTGGCCAACATGGTGAAAGCCCATCTCGACTAAAAATACAAAAACTAGTCAGGTGTGGTGGCGGGCACCTGTAATCCCAGCTACTCAGGAGGCTGAGTCAGGAGAATCGCTTGAACCCAGGAGGCTGAAGTTGCAGTGAGCCAAGATCAAGCCATTGCCCTCCAGCCTGAGTGACAAGAGTGAAAATCCATCTCAAAAAAAAATGCTTGGGATCAGAAGTATTTAGGATTTTACATTTATTTGAATTATGAAATATTTGCATTGTACTTACCAGCTGAGCATCTCAAACCCCAAAAATCTAAAACCCGAAATACTCTGAAATCCAAAACATTTTTAGCAGCAACATGCAACTCAAAGGAAATGCTTACTGAAATATTCCGGACTCCGAATTTTCAGATTTGTGATGCTCAACCTGTATGTCTTCAAAAATCTGGTATGCACTGTACACTTACAGTGCATCTCAATCTGGACTAGCCATATTTCAAGTGCTCAATAGCAACATGTGGCTAGTGGCTACCATACTGAATGGCACAGCTCTAGAGCCAGATTGCCAGGGCGTAAATCCCAGATCTACCACTTATAAGCTATATGACTTTGAGCAAGTTTCTTAATTATCTTGCGCCTCAGTTTCATGTGAAAACTTGGGGTAATATTACCTGCCTCGCAGGGTTGTGATGATTATATGAATTAATACACATTACACACTCAGAACTGAGTACCAAACACATTATAAAAACTCAAGCAACATTAGCTATTATCACTTATCCATTCCCCTCTCATCAGACACTAAGACTATTTCCAGTGCTTCACGGAATAAATACTGCACTGATGAAAAGCCTTGAACAAAGCGGGACAACAGAGCAGACAGGGCTGGATTCTGTCATGGAATGGGAAAGAGATTTCACCCTGGGCTTCCCTTTACTCCCAGACTCTAGTTGCTCATTGAGTTCATGATAAGATTCAGCACTAAAATTTCTACTTCTATATTTCAACAGATAGTGCCAATCTTGGCAGCATTGAGGGACAGAGTTCACACCGAAGAGAGAGGACGTTCCCCTAGCACTTTGTGCTAATTGGTATTTAAAAATTCATGAATCAAGTGAGCCAAAAGCTTAAAGAAGGAGAAAAACGATCCAGATCTCCATGGCATAACCAACAGCGACAGTCTTCTTTAAAAGCTTTCAGAAAGCTGCAAAGTTTTCATGGAAAAGCGGCACACGAGTATAAAATAAAGCCAGAAAAGCAACTCTTCCCAACACATAAGTTTGTACTGTAAGTTTCCTTAACAAAGCAACGGCATTCTGTTTGCAGGCCCAACCCAAACCTGGATTGCATCATCAGGCACAAACTCAGCTTCTCAGGATGAACAGCCCAGCGAGTCCGGCACCTCCCATGCACACAGGTGGTGGAGAGAACCGCATTGCCTTCACACACCTGAAGTACTTGCCACTCAGGGGCTCCAGGCCCTCAGCCAGGGCGCAGTGCAGGCTGGTCTGCGCCCCCTCCCGTGCCGTCTTGACAAAGGGGGAGAAGAGCCGCCAGAGCAGGCAGAGCAGGGAGGAGTGCCGGACCAGCTCAGAGCGGACGACGCCTGGGTGCACTGCGTAGGTGGTGACCCCGGTGCCTGGGACAAAGAGGGCACAATTAGATCAGGGACACACTCTGAGCCCAGGAAAACAGCTTATCTCCTGCAGCAAAATACACAAGTGAGAAGGAGGGACTCAGGAAACATAACCCCAGGATTCAGCAGGTACCACTCCTGGCCAGGCGGAATTTGAACAGGAATGAATTGATCTTTCAGAAAGATCTATAGCCTTCTCAGCCTTCTATGTTCCAAAAGGAGTGCCTGGTTCGAGGTCCTTCTATTTCAATGTCGTTTTTATACTGTGGCTTTAGTACTACTAATAAACATGACAACATGTAGTGAGTAGTATCAATCATTGACAGTGGTATCTTTATCATTTCTAAAGGAGGAGTTTAGGGGTAGCGATCTGATTGGAAGGTGGTGGGTAGGACTTTATTTTGAGCTGCATTTGCCTGGCAAGCACATTTCATGAGGTATAGATTGAGGGATGGTGATGCAGATTGTGGGGGATTAACACCCCCCCCCCACAAGATATCCCTGGTGCGGTCACTATTTTTCAGTACCAATTATGTGCCAGGGCCATACAACATGCTTTAAATGTATTATTTCATTTAATTCTTAAAGAGGCTTGTAAAATAGAATATTATGTTATGATACCCATTTACAACAAAGAAAACTAAGTCACAGAAAGTTTAAGTAAATTGCCTAAGGTTATACCTGGCAGGGTGCAGGGCCAAGGTCTGAACTCTGATGTAAAGTTAAAAACATGGAATGGACTGTCTGCATTTGAATCCTGGCTCAGCTAGGAACCTTCCTTGGGCAAATTTCTTAATCTGTCAGTGCCTGTCTTTTCATATTTAGAGTGGGGGAAAATAATAGCACCCACCTCACAGGAATGTTGCAAGTATTAAATGAGTTAAGATGTGTAGTACATGGCACACATAAACCTCTCAATTATTATTGTAATAGTTATTGTTTATTTTTATGATTACCGTCTTCTTCTACTGTAGGCATTCTGGAAGTGAAGATCATTGTTCCCAAACTCTGGCTTATTCACTGTAACAAATGGACCCCTAGATCCGCAGATGTCAGAGCCAGCAGCTCACCCAGTGCTCCAGGAGAGCACAGAATCATTAAGGAATAAGAACCAGCCTGACCTGATTTTACAGCTGAGAAGATGAAGTCAGGGGAGGTTAAAGGGGCACATCCACATCCACATCCACATGCGGCTAGCATGTGGTAGAGCAAGAACTTGGACCCAGGGGTCTGAAATCCAGCCCTAACTCCCTGAGTCCAGGCAGTGGCAGCTCTGTAGCTCAGATCACCATGTGGACCTCAGCAAATGGCACCCAGAAGGAAGCACCCTAGGTTTAAAGCTGAGCACCCACATTCCGGTTCTGATGCCCTCACCTGCCATATACTCTTTAGCTGGCCATTTCCTTGGACCTCAGCTCTGCTCTATAAACTAGGAGTAATAATACCTGTTACCAAAGGCCTCTTCTGCCAGATCACCTGAGGTCAGGAGTTTGAGACCAACCTGGACAACATGGTGAAAGCTCGTCTCTTCTAAAAATACAAAATTAGCCAGGCGTGATATTGCGTGCTTGTAATCCCAACTACTCAAGAGGCTGATGCAGGAGAATCACTTGAACCCAGGAGGCAGAGGTCGCAGTGAGCCAAGATCGCACTACTGCACTCCAGCCTGGGCGACAAGAGCGAAACTCAAGTCTCAAAAAAAAAAAAACAAAAAAAACAAAAAGCCTCTGTCTGTTGCAAAAAGCTACTGTGAAAATCAAATGAGATAAGAGATAAGATGTGACACAAATACAAGGTAACTTTTTGAGGTTCTTAACCCCTATTTGATTTTAAGCTCCCTGGGGGCAAGCACTCTGTTTTTATTCCATTCATAATTTCATTCTCCTTAGTCCACAGAGATATTACTGACACGTGCATGTTTGACAGCCTGACTTCCCAAGTTGCTGTGGACCTCTAATTTGGTCTGAGGACCATTTTTGCTATTCCTCTTTCTCCAGACTTACCTTGGAGCCTCTTGGCCAGCTCACGAGTAAAAAGCACATTGGCCAGCTTGCTGTGGCAATAGGCAAAACCCCTGCTGTAGCGCTTCTCGCTCTGGAGGTCGTGGAAGGGAATCTTGCCAATGTGGTGAGCCACCGAGGACACATTAACCACCCGTGCAGGGGCAGACACCTTTAGCCGCTCCAGGAGCAGGTAGGTGAGGAGGAAGTGGCCTGTGAGGAGAGCCAGCAGGGAAGATTGAAAGTGGAATGACAGCCCAGGCTCAGCATGTGGGAGCCAAGAGGACTTCAGTGTTAGCTCACTATCTTCTGGGTGTGAACCAATTTTGATGCCATGAGTAACTCTAATGGTCAGTTTGGTCTGAGTTTGTGGATTCCTCAAAGCAAGAGCCAGAGCTAGACTACAAGTAAGGCAATCATACTTAATTATATTACTTTGTACCTCTGCCCTTGACCCACCTGCTGGCTTCCAACTCCCACTCTGGCCATGATCGCATAACTAGGGACCCAGGTACACTTGTGTATAGGCAGAAGGATAGAACAGTCAGGGAAGATAACATTTGCTTAGGATCAGAAAACATGCTCCATGCTCTCCTCCCTAAAGTCTTTGCCTTGAACGCTGAACCCCACCCTGCCTCGTACTCAAGTTCTCAAGGATTGCCTACCTCCGTGGACCAACCCATGGCTTGGTTGGCCATCATGTAGATGTGACCCCTCCAGCCAAGCCCAGATGCCTGCATAACCCCAGGTCTGGCCCTGCCTGGCAAGCCTTGTACTGCCACTGCCCCATCCAAGAATGACATTCTTCTCCCTGGTATTTCCTGAAATTTGGGGCTTCTTAATGGTATGGGTAGGAAGATCTCACTTTTTTAGACTGATCAGGAGAGGTACAGTGAACAACAAGCCAATGGGTCTAGTCTATTGGAATTCCTAGGCTCTATGAAGGCCCCTGGACATTCTCCACATTTACACAGTGTCATCTTCCTAAAGAAAAGATAGTGGGTGTACCTCATTTTTTAGTCACCCAAAGATACTTACCCAGGTGGTTGACTCCCAGGTGGGTTTCAAAGCCATCAGCTGTCTTGGAATATGGACACATCATTACTCCCGCATTGTTGATCAGAATATGGAGCTGCTTTTCCTCTATAGGGCACAACCAAAGAGATCCTATGGTTAGCAAGGAGTCCCCTAGCTGCCTGTAACAGACCTGCATAATTGCCCTTTCCCTTTGTTCATTAGTTGTCTTTGTTGGGGTAACATTTTGATAGGAGTCACTTGCTCTGCCCCTTCCTTTTAAAACAAGGTATTGCCTCAGCACTCAATAACTATCCTTCATTTGGACCTATCTCAGTGACATCCAATAAGCATTGTCACTGGGTTTCTAATGAGTAATTTTAGTTACTCATATCTTCCTGGACATTGTTCATTCATTTATTCAGCAAATGTGTACTAACTACCGACTCTGAGCCAGGTGCACTCTGCTGGGCACTAGGAATCCAGTGGTAACACAAGCCAGACATGGTCCCAGGATGTCCCTCATGGATTTCATAGTCCGTGGTAGAAGCTGGTCATTTTCCAAGATCCAGAAGAACTTGCCAGCAGCACAACTTCATCTCATGCCTATGGCCACACAAGGTTGATTCTCAGGATGAAAGAAGAGAGTGGCATTGTGGCCACACCTTGATGCCAAGGTGCAAGCCCAGACAGGGAGCTAACACCTCCGACATTCCCATTGCTGAGGCGAAAAGATGATAAGGATCCTGCCCAGTCTATCTACCCACCATCCTCTTGCCAATTCCCTGTCCTGCTGGTTCATGTGGCAGAACCTGTCTAGTGGGGTGGATGATGGTTCTGATGTAAGGGCCATAGATGGTCTAGGGTGGAGCAGCCACTCCCATACCCAATTTCCTGCTTTTCTACCTACCCATCAGGACCTCACCTGCCAGAAAGCCCTCAGCAAAGGCTCGGATAGATTTGGTGTCGGATAGGTCCAATTTCCGCACCAGCACCTGGGAGTTCTTTGTATCCACTCGGATTTCACTGGCAGCAGACTCCCCCTTCAGTACATCTCTGCAGGCAATATAGACTCGGGCTCCTGGGTCCAAGACAAAAAAAGAGCAGTATGTTCATATCCTAGGCTATAAAGGAGGTATAGTAAGTGAGCTTGGGACTGGGGGACAGAGCATTCATTCTCCCAGCCATCCTTCAACGGTAGAGTGAACATATTGCCACTTCGGGCTTTTCACAGTAGTACTGTTCAGTCTTCTTGCTGTCAGTTTAATCCCAGGCTGGGAACCTGGTTCCCAGGTTTTACATTCTGATATTTAATGTCACTTAGTATCTCCTTTTAGAATAACTGACTTGGCTATACACAGACATCGTTTTCCTTATTTTATTTAATAGAGAGGGAATAGGAAAGAAGCAGTTTATTGGAGGCCACAGTGTAAGTTGGTGTCACAGTTGGACTTGAATCCCAGGTTCCTTGAATTTCTAGTCAGAGCCCCCAAGCCTAGGAGGAAACACAAAGCAATATGGACAGAGGCCCCAGTGGGAAGAAGGGTGGGAGGCATGGCCCTTTGGAGACTAAAGGGGAAACACTTACCTCGGCTAGCGAGCTCTCTGGCCGTCTCCTTGCCAATGCCCGTGTTGGCGCCAGTGATCACCACTACCTTGCCAGGAAGCTGCACATTTGTTCTACACACTCCACCAGCAAAGAACTTCCTATCGGCAAGGGAAACAAGAGCATCACGTACCATCCTTCACGAGCTCACACTAAGATACGTTAAAAAAAAAAAAAAAAACTCTATCCAGCCTCAAAGAAGGGTATCTTTAAGTTGCAGTCAGGAGACTCATAAAAGCTAACCTTCATAGGACAACATTTTTCCATGGGGCAAGGTAGTCGCCTGTTTATCGGTGCAGGTGGGAAGATCACTTGCCCAGAAGCCACAAATAATCATATTAGCAAACAGAGTAAATGCTGGAGTCAGGGCCAATGGAGACTTTCCTTGTTAGATAATAAATACATCTAGCTCTTATCTCTAGAGGTTCCAGAGGAAAGCTTTCCCCTCTAACCTACATTCAAAACATATGCATGATAAACATTAGCGGAGTCAATATTCAGTAACCATCATCATGAGTAACTGATGAACAGCACTCTGTGGGGGGTGGCACACACAGGTACTGCTCTTAGCACTCTGGGGGATGGCATACACAGGTACTGATCTTAGGCTGCCTCTCCAGTTTTAGGGAGTGGGTCATTTCCGAGGCTTTCAGCCATTGTATTAGAGATTTCATTCTGGCCGATGGCAAACAGAGAGAAAACCTCCTTTGTTCAGACCTCTGTGCAGAGAGCACTCTTTTACATGAAGTTGACTTCACAGGTCCTAAAACAGAATACGGAGGGGCAGAACTAACATTTCCTGCACATCATCTGACTGCCAATTACTAGTCTAGGCACTTTCCATATGTAATTTATTTTAATCCTCTCAACTTCTCCAGTATTATTTCCACATTACAGTAGAGAAAACTGAGGCTCAGGGAGGTTCATGTCACATAGTGGTGGCAGAAGTGGGACTTGAACCCAGATCTCTATGGAGAACCTAGAATAACACTGTCCTTGGTAGGTCCATTTAACCTCCTTTATCATAAGAAATTTTTTAGGCTGAGCCCAGTGGCTCATGCCTGTAATCCCAACATCTTGGGAGGCCAACGTGGGATGGTCGCTTAAGCCCAGGAGTTTGAGACCAGCCTGGGCAACATAGTGAGACCCCCATCTCCACAAAAAATTTAAAAAGTAGCTGGGTGTAGTGGCACCTGCCTATATTCCCAACTACTTGGGAGGCTGAGGCAGGAGGGTTGCTTGAGCCCAAGAGTTCAAGGCTGCAGTGACCTATGACTACACCAATGCACTCCACCCTGGGGTGACAGAGCAAAAATTAAAAAAGAGAAATTTAAAAATTCTCCACTCAGAACACACTTTTATTTGACACCTCTAGAAATCCCACAGCAAAAAAGCCATCCCAAAACATTAATTGAGGGTAGTCTCAAAGGCAGAAGAGTTTGTTTCTTTCCCAAACTACCTGGTACTTAACAGCATGACAAGCCAGCAGGGCCACCCTGAATAGGGACAGAGTCTCCGAGTTCTTCAGAGACACCCAAAGGAATAAAATGAAAACGCAAGGACTCCCACCTAAGGTGTTTGTTGAGCTACTTGACAGAGTCATCCATGCAGCCTTCCGCTGGCAGTAGAACTCTCCCCAGAGCTCAGGTGGGGCCAGAACTCAGCCCCACCTCTGCCCGGCCGCAGATGCTTCCTTCTGGTTTTCCACCATGGTATCCACAACACCCCCTTCCTTCCTGCTTTTCCTGCCCTGACTTTCTCCTCTGTCAGCCTCCTTCCCTTTCTCTTCTTTCAGCAGCTGAGAACCGGCTTCCAGTGCAGGTCTTTGTAAACGATTGTTTGAGTTGCTGAATTAAGACAAACCTGATGGATGGAGCTACCATATACAGGAACGAGAAGAAGGAGGTGAGCAGTCCCAAGGTGACCAGCATCGTTCCAACTTCTGTAGCTGCTGTTGCTTTTGCTGCTGCTCCAGCTTCAACCCCAGCTCTGGCTCAGGTTCCTGGTCTGGCTCCAGCTCTTGGCTGCTTCTGCTGCTTCTCTGCTCCTCTCCGTCCTGGGTGCTGAGCAGCAGCCTGACTCTGAGCAGAGCCCAGAATCCTATTTAAATCCAAGAGCTGTCAGAGCACAGCCTGCTGGGAGATGTAGTCCTGGTGGGGAGGGGATGGAGTCAAGGTTTGAAGCTTACTTAGGTTTACTGGCAAAGAGAATGTGGGGAAACTAAAGCAAGTACCCCCTAAACCCCCCATCCTCAATTGTTTCTCTTCTCTAGGAAATGTGTTCTCCCAACCACTGCCACCTCTACTGCAAGATGGAATATATAGAATATTTCTAACTTTAGCCACAAACCCCATGATGCTTAAAATATGAGTGGATTAAAATAGGATGGGAAGGAAACTCCCAGAAGAATGGAGAGAGACGTCAGAAGAGCAGTTAACCTTAGGGAGGAGGGGGCAGTGACTGGGGAGGGAGATGACTGGAACTCCTGGAGGGCTGAGAGTGCTCTGCTCTTTCATCTGGGTGCTAGTACATGGGTGTGCTCACTTTATGAAAATCTGCTGAGTCGTATGCTTTCGACTTGTGCACTTTTCTGCATTTTATATTTTACTTCAATGAAGTTAACACACGCACATGCATATTACAAGGAAAGGTATGGTGTTTAAGTGCATGGACTCTAGCGCTGAATCTATTTAAAAGCTCCACGGCCCTGGGCAAGTTACTAAACCTCTCTGTTAACTCAGTTTTCTCACTTGTACAATGGGTATGATTATATATATAATATATGGTTTTATATATATATGTGTTATACATATATATATATATATATATATATATCCCCACTTGTTCTAAGTGTTCAATTATTACATTGGTGGAAAACGAAACTGGCATATGCTAAACAGTATATAAGAGTCAGCTGTTATGGTTAGCTGTTCTGATTCGTATCTCCCTTGCTATCTCACTTGCTTTACTCAAGGCCATGGTGTAGAAAAGGGAGAGATGATGAACGTGGGTGATGTTTCAGTTGAATGCTATTGAAGATGAGGAGAAATACAAGAAAATGCTGGTAAAGAGCCCAAGGTAGGGGGATCCCTTGAGGCCAGAAGTTCAAGACTGAGCTTAGGCAACTTAGTGAGACCCTGTCTCTACAAAAAATTATCTGGGTGTGGTGGTGCGTGCCTGTAATCCTAGCTACTCGGGAGGCTGAGTAGGGAGGATCACTTGAGCTCAGAGGTCAAGGTTGAAGTGAGCTAGGATCGTGCCTCTGGATGTGTGTGAGATGGGAGAAGGGTAAGTGGGATTCATTGCCCTTCCTCGCTCTGTGTTCCTCTCTTGGACAGAAGAATAGACAAGGAGCTGGGACAGGACCCCAGGAATAATTTCCCAGTTCTGTCCCTTCCTGTGAAGCCAGAGGAGCCTCCAGGAACACCCATGCATGAAAGACTTCTGTGGCAGGCAGGTGTTCATGTCCTCATTCATCAGTTCATCCTCAACACACATTTACTGAGTGTTTCTCTGCACCAGGAATTGTGCAACATACTAGGAAGACACAGTTTCTGCCCCTGGGGAAACCCATGGACCTGACCAACAGAACAAGGAGTGATCAGATCATTCCCAGCAGACACTTCTTGACTCAAATCTAAGATCCTTGCATTTAAGAAGATGGTACTCACCTTAGCTTGAGCTTGTCCAGGAAGCAGAGAGTCCTTAAGAACAGCATACAGTCCTCTGGAGAGAAGATATTAGAAGGACCATAAGGCATCTAGAATTATGAAAATACACAAACACTTTGCTAAAATAAAATGTTAAATATTATAATCCAAAGGCCACCATCATATCATTGATAAGTTGTACCAAAATGCTAAACCATACTACTAAGTACAGGTAGGTGAATAGGCAGACAAATCAATAGAACAGAATGGAAAGGCAAGAAATAGACCCAAATACACATGGGCATTTAGATATGATGAAAATGCCATTTCAAATCAGTGGAAGGGACAGATGATTTAATTAACAAAGTATTGTGGCACCTAGGTATCCAGCTGGGAAAAAGCAAACTTGATCCTTCCAAAATTCGAATACCTCAAAGACGTAAGTATGAGAAATGAAACCACTGAAGTATTAAGAAGAACCACTGGACACATTTTTAGAGTGGTAAGACCTTTCTAGTAAGACAGGAAACTGAAAACTAAAACTTAAAAAATGAGCATGACAAAAACCATCATACACAAGGCAAGATAAATGAGAAACTGGGGGGAAATATTCATAACAGGCTTTGAAGACAAGAGACTAATTGATTTAGTAGATAAAGAACTCTTACAAATCAGTAAGAAAAGGAATAACAACCCAATTGAAATAGCAGTTTACAAAAAAGGAAATACAAGTGGCTCTTCACCCTCACTCATATGAGAGATGCAAATTAAAATTATACTGGGAGCCACTTTTCACTTATCAGATTGCCAAAGGTCAAAAAGATTGTAGTATGATCCACTGGCAAGCATGTGAAGAAATAATGCTGATGCATTGCTCGTGGGAGAGTCCATTGTTAAAGCCTCCATAGAGAGAAGTGTTGTAATGTCTAGTAAAGCTGTGCATGCACTCATTCACCTAAACATTCGACTTCCATGTATTTATAAGGTTACCATTATAGCATTGTATATTATAGCAGAAGTTTGGAAACCTCCTAAATGTCCATCAATAGTAAAGCCACATAATAGATAGTATACAGCTGTAAAAAAAGAATAAATAATTAAGAAACAGAATAAATAAAAAACTTAAGTAAATAAACATTAAATTTTGGTTGGGCACTGTGGCTTACATCTGTAATTCCTGCACTTTGGGAAACCGAGGCAGGAGGATCACGTGAGACCAGAAGTTCAAGACCAACCTGGGCAACATAGTGAGACCCCGTCTCTACAAAAAGGAAAACTAAAAATTAGCTGGCCTGGTGGCACACACCTGTGGTCCCAGCTACTTGGGAGGCTGAGGCAGGAGGATCACTTGAGCCCAGGAGGTTGAGGCTGCATTGAGCCATGATCATGCCACTACACTCCAGCCTGGGCAACAGAGCAAGACCCTGTCTCTAAAAAAAAGAAAAGAAAAAATAAATAAACTTTTCAGCAAAAAGACCCTGATAACCTGCAGGACACATTTCACAGGCTTCCAAATGAACTGCTTGGAAAAGGTCTTAAGACTGATGGCTTACATCCTGTCTCTGAGTAAAGAATCTTATCGTGAGGCACTCAAATTCTATTGCGAGTTCCTCAAACTATGTATTTATTAATTGTCAGGTTACTGATTAATACTGACATTGAAAGGGACATTGTTTTCTTTCTAAATCATAAAGCTCTGCTGATTTGTTTTTACTGATTGTCTTGTGCATAAAACATTTTAGCCTGTACGCTGTCATCCATAGGCAATGATTGTAACCTCTGTATTGTACCCTCCAATGGAAAAGGATAACTCCGATATGAGGAGTCCCCCTTCCTTCTCCTAAACAGTCTTATAAAAGCATTCCAACTTGTAACAGATGTTGGAACATGCCCAACTTTGTTGGTGTATCTTACTGGATAAATTCTCACATTTGGCTTCCAATAAACTTTTATCAATTTATCTCTGCCCCAATGGCCTTAATTTCTGTTGAAAACCGTATCATTTTGCAACAACTTACATGTTTATCTTTGTTAAATTAATCATTGCAGTATCACAAATAAAGCTATTTCTCAAACTGGTATCGAGACATTCTTAAACATGCTTTGGCACATAAGCAAAGCCATAATCATCACCCACTTCATCATTGTAATCAACATCAAAAAAGCCAGGGACCAATAGGATACCTGCTCTTTAGGGATTTTCAATCTGGGACAGATATAGGCATAAGTCACAGAGAGAAAGAGATGAAAACACCAGAGGAACCAGTGTAGGAATAGGCCTGAAGTTCAGTGATGACAGAGCACTCATCACTTGCAACACCTTTGAGAAGGATCCTCTTCTAGCCTCACCGTGAGTGAATCAATCACAGGTCAGGTTCCCGGATCAGCCATCCTCCCAGGGCTAACACTGAGGCAGGGATGTGTGGAGATCACATGCTATGAAGCAGAGCTGGGAAGCTGCTTGCTGATTTGACCTTTGGTCATAAATCATCTAGCAGCTCATACTGTACTGGTCTCCTGGTTATCCCTGTCCTGGATACCCTACTAAGAATGGAGCCTCTTACAAAATAGAGTGAGAGGGAAAACTGTAAACTTCTCTTTCTCTTCCTCCCTTCCTCCTTCTCCTCTTCCCTATTCTTCAAATCACATATTTTGGAAGCCAGATGAGACAGGTGGGAGATGACAGATTCCATCTTTCTACTGCAAGCCCTGCCCAACTTCCCTAAGGAGCCCGTACAGCACCACAGTTATTTCCTTTTCCAGCCATGAGGAACTTGCTGCCTCTTCCCATGCCCTGACCCCAAACAGCAAACCAAAATGGAAGCACATTTTTTTGTATTTGTTTTAACCAATAATAATGACTTGTTGTTCCTTTTTCTTGATTTTAAAAGCTAAAATAAACACACTGTCTTTCTCAAAGAAAAAGAATTTTTGCTGCTAGTATGTAACTTCCGTTGATTTTTCAAGGGATCAGCAACCCTTACTCTTAATTCACAGCAGGCACTATTGACATTTAAAAAAAAATAGAGACAGGGTCTCACTGTGTTGCCCATGCTGGTCGTGAATTCCTAGGCTCGTGTGATCCTTCCACCTTGGTCTCTCAAAGTGCTGGGATTATAGGTGTGAGCCACCACGCCCAGCCTATTGACATTTTGAGCCTTATAATTCTTTCCTGTGAGTGGCTGTTCCGAGTAAAGGAGGATTTTTACCAGCATCCCTGGCCTCTACCCACTGAGATGCCTGGAGCACTACTATCCCCTTGTGACAACCAAAAATGTCTCCTGGCATTGCCAGCTGTTCACTATGGGGCAAAATCACCCCCGTTTGGGAACCACTGCCCTCCAGAATGTAGGCCTAAAGGATAACCCTGGTGTATGTAGTATTGAAAAGGATTAGAGGACAGTAATGTTTTACTTAGTATCCCATGCCTTTCACTCAGCTGTAGCCAAGCTAACCTGCTTACTGTCCACAGCAAGTTATTAATATCCTCTCAGGGCCTAGGATGCTGGCCATCTACTAATCCTTCTGTCCTTAGAAACTTTACCTTCTCCCAGCTTAATTCTGTTTACCTCTAATCACTCCATTAGTCTACAATGGCTGGGATCTGTGTACACATATACTTCAAAAACACACCTCCACTGAGTGGCTTTCTGAGGTGATGGAAATGTTCTATCTCTCAACAGGACTTTGGGTTACATGAGTCTATGCCTTTGTCAAAACAGCAAATATATACTTAAGACTTGTGCCTTTCACTGTATACAAATTTTACATCCAAAGGAAAAAAAACTAAATAAATATTGAACTCTAGTTAATGAATGATATATATACATGCTGAAGTTTTTAAAGGGGAAGGGTACCGATGTCTGTAATTTAGTTTGAAGTATGTTAATAAAATAAAGTAGATTGATAGAAGGAAGTAAAACAGGCATTTCACTATATTTGTTTTATATATGTGATAAAACTGGTATAGTAAAATGTTAATGTAGAATCTAGGTTATGGATATATGGATATTTATTTTAAAATTCTTTTTTTTTTTTTTTTGACAGAGACTCACTCTGTCACTCAGGCTGGAGTGCAGTGGTGTGATAGCGGCTCACTGCAAACTCCACCTCCCGGGCCCAAGCAATTCTCCTGCCTCAGCCTCCTGAATAGCTGGACCCACAGGTGCCTGCCACCACATCTGGCTAATTTTTGTATTTTCAGTAGAGATGGGGTTTCACCATGTTAACCAGGCTGGTCTCGAATTCCTGGCCTCAAGTCGTATGCTGGCCTTGGCCTCCCAAAGTGCTGAGATTACAAGTGTGAGCCACCACACTCAGCCTGTAAAATTCTTTAAACTATTACAAATGTTTGAAAATGTTCAGATTAAAATGCAATGGAAGTACACATGCAGACATACACACAAACACGTGTGTACACACACTTTCTGTCATGGAAAATCAAGAAGCGTAACATTTCAAAATGAAAATTTTTTATAAATTGCCATATTCACTTTTTTAAAAACTTTCTAACATAAATGGAATTTTTTTTCAGCTGAAGAAATCTTTTATTGTGTTTAAGGTCCAACTTAAATATATCTCCTCTCTGCAGCTTTCACCTATCCTAATCAATCATTCACTTCTCTTGCTCCCATACACTATATTTGCCTTTTCTGTACAGCAGTCACAGCGGTTTGACTTATAACTTAGTTAGGCAATTTCTTTTTTCTTTTCTTTTTTTTTTTTTTGAGACGGAGTCTCACTCTGTCGTCCAGGCTGGAGTGCAGTGGCGTGATCTCGGCCCACTGCAAGCTCCGCCTCCCAGGTTCACGCCATTCTCCTGCCTCAGTCTCCAGAGTAGCTGGGACTACAGGCACCGGCTACCACCCCCGGCTAATTTTTTTTGTATTTTTAGTAGAGACGGGGTTTCACCATGTTAGCCAGGATGGTCTCTATCTCTTGACCTCGTGATCCGCCCGCCTCGGCCTCCCAAAGTGCTGGGATTACAGGCGTAAGCCACTGCCCCCGGCCTCTAGGCAACTTCTTATCTCATCAGCTCAGGGACAGAAATAAGCTCTACATTTGTGTTCCCCCAGCACATGGAACCAAGGTTTGCATGAAGCAGACATGCAATAAATAGTGGTGAATATGGTTGAGTTTACAGTAATCTCTCCCTGGTTATGAGATTCTAAGATATCCTAATTTAATTATTTGCAACTTCGTGAGTATTGCAAAATTTGGATTCCAATAGAAGTAAATGGTGAGTCACTCCTTCAGAAGATACTTACAAAAAGAACGAACTTGGCATTGGGGACTGAAATAGAGTAAAGTAGAAATGAAACTAAGGGATTTTTGCAATTAAATGTTGGGAAATTTTTTTAAATAAAAGAGGGCCAATAAGCCCAGGCCTTACGCCTGCACTGTGGTGAGGTGCTCAGGATGGCAGGGGGCAAAGCTGTGCAAAGCTTCTGCCAACTCAAGGGCTTACAGCAATCGGTGAAGTCATAGGCATCCAACATCAGGACAAGGACAGATAAAGAAATGCCTCTTAGACAAAATGTTTTGCTATTTTCTGTTTGGAGTAAACCAAATAATATAGAGAATCATTTAAAGAATACTCAGCATGACTTACTGCCCAGCTTATGAAATAAAACATCATCAGAAGTAGATCTGGATATTGTAGGGCCTGAAGTCTATTCAATTTAGGGGGCTCCCCCCCTTTTATTTTTTAACGGCTATTATGCTATGAATTCGTAGGGAATAGGTTCCAAGCAACTTAGGCTTCTTTCCATTGGTTCTCACAAAGTGAGCTTCACAAAGTGGAGAAGGCTGGCACTTCAGGTACTTTTCTCTTTTGCTTCCTTCTTTTTCTGATCCTTTTCCTTTACATGCTTCAGGAAGTTATCTTGGCCCTTAGACTGCTTAATATGCTCAATAAACACATTAATTCTCTCAGCAAGAATCTTGCCTTTAATTTGTTTGTGTCCAAGAACACTGTTGATAGGCTCTTCCAGTTTTGCCGTGGTAACATGTGTGGGGCATTCAGTGAATGCCTTGAGTTGGCAGAAGCTTTGCACAGGTTTGCCTCTGCAATCTTGAGCACCTCACCACAGTGCAGGTGTAAGGCCTGGGCTTATTGGCCCTCTTTTATTTTTAAAAATTGCCTAACATTTAATTTCAAAAATCCCTTAGTCTCTTTTCAACTTATATCCCATTTCAGTCCCTAATACCATGATAACATGTGTGGGGCATTTTTGAACAGTTCCCATTCCCTTGATGTCTGCAACATAACCTTTCTTGTAGATTTGCATGGTTGTGGCCAAAGGAACAACTCCATGTTTTCTAAAAGGCCTAGAGAACATATATTGGTGTCCCTCCTCTTTCCCTTAGTGTTCCTCATTTTGGAGAATAACTGGAAGACGGCAGTTCCTTCTGAAAGGCTAGGGAACTCTTTTTAATAAAAAGAATATAAAACTATGAGTAAATATTAGGTACAAAAATAAAACAAAGCTGGGCACAGAGGCTCACACCTGTAATCCCAGCATTTTGGGAGGCCAAGGCAGGAGGATTTATTGAGGCAAGGAGTTTGAGACCAAGAGCAACATAATCAGATCTCAGCTCTACTAAAAAAATGAAAAAAAAATTAGCTGGCCATGGAGTGCACTCCTACAGTCCCTGCTACTCAAGAGGCTGAGGCAGGAGGAGAACTTGAGCCCTGAAGGTGGAGGCTGCAGGGATCTGTGATCACACCACTGCACTCCAGCCTGGGAGACGGAGCAAGACCCTGTCTCAAAAGTAAAGCAAGAAGTTAATTACAAGAAAAAAGTAAATAGGAAATTACAATTTTTTTAAATCTAATAGTTGCTACTGTGAAAGGAAACATTTTGGGCCCCCAAAATCACTAAGCTAAAGGGAAAATTCAAGCTGGGAACTGTTTAGGGCAAACCTGCCTCCCATTCTATTCAAAGTCATACCTCTCCTCATTAAGATAAATGCATATCTGGTTGCCTCTTTGAAAAGGCTAAACAGAAACTCAAAAGAATGCAGCTGTTTTTCTCTCACCTACCTGTGACTTGGAAGCCCCCTCCCTGCTTCGAGTTGTCCCTCCTTTCCAGACCAAACCGATGTTCATTTTACATATGTTGATTGATGTCTCACGTATCCCTAGAATGTATAAAACCAAACTGTGCTCTGACCATCCTGGACACATGTCGTCAGGACCTCCTGAGGCTGTGTCTTGGGTACGCGCCCTCAACCTTGGCAAAATAAACTTTACAAATTAACTGAGACCTGTCTCAAATTTTCTGGGTTTACATTTTGTTAACCACAAAAGGATTCTCAATGGAGATGCCCCTGACCTTTGACAAATCTCCTATCAGTGCCTGGTACCAGCATGAGCTAACTTTATGGCTCAAACCAACAGGACAATTTGCTGAGGTCTGGGAATATCCCCTCCAGAGAATCCCTGATGTCCCAAAATTTGGTCAAGATCTAAAGCTTATTTTGCTGTACATCCCCTCTTTTTTTTTTTTTTTTTTTTTTTTTTTGGAGTTTTACTTGCTTTCAACAAGAAAGGCAAGTTTTTCTGCTTCCATGACGATGGAAAGCAGGTAACTCCTTTATGGAGTTTGAGCTCACTTCCAATAGGGAAAATGAGGTTTTTTTTTGTTTTGTTTTTTGTTTGTTTGTTTGTTTGTTTGTTTTTCCTGCTTCTAGGATGGTAGAGAGTTGTTTTCAGCCTGAGACCCATCCCTAGGTATGTAGCTGAATTGAGGTTTTGTCTTGGCTAAAGTTAACAAAAAGCTGGTTTTAATTTCTGCTTACCATTAGAGTGCTCAGTGATCATATAAGTTGTGCCATTGTTTATTTCTGTTTTTATTGTTGTTTCAGTCTTTTTCCTGTTGGGTTTCATCAATTCTATCCAACTTGATCAAATCCAAAGGAAAGTTCCAAATTATGGGGAATAAGTCCTCTGAAGTGGTTAAATTCCCACACACAAAAAAGGGTGGTGTAGGAGAAAAATGGCCAGCAAAAGAAAAAAAAAAGAGAAGGGAACATTTTTTTATTTTGATTACTAAAGGGGCTTTATTTTCATAACAAGGCCACCTTTTTGCTAGCTGCCAACTGAAAGCAATGGCTGTCACCTCACCCTGTAGTTCAATAGCTAAAGTTCTGCCTTCTTTTTTTCCCTATCACAACAGCCTAGGTTTGGTTCCTAAATCAAACCCTTTCTGGTTTGATACTTGGTACTTCTGAAATAGCAGCAATTTGTCCTAGATGAAATATAGTAATGAGATTTTAAAAGATTTTTTAAAATGAGCTCAATGGTTAAAAGTCAGCTTAATTAAAAGCTAACATCCAAGGTGTGTTTGTATTTAAAAGGCCTTCATGTTTTTGTTTTGTTTTTTTCTCACCCAAAACCTTGTCTTTTTTTTTTTTTTTTTTTTTTTTGCAAGTTTTTTCTTCTCAGTTGACTGAATTCTGTTTTCTTCATTAATAGCTATTGCAACAGAGGCCACTCTGGGATTTTTAAGGAAGAATGTAGCTTAGACACTTAGAAATGTCTTTATTAAAAAACAAAAAACAACAACAACAAAATTTTTAAGTGCACTATAAAAGCATCACATGGTTTAACCTCAAAATAATTCTCCCTTTTTGGAGACCCAGGATTCAGTGTGGGCTCCTCCCAGAGCTCAGAGATCCAGTTAAAAGACAGGTAGTCCCAGGCCGGGTGTGGTGGTTCACGCCTGTAATCCCAACACTTTGGGAGGTCAAGGTGTGTGGATCACGTGAGGTCAGGAGTTCAAGACCAGCCTGGCCAACATGGTGAAACCGTGTCTCTACTAAAAATACAAAAATTAGCTGGGTGTGGTGGCACATGTCTGTAATCCCAACTACTCAGGGGGCTGAGGCAGGAGAATCACTTGAACCTGGGAGGAGGAGGTTGCAGTGAGCCTAGATCGCACCATTGCACTTCAGCCTGGGCAACAAGAGCAAAACTCCGTCTCAAAAAAAAAGATAGGTAGTCCCTATCTAAATAAAATTTGTCTCCTTATACAATCCTATGATAGATTTCTGTAATTTTGTGTTTGATTTGACATCCATCTTCAATCTCCCTCTAGAACCATCAGACTTTTTCTCTTTGTACCTTATGGTGTAAATTTTGCTATTTGACTTTTCACCTGAGTTGTTTCCTTTAATATGAAAATTTAAGGCTATTTAGCTGAGAACTGCCTAGTGTTGTGAAACAGGTTATCAAGAATCTGGAAGTCTAAGATAGGAAAGAAAAAAGGTCTTTATGAATCTATAAGATGTACTTCTATTGGCATGACTAATATGTCAATGCATTTATGTGTTGTGTACACAATGTTTCACTACTGAAAATATATAAAAGAGCTCTAATTAATTGGCTTAAAGAAAAAGAAAAGCACTTAAATCATCAAATACTTTATCAGAAAAAGGAAGACTAGTCAAATCCTTTTTCAAGTTCATGTAACTTAAGTAAAATATTTAATAAATAAGCTAGCTTTAAAATTATTGGTAAAGTAATATTAGAAATGTCTTAAGAATTGCCAGCATACATTTTTGTTTGCATTTATTAATCAAGCAATTTCATACTTATTACTGCCAAACACTATAAGGTGTCAAAATTTGGCATAGGGATTAGAAAACTATAAACTCAGACCAAAACAGAATGATCTCTGCTTGTGTAATCTTTAATAAATAAGACATTGATATTGGTTTAATAAAAATAGCTAAACCTTAAATTTAGTAAGATTACCATAACTTTAATTTTGTGGCTTTAGGTGGTCTAGTCCACAGGAAGTAAGGTTTGTTATCGTCTTTGTTTCAAAGCTAAACTATAAACTAAGTTCCTCTCAAAATTTGTTTGGCCTATGCCCAGGAATGAACAAGGACAGTTTGAAGGTTAAAAGCAAGATGGGGCCAGTTAAGTTAAATCTTTTTCACTGTCTCAGTTATAATTTTGCAATGGTGGTTCCATAATTTTAAATGATGACTATCACAGTTTTCATAAATAATCTAGGTAAACAATGAAAATAAAATAATTAGGTAAATGTAATAGAATAAATACTTGTAGACACATTCATCATAATTTAGAATCTAAAGTTATATTAAATTAGATAATAGATATTTCATTATTTGGGTATTTTCTAATAAAAATATAATTGTAGGAAAACGTTCTTTCTAAAAAAAAAAGTGTGTCCTTTAAAAAAAAGTGAAAAATTTTTGTCTAATTCAAAGCTTATTTAAAGATCATGTATAAAACAAGGTAAAAGGAACCAGGAAATAAAAGAGATGTAAAGAAAGTTATAAAAATAAAGATTTTTTTTGTAAGAAAGCTTAAAGAGAAATAATTTCATATGAAAAAGAATATTGTGTGGTAAATTTAGTCCTAGAGTAAAATGACATGACTGGTTATTTAAGAAGGAGGGATGTTCAAGACAAACTGGAAAGTCCAAGCATGTCACAAAAGGTCTATGTAAGTCACAATAAGCGGATTTATAAAACAAACAAAACCAAAAACTTTTATATGATCAAGTTGTCATATTATTATTAAGTTTTGGTTTGCTTAGGAAAAAAAGATTAAAACTTTTTTTAAATTAAGGTTACTACATCTGTGTATCTCTCTTGTGAACCCAGAAAATCTCAGACAGGTCTCAGTTAATTTAGAAAGTTTATTTTGCCAAGTTTGAGGACGAGCCCATGACACAGCCTCAGGAAGTCCTGATGACATGTACCCAAAGTGGTCAGGGAACAGCTTGGTTTTATACATTTAGGGAGACATGAGACATCAATCAATATATGTAAGAAGTACATTGGTTCAGTCTGGAAAGGTGGAACAACTTAAAACAAAGGCAGGAAGACTCTAAGTGGGGAGGGAGCTTCCAGGTCACAAATAGATAGTAAACAAACGGTTACATTCTTTTGAGTTTCTGATTAGCCTTTCCAAAGGAGGCAAATTAGATATGTATCTATCTCAGTGAGCAGAGGAGTGACTAAATAGAATGGAAGGCAGGTTTGCCCTAAGCAGTTTCCAGCTTGAGATTTCCTTAGTGATTTTGGGGGCCCAAGATATTTCCTTTCACACTCTTTATGCTC
Organism: Homo sapiens; assembly: GCF_000001405.40. Lineage (NCBI taxonomy): Eukaryota > Metazoa > Chordata > Mammalia > Primates > Hominidae > Homo > Homo sapiens. The sequence goes on along the minus strand of NC_000014.9, from coordinate 67,709,823 downwards.
TTTTAAAGTACTTGTGACATTGAGTTACAGGGCTTTGATGCCTTGGTCTAAAAAGGACATCAAAGTCCTGCTAATTTTTTAAACACTGACAGCCATTAAAGCCCCCCATCTTCAGGCCTGGTAGAAGATGCCAATCAAAATAAACTGTATTCCTGAAACACAGGGCCAGAAATTAAAGCTATTAAACTCCTCAAGGCCCAGGGACTATCACAGAAGAGATGGGCATGTGAGATTGTGAGGGCCAATTTTAAGAGATAAAACAAGTTCTGTTTCTCTACATGTTAATCATTAATGTCAAAGGCACACTGATGCAAGACCAGCATATGGGCCCCTGTGTCAGATTAACAAGGTTTTCTTGAAGCATTAACCAACTCCTAAAGGTTATAAAGGTTATGAAAGGCTTATGAAAGTTATATCTTATGGTCAAGATTAAAATGTTATAGATTGTTTATAAAATTTTGAAAAATGAATTTAATTGGCTTCATGCTGTTTTTATTAGGGCTTATTGTTTGGAAAATTAAGTCTCCTCTCTCAAAGAATGAAGGTTTTCACCTTTTTTGGGGAAATCCTTGAGTTATCACTTTGGTTAAATGAATAACTTATTTCACAATGACCTATTAATTCTATTTTGTGATATCAAGTGTTTTAAACCTTTGATATTTGACAAACTTTCCAAAATCAAACTATAAATTATGTCTTTTTCTGACCTAATTAATCCTTTAAGATATTGTTGGGCCTGGCACAGTGGCTCACACCTGTAATCCCAGCACTTTGGGAAGCCAAGGCCAGCGGATCATGAGGTCAAAAGATCGAGACCATCCTGGCCAACGTGGTGAAACCCCATCTTTACTAAAAATACAAAAATTAGCTGGGTGTGGTGGCGCATGCCTGTAGTCCCAGCTACTCGTGAGGCTGAGGCAGGAGAATCACTTGAACCTGAGGGGCAGAGGTTGCCGTGAGCCAAGATTGCACCACTGCACTCCAGCTTGGCGACAGAATGAGACTCCCTCTCAAAAAAAAAAAAAAAAAGGTATTATTAATAGGTTCCCTAGAGTCCGAAAATGACATATTTGGCTTATTTGGTATAAAAATTATACAGGAAGCATAGTCAAATATGAAATGGTGTTTGGTTTTCTTTGGGCTGTATTTGTATAAATATGTTACTGGTATGTGTTCCAAAATCATGGGAAACTCCTGTAATTTTGGTATGACTTAGTGTACATTATCAGTAATAATTATAATTGTTATGTTAAATTATCATATGCCACAGAGATAACAAATTTCCTTGTCAATTGTTTCTTTATGGCTGCCCTAAAACCTTTCATCATCCACAGACAATTGTTGTCTTGTTTTGGTCCTCCTTAGAAGGTGGTTTTATAATCAGCTATAGAACTCTAACAGGTGTTCTTAAATGCAGGTTTCTGATAACTTTGGAGATTGTAACCTTAGAATAGAGGAAAAAACTTTCAGGACTCTCATGGAGAGCTGAAGTGTTCACGAATATCAAGCAGAACAGGATTAACTGCATAAACTAAACTGATAGAAGACTAAAGTAATATTTTTAACTTTTTGCTTAAAACGTTGCTGATCCTTTTTTTTGTTTTTCAGAGTCAAGAAAACTTTTCTTTTAAGCTATTTACAGCTTTTAGCAATTGACTAAAGTATACTCCCATGAACAAAACTTGGGGCATATTTGTGTCTCTCTGCCTAATTTCTCCAGAATTTGGAAATTATTTGTGAGTATTTGTAACTTATAACAATACAGCTATTTACGTAAGTGCAGTAAGAATCTGTTTCCATTTGTAACAGGACACAATTGGAGAAACTGGTTATTTTATCAAGACTTTGACTGGAATGGTGTGCTTTCCCTTGGAATCAAACTTGACTTCTGGAACCAAGATAGCCCCTTGGAAAAATTGGCCTCTTACCTTTATCTACACAGCCCCTGTACAGGGTTCCTGATCTGTGGTAGGTAAAGAATGTCACTTTCTGACAGGCCCAGGAGCCCCAAGTTTACCTTGGAACCTCAAGAGGAGAGGTTAACTCAATTCATAGGTATTTGATAGCACAAATCCACGGCTGGGCTCAGCTTTAAAGAAGTCTTATCTGAGATTCTTTCTACAGAACACAGTTTCATCAAAGCCAATTTAAAAGCCTATGTAAAAAATAATTATTCTTACCAGCCTGGCCAACATGGTGAAATCCCATCTCTACTAAAAATATAAAAATTAGCTGGGTGTGAAAGCACATACCTGTAATCCCAGCTACTTGGGAAGCTGAGGCAGGAGAATCACTTGAACCCAGGAGGTGGAGGTTGCAGTGAGCTGAGATCACGCCACTGCACTCCAGCCTGGGCAGCAGAGTGAGACTCCATCTCAAAAAATATATATATATTCTTGCTGCTCTGTATACAAATAATTAGGCCAAGTATAATAAAGCAAACAAGTCCTACCATAATTTGTCTTTAGTAAAAATGGGAAACTGGAGAGAGAAAAGATTGTTTCAAAAAGTGTAGTACACCTATTGTTAGATTTTAGTCTTGCCTAATGTTTTGCAATTTTTATTGTTTTCTACAGTTTGGACTGAATTCTAATTTTTGTTGGCTACAAGTCTTCAAAATAATGTTTTCAATTGTTTTCCTTCTTTTTTCCCCATTTTTCCTAATTTGGAGTCACTAAAAAACTAAGTTGTGCTTTCGTAAAGCTCTGCAAACTGAAGCTAGACAACTTAAACTTCAGAAGAAAATAACAGCAACCTATTTACATACATAAACCGCTTTCATACCTGCCTACTGATGTATGGACTACAGAGTAATGTGGCCTATATCAATTTTCCAGGATTTTTCTTTTGTTTATTGTTGTTTGTATCCCTTCCTCCCCCTAATTTCTCTGCATAGGACATGAGACTTCACAACCTTCTAAAAATGAGCTTTGCTAATAACTTAGGACCTACCTGTCTAGGAACGAACCATCCTAACCAAGAGAGATTAGAAAAAAGCTGGGACCAGAGACTCATTTTCTTCTAAAATGCTTTCTCCAGAAGATTTTTTTTAAAGGGTGGAGAAAATGTGAAAGGAAAAGATCTCGGCCCCCAAAATCACAAAGCCAAAGGGAAAATTCAAGCTGGGAACTGTTTAGGGCAAACCTGCTTCCCATTCTATTCAAAGTCATCCCTCTGCTCACTAAGATAAATGCGTATCTGATTGCCTCCTTTGAAAAGGCTAAACAGAAACTCAAAAGAATGCCCCTGTTTGTGTCTCATCTTCCTGTGACCTGGAAGCCCATTCCATGCTTCGAGCTGTCCCTCCTTTCCAGACCAAACCGATGTTCATTTTCCATATGTTGATTGATGTCCCGTGTCTCCCTAGAATGTATAAAACCAAACTGTGTTCTGACCACCTTGGACATATGTTGTCAGGCCCTCCGAAGGCTGTGTCGTGGGGACACGTCCTCAACCTTGGAAAATAAACTTTCTAAATTAACTGAGACCTGTCACAAATTTTCTGGGTTCACACTACAAATATCACAAAATCCAGAAAATGACATTATATTTTTATTTTATTTTTAAAATTAGAGACGTGCATTGCTATGTTGCCCAGGCTGGAGTGTAGTGGCTGTTCATAGGCACTATCTTGCGACTGATCAGCGCCTGTATTTTGACTTGCTCTGTTTCTGACCTGGGCCAGTTCTCTCCTTCTTAGGTAACCTGGTGGTCCCCTGCTCCCAGGAGGTCACTATATTGATGCTGAACTTAATGTGGACACCTGATTGGCACAATACACTACAAGCCCAGAACGTCTAGGCTAAAGGGATCTTTCTACCTCATCCTCCCAAGTAACTGGAACTATAGGCACATGCCACTGCACCTGATATCTTTACTAATTAACTGCTTGACATAGTTAATGATATTTTTTTCTTATATTTTTGGCTGTATACTTTTTGAGTGCCTCCTCCTATAAAAATTATTTTGTAAATATCATTTTCCCTAGGGAAAATAAAAAGATAATTCAGCCTTTCCTCTGTCATGGTTGATCAAATGTGTCTTTTAAAACATCTTATTTTGAAATATTACAAAAAATTGCAAAAATAATACAAAAAATTCCTGCATACTTTTCACTCAGCTTCCCCAAATGTCAACATTTTAAATAACCTTAGAACAATGATCAAAACCAGGAAATTAACATTGGTACAACACCACTAACTAAACTAATGGCTTTATTCTAATTTCACCAGTTTTCTCACTAATGTCCTATTTCTGGTCCAGGATTGAATTCAGGACCCCACATTGCATTTAGTTGTGATAACCTACAGGTCACGTTTGGCAGTCTTCCAAATTAGCCTACCTGGGGCAAGTCTTATGATTCATGGCTTACATAGCATTTCTGAGTAAAGAATCTTACGATGAGTCTCTCAAATCTTATTGAAAATTTCTCAAACTGTTGACGTACACATTAATATGTAACCTACTGACACTGAAAAGGACACTGATTTGTTTCTGAATCATGAAGTGTTACTGATTGTCTTAAACATGGACATTTTAACTTGTATGTTGTCATCTGTAGCCAAGGACTGTAACCTCTGTATTGTGCCATTCAATGAAAAAGGACAACTCCAGTATGAAGAGTCTCCATCCCTTCTTCTAAACTTTCTTATAAAATCATTCCAACTTCTAACGACAGACTTTGGAATACACCCAGCTTTATTGGCGTGTCTTCCCAGATTGATCCTCACATTTGGCTTCCAATAAACCTTTATCAATTTATTTCTGCCTCAACAGCCTTAATTTCCATCAACAAAATGGCATAGCTGACAGGATTTCAGAGTGACCTCCCTGGACTACCTAGACCTGCTTCCAACCTTTGTGCATGTGCCAGCACAAAATCCATTGTGTTCCTGGACTTAGATGCCCCTGCTGAGTGCTACAGATGAGTTCCTCCTGAAATCAATGAAGTTCCTGTCTTGGTTGATGTTCTGGTTTATTAAAGCTGGTTTCCTCCTTGGCTACGTGGTACAATGACTGTCTCAGAACGAGAGCTGCTGCTATGAATTCAAGATAAGGGCTTTTGTTAAATACTAGGGCAGGGTAAAATAGAAGCTTTGTAAATTGTTTCCCTGGTGATTTGGGGTGAGACCTTTCCTTAGCTTTTTCCTTTTCCAGTCGCATGAGGGCACTCTTACTCTACTCCATAACTTGTCCTCACACAAAGCTAAAATGGGAAGTGCACTCTAAGACACCTGCTGAGTTTTAGGTATAATACTTACCATCCTTCCACTTGCAAGTGCCTAGATAAGCAGTAGATCCCCTAACCCAGGGTGGTTATAAGCAGCAGTGGCCAAAATGGAGCTGTTCCGAAAATGCCTAAGATAATTTATTTGCACACACAGTTGAAAAAAAGCTGGTTTTAGATACAGACAAATTGAATGGAAGATTTACTTCCAATAACACCTACAAGCTTCTAAAAAAATTATTTTAAAAATGCCTCAATTCAAGAGGTAAAAAAGATATGTGAAACGATTTGAAAATTTTAATGATTTAGGAGGCTTTCTCCTTTTTGCCTCTAGCTGCTCCTCCTCCTTCTACCCCCGTAATCAGAACTCAGCTCTTCCTGTTTGTTCTCCTGGCTCCCATACACCTCTTAGGCACAGATTTTTTAGAATTTCACAATACACACATTTCCTTCCCTCAAAAGGGGGAAATATATTTAAATTTAAAACAAGGGGAACAAACAAAACAACTGCAGAATGAAAATAGAACTACTGAGATCATAAAAATACGAATCCAACAGTTTTTCTAAACTGAGAGATTAATATTTTAAAAATGAGATTCTCAAACATTAAGACATGCCAGGCCAAGCACAGTGGCTCACGCCTGTAATCCCAGCACTTTGGGATGCTGAGGTGGGAAGAACACTTGAGTCTAGGAGTTTGAGACCAGCCTGGGCAACATGGCAAAACCCCATCTCTACCCAAAAAATGCAAAAATTAGCCAGGCACGGTGGTATGCACCTGTAGTCCCAGCTATTAGGGAGGCTGAAGTTGGGGGATCACTTGAGACCAGGAGAGAGAGGTTGCAATGAGCTGTGATCATGCCACTGCACTCCAGCCTGGGCAACAGAGTGAAACTCTGTCTCGGAAAAATAAAAAAAGACATACTGGGTTTTCTGAGACTCCAGCTAGATACATATTATGGCCCATTGTTGTGCACATCTTAAAATAATAGACAGATTAGAACTCAAGTGGTCCACCCAGAACTACAGAGTTAACATGTAGGATCGTCTAAGTTCTCTGTCTACCTCTATATATTTTTTCTGCCTACTTTGAAACTACTGACTTTTCTACTTGTGTTGAGATAAAGCTCACTGTTTATAGTATTACTAACTTAAGAAGACTTAGAAATTTTGTTTTTCTTATACGATTCAGCCAGTTCAAGCTAAAATGTTAACATTAAAAACCTAACTCTAAACTCATTTGAAACTGAATAAAAGGATAAAAGATTTTTAAAATAAAACTGCCATCGAACTACCTTACCCAAAAATTTTGGCTCACAGCCTTCATTAGATTACCTATTGGGACAAATAAAATTTAGCCATGTGAACTAACAGGTCCCAATTTTTTCCAAAAATAATTTAGATCCAACTATCTTTTATAAACTGGTGAGTTTGTATTACTATCTCATGACTAAAATTCTAAAATGAAAACTATAAGGGCCAGATGAGGTGACTCATGCCAGCAGTCCCAGCACTTTGGGAGGCCAAGGTAGGAGGATCATTTGCGCCCAGGAGCTCAAGACCAGCCCTGGCAACATAGTGAGACTCTGACTCTACAAAAAAAAAACTTTTTTAAGTTAGCTGGGCATGGCGGCACGCACCTGTAGTCCCAGGTACTCAGGAGGCTGAGGTGGGAGAATCACTTGAGCCTGGGAGGTCCAGGCTGCAGTGAGCCATGGTCATACCACTGCTCTCTACCCTGGGCAACAGAGTGAGGCCCTGTTTCAAAAGACAAATCAAAAAATAAAGGTATAAGATCTCTATTTGTGCATATATATGTGTGTTTAGATGTGTTTACATATATACATGTAATATGTTATATGTTGTATCTACATGATACCCAATTGACTTATAGATAAATGAGCACTCATAAATTAGTAAGCCCAAAGGTTTTCCAAGTTCACATGACTTAAGTAATTCTTTAATAAATAAACTGGCTTTAAAATTATTAGTAAAATAAATATTAAAATGTCTTCAAAATTGTCAACATACATATTTGCCTAGATTTATGGTCAGATTTATACTTGTCTTATTAAATATTTTACAGGGTCAGGATTTGGCACAAAGGTAAAAAACTATGAACCCAGCCAAAACCAAAATAATCTTTGTGTGATTTTTTTTATAAGTAAGACTAATTTAATATTGTTGGTTTAAGAAATACAGCTAAACCTTCTGAGTTATCAACAAAATACCCATGTATTTAACTTTAAATTTCTTGCTTAGGTAAATATCTGACATTCACAGGCTATAAAAATGGTTAATAGAAAAAAACTTAAAAAACTGAGCACAGGCCAGGCATGGTGGCTCATGTGTGTAATCCTAGCACTTTGGGACCCTAAGGTGGGAGAATCACTTGAGCTCAGGAGTTTGAGACCAGCCTGGGCAACATAATGAGATCTCATCTCCATTTAAAAAATATATATATATTAAATTTTTAAAAAAGCTGGGCACAGTGGTTCATGACTGTTATCCTAATGCTTTAGGAGGCCAAGGCAGGTGGATCATTTGAGATCAGGAGTTCAAGACAAGCCTAAGCAACATAGTGAGACACTGTCTCTACAACACAGTGAGATACTGTCTCTACAAAAATTTTGAAAATTAGTCTGGCATGGTGGCACTTACCTGTAGTCCTGGCCACTCAGGAAGCTGAGAAGGGAGGATTGCTTGTGCCCAGGAGTTGAGGTTACGATGAGCTGATCATGCCACTGCATGATAATAATTTATTACATGGTAAATTATTTTCCTAAAGCAAAATGACAGGTTAATTATAAAAGAGAAAGGGTAGGGCAAAACAAAAGTTCAAACATGTCATAAATAGTCTACAGAAATCATAATAGGCCTGGCGTGGTGACTCATGCCTGTAATCCCAGCACTTTGGGAGGCTGAAGTGGGCGGATCACAAGGTCAGGAGTTCGAGACCAGCACAGCCAAAATGGTGAAACCTCATCTCTACTAAAAATACAAAAAGTAGCCAGGTATGGTGGCGCATGCCTGTAGTCCCAGCTACTCGGGAGGCTGAGGCGGGAGAATCACTTGAACCTGGAATGCGGAGTTTGCAGTGAGCCAAGATAGTGACACTGTACTCCAGCCTGGGCAACAGACTCCATCTCAAAAAAAAAAAAAAAAAAAAAAGAAATTATAATAAAGTTCTTTAAAATTTTTTTAAATGTATATGTGATTAAGTTGGCTATAATCAAAAAAAAGTTATAAGTGTTTCTAAAGATTGAGATTTTGGTCCTCTATGTTAAAATAACATTGTCTTAAAGTATAAATTTGCTCTTAGTGAATTACAAGAGCTTTTGATTTTAAATTCTACAATCTATTTCTTTTCTAAAACTTCTCAAATTTATATCTCAAAAAATTCTACTTGTGCTATACCTCGCTGCACATGATTCCCAAGTCATGAATCGTTGTTGTTCGTTCTTTATACCCTTAAAAAGATACATGTTTTTCTTGGTTGAAATGATAATCCTCTCCTTCAACCTTTTTGTCAACTTCTGTAATCTTTGACTTTTTTTTTTTTTTTTTTTTTTGAGATGAAATTTTGCTCTTGTCACCCAGGCTGGAGTGCAGTGGCAAGATCTCCGCTTACTGCAACCTCCGCCTCCCAGGTTCAAGTGATTCTCCTGCCTCAGCCTCCGAGTAGCTGGGATTAGAGGCATTCGCCGCCGTGCCCAGCTAATTTTTGTATTTTTAGTAGAGACAGAGTTTCATCATTCTAGCCAGCCTGGTCTTAAACTCCTGACCTCAGCTGATCCACCCGCCTCGGCCTCCCGAAGTGCTGGGATTGCAGGCATGAGTCACCATGCCCAGCCAACTTCTGTAATTTTTTTTTTTTTTTTTGAGATGGAGTCTTGCTGTGTCACCCAGGCTGGAGTGCAGTGCCGCGATCTAGGCTCACTGCAAGCTCCGCCTCCCAGGTTCACGCCATTCTCCTGCCTCAGCCTCCCGAGTAGCTGGGACTACAGGCGCCCGCCACCACGCCCGGCTAATTTTTTGTATTTTTAGTAGAGACGGGGTTTCATCGTGTTAGCCAGGATGGTCTCGATCTCCTGACCTCGTGATCTGCCCACCTCGGCCTCCCAAAGTGCTGGGATTACAGGCGTGAGCTACTGTGCCCGGCCTTCTGTAATCTTTTTCTCTGGTTCTAACTCTGGTGTGGCCTGATGCTAAAATGTTTATCTTAAAGCTCTGGAACAAAACCATTTTCCTCCAATATAACTTGATTCTGTAGTCTTGGCTTTTCTCGATATAGCTAAATTATTTCCTATAACCAGGGCACTTTTGATGCTGTTACTGAGACATATTTATTGTCCTGCTTAAGATACAAGTTTCCTTGTTTACTTTCCTCAAAAATATAGTGTACACTCATAACTCTGGACACACTCTTCCTGTATTTTAATTAAATCCAAGTATCCTTTTTTTTTTTCTCGCTCTGTCTCCAGGCTGCAGTACAGTGGCATCATCTCAGCTCACTGCAACCTCCGCCTCCCAGGTTCAAGCGATTCTCCTGCCTCCATCTCCCAAGGAGCTGGGACTACAGGTGCGCACCACCACGCCCAGCTGATTTTTGTATTTTTAGTAGAGACGGGGTTTCACCATGTTGGCCAGGATGGTCTCGATGTCTTGACCTCATGATCCGCCCACCTCGGCCTCCCAAAGTGCTGGAAGTACAGGCGTGAGCCACCGCGCCCAGCCTAAATCCAAGTATTCTTTTCATTGAGTTTGTCTTCCAGGTTATCTAAATAGAGTTCCAATAAAGAAAAACAATCATATTACAAAAGGTTTTTCTTTACTTTTTAGTAACTATCCTAAAATTTTTCTTAATGTTTTATCAAGGTAATTCCTGTGACTTACTGTGTTTTGATCACTTTAAAAAAAAAAGCTTTAAAAAGGTGAAGATTTTTTACATCCACATAACTTTCTTTCTTTCTCTCTCTGTTTCTTTTTTTTTTTTTTTTTTTTTTTGAGATAGGGTCTTGCTCTGTCTTCCAGGTTGGAGTGCAGTGGCACAATCACAGCTCACTGCAGCCTCAACCTGTGAGGCTCAAGAAATCCTCCCACCTGAACCTCCGGAGTAGCTGGGACCAAAGGCACACACCAGTACACTGCCTATTTTATTTATTTATTTTTTGTTTATTTATTCATTTATTTTTTAAATTTTTGGTTGAGACAGGGACTCATTAGGTTTCCCAGGCTGGTCTCGAACTTCTGGGCTCAAGTGATCCTCCCGCCTTGGCCTTCCAGTGTTGGGATTACAGGGATGAGCCACCACATCCAGCCTTTTATCTTTTTTTTTTTTCTGAGATAGAGTCTCGCTCTTGTCGCCCAGGCTGTAGTGCAATGGCGCGAACTTGGCTCATTGAAACCTCTGCCTCCCGGGTTCAAGTGATTCTCCTGCCTCAGCCTCCCAAGTAGCTGGGATTACAGGTGCCTGCCACCATGCCCAGCTAATTTTTTTGTATTTTTAGTAGAGATGGGGTTTCATCATGTTGGGCAGGCTGGTCTCAAACTCCTGACCTCAGGTGATCCATCCATTTCGGCCTCCCAAAGTGCTGGGATTACAGGCATGAGCCAACATGCCTGGCCCTTTTATCTTCTTTAGAGTTCTCTTTTCTTCTTACTAGCACACAGGTTGGCAAACCATGACCCACAGGCCAAATGCAGCCCACTGTTTGTTTTTGTAAATAAAGTTTCATTGGAACACAGTAACATTTGAACAGTAAACACAGTAACATTTGAACACATTTGTTCAAATATTATCTATGGCTGCTTTCACATTTACAACAGCAGAGTCGAGTAGCTGCAACAGAGACCAAATCCTCCTCAGAGCATAAAATATTTATTTTTCTTTTCAGGAGAAGTATAACAGCTCCTATACTATCCAGTCCCTCATTATTCCAATCCCATTATAGTTAATAATTTTTTTATGTTAAACTTTCCCTGTTCAAATTGTTGTGTAGTTTCTCACTTCTGATTGAACCCTGTCTGATACATCTCCAACCTCTCTGGCCGTTTCTCAGTCAATTTTTGGGCTCCCCTCCCTCTACCCATTTCATAATGTTAGGGTTCCTCAAAGCTTCCCTCTGCTTTTAGATAGGTTTTTGCTCTGCCACCCAGGGTGGAGTGCAGTGGCACAATTCTAGCTCACTGCAGCCTCCAACTCCTGACTCAAACAATCCTCCCACCTCAGCCTCCCAAAGAGCTGGGACTACAGATGTGTACCACCATGCCTAGCTAATTTTTTAGTAGAGATAATCAATGGTTTTTAATCTAGATTCCATTATGGCTCCAATGTGTCTATAAACCACCTGAAATTATATGCAAATTTTATATGGATATGCAAATACACACAAGTATGGGGAGAAATTTCCAGCTTCATCTTTTGGCAATATAGCTCAATAGTTAAGGGCACAATAGACCCTGCATACAACTTGGTGGACAAAAGTGACTGCATCTGGGATGCTAATCTGCAATGCTGACTTCAATGTTGACTGCAATGTTGATTAGCCCCAGTCCTGTGAATATCTCCTGATTCCTACTTTATTTACTGTCCCTAGTGTAAGAACATGTCAACCTTGATGTTATTGCACAAATTATTATCTATTACACATGTAGCATTCTTGCCTGTTCTGGAGGGCTACCTTTAATTGTCTTGCACAGAGCAGTTTGACTCTTTCCCTACAGTATATAAACTCTGAGTGTGGAGCTTACATGTACAGAAATCTGCCACCCAAGCCCACATTTCTGTCTGTAAATTCCCACAGTAAAACACCCTTACCAAGAAACTGGATTTGTCTGCCTCAACCTTTGGTGTCTTGGCTCCTCTGGCATTTGGGGGCCACTTTGCATATAGGGCCCTCTCATGGAACACCACCTGCTTCAGTTTGAATCCCAGCTCTGCCTCTTTGACCTAGGCTAGCTTACACGGTGCCTCAGTTTTCTTGTCTGTAAAATAGGGAAAATTATAGTACCTACCTCTTAGAGTTGTTATGGGAATTAAGAGTTAATATATATATATAAATCATTGGGACAGGGCCTGGCCATAATTAAGCAGTATTTAAGCACTGGCTATTATTGCCATTTCTGGCACTCTCCCTTCTCCCTAGACGGTTTTCTGTTGCTCTAGTGCACCCTGCTTTCTCTGACTGTGAACCCTCAGGTGGGGTCTTTCCTCTGCTCAGCACACTCTTGTCTATGTTGCTTGCCTACTAACTTCCCTCTGGCCTCCGCTCAAATGTTATTTCCTCAAATAAGCCTCTCCTGATCTAGAACTCCTCTCCCTTGTAAAAGCTCCCAGAGCTTTCTCTAATCCTCCTCATAACCTTCACCATGATTTATTTACAGTGATTACTTATTTAAGGTCTTCTCTGACAGTCCATGAACTCCGGGCGAGCAGAGATTATGTGTTCCTGGCTTCCTGCTGGACATCAGCACAGTGCCTAGTACACTATAGGAATGCCATAAATGTTTGTCAAATGCGTGAATGACTGAATAAGGAACAAAACAAATGAAAGGCTTTTATAAAGTTATAAAACCCAATACAAATATTAGGTAACACAATAATGAGAATGTGACAAAATGTGATGATTGCTAGGTAATCTAATGTTAAATTGGTAGGAATTAGTATTGTGTGAAGGAAACCCTCTCTTCTCCAATTTGCTATAAAATATATTAGTTCATTGGAACCCGTGTCTTTTAACCAAATGGAAATTATGCAAAAGGACCAGAAAATATTACTGGGTACAATTAAGGAATCACAGACAGATATTGATTGGTTAAAACACCCTCCACTTTCACCCCCAGGAAATAGGCCTCAGATGAAAGAAACTATTGAACAGGGAACCTATTTATTCACAGAGAACATATTCATGGCCTTAATTCAAGACAGGATTAAATACTTTCACGAGTTGGCAAAACCAACTGTGCCAATCTGAGATATTCATTGCTACCCTGGGAGTTAATGTATGTGACCCAAGCCATCAGGAAGACGATATTCTATTATCAATGAACACTCAAACACTAGAAAAATCATGATAGTTGCCACCATAATTCAAGATAGACACAATAAAGTGATTCTCCTGAGAATGTCTTCAAGGACTTATTGCTTCCTCTTCTCTGGAAAAAGGAATCCTCGAGGAGGAAGGGTTTACATTCCCCCACCTTCCCAACTGTCAGACTTCGGACCGCTCCTCTCCTGTCTAATCCGCCTTTCATTTCCCAGACGCCAACATCTGATCTCCAGGAGAAACAGTGCGGTAACTGCCTAACCAGGATTGGGGAAAACTGAACCAGGCACTGGACTTGGGTCTGGGGAGATAGAGGACTGCAGAGATTTCACAAACACCGCGGTGCCTAGTACACTATAGGAATAAGTGTACTATTCCTATAGTGTATACTTTTTTTTTTCCAGAAAAATCCCTCTGGGGTATGAGCACTATTTTCAGTTCTGGTTCAACTTTTCATTGAGATTCTATGTGGATAAGAGGATCTTGTAGTGAAAAAAAGATAAAAAGCAGTGTTTTCATCTGAGTGTGAGAAACCATGTGTGCCTAGAGGTGGGAGAACTGAGTATTCAGAAGGCAGAAAAAATAACTGAGAGCTGGGTGAATGATCCCACAGGCCCTAAGCCCTAGATGGTTGGGGATTAGCGATGTATAATTCAACTTCTGCCAGCGTTGGCGGCAGCGCTCCCACGTAGCCAGCCTGAGGCTGTCAAGCTCTGGACTACATTTCCCAGAAGGTCTGCTCCCCGGGCTGTCGCAATTTGAATTGGGGCGTGTCTAGAAAGAGAAGCCATAGTCGGCGAGCAACGCTGGAGCATCCCGCTCTGGTGCCGCTGCAGCCGGCAGAGATGGTTGAGCTCATGTTCCCGCTGTTGCTCCTCCTTCTGCCCTTCCTTCTGTATATGGCTGCGCCCCAAATCAGGTCTGTGCAAATGTATTGCCTTCTCTTGAGAATTCTTGTTGCGGGGCGGGAGGGAAACATAGAATCCCCACCAAAGCTTTCTTGGAAAACTCCCCTGGGGGGGCTCCAAGATGGCGGAGCCCAGAGTTCGGTGGGTTGGAGGCGAGGTCCAGCTGTCCTGGGTGCCAGGAGGACACCCGAGACCCCAGGCGGTGAGAAAGGGCGGCAGTCCGGGGCACACTGCTTTTCCCTGGCCTGTTTTTCTTTTGTCTAAGCACCCCCTGATTCTGGCTCCAGGGAATCCCGAGGGTAAGGCTACCTCAAACGCTTGAGTTTCGGACTCTTCAATGGGATATGGCCCGACGCTGTTTTCCCCTTATTCCCCACGCCTTAAACCAGCCTTCGAGGTACAAAGGAGCGATTCCACATTTCGCCCTCTGAAACTGATAGCAATCGTAACATCTGCGGCCCCATCCTTGCTCTCTCGTTGCTGTTACAATCGCTTGTTCTGTGGGCGGATGTTGTAAAGGAGAAAAGTGAAAAGGAAGAGTGTTTGGTTATGAGCTCTATCCTGCCTTGCGAGCAGGAGCACGGGGGATCTGAGTTAGGAGCTAGGGTACTGGGGCGGTGAGGGCTGGGAGAATGGTGGGAAGGTATTGACCAGGTGATAGATCAATCAGCCCAAGGCTGGCCAAGTGCCCCAGTGAATCAGCAGCGGGCTGTAAAACCGGCAGCCTGCTTATTGGTTCTAAGTAAATCACCAGTGGTGACGGACCAGTGACTGAATAGACAGACACACTCCTTCCCCAGGTGGGCGGTCTTAGTCCCAATAGAACTTGAAGCCAGGCCAGATCACAGTCATTTCTTACCACAGTCACCTACTTTCCTTCTTTTATTTTTATTTTCTCTTCCTTCTCTGGTGCCCCTCTTCCAGTTATATTTTTTCTGCCTTCTGAACACTCAGTTCTCCCACCTCTAGGCACACATGGTTTCTCACACTCAGATGAAAACACTGCTTTTTATCTTTTTTTCACTACAAGATCCTCTTATCCACATAGAATCTCAATGAAAAGTTGAACCAGAACTGAAAATAGTGCTCATACCCCAGAGGGATTTTTCTGGAAAAAAAAAAAATATATGTGTGTATATATATATATATATGTGTGTGTGTGTATATATATATATGTGTGTGTGTGTGTATATATATATATATATATATTCCAGGAGCTGTATTCCCAACTCAGCAGGGTTATGGGAGTCGGGCCAGAGCTGGACTTTTATAGTTGTCTCTTTCATTCCTGCTGGTTAAGGAGAAGAAAGAACTAAGTACAGGTCCTACTAAGTTGTCACTCCTGGAGCTACATACAGTAAGGGGATGTGGGAAACAGCCTAGAGGCTTGTTTTCTGAGGAGGGAGGTGATGGTTTGTGGGGACCATGAGTTAATCTGCCTCCCTGTCAGCATTTTCGCACTATGCAGGTAGCTTCAATGGCTAAGAGTATGTACCTTGCAATTCCAAGTTCAATGAAAAAGGCTGAAATGCTCTTTAAGAATGCATCTCCTGGTCAACAGATTGTTTTAACCAGAGTCCCAACATTGCCAAGAAGAGAATAGGCCAGTCTGAGAACCACCAATCTGTGTTTGTGCATTCATTCATTTGGAAAAGGCAATATAGTATAGTACTTAGAAACAAGCACTCTAGGCTGGGCTTGGTGACTCACACCTGTAATCCCAGCACTTTGGGAGGCTGAGGTGGGCGGATCACCTGAGGTCAGGAGTTCGAGACCATCCTGGCCAGCGTGGTGAAACCCTGTCTCTACTAAAAATACAAAAATTAGCTGGGCGTGGTGGCGCATGGGTGAGGGGGTGAGGGATGAGAATCGCTTGAACCTGGGAGATGGGGGTTGCAGTGGAGGTGGAGGTTGCAGTGAGCCGAGATCACACCATTGCACTCCAGCCTGGGCAACAAGAGCAAAACTCTGTCTCAAAAAAAAAAAAAAGAGAAAGAGAAAGAAAGAAACAAGGACTCTAATTACACAAAGCAAGACTTGAATCCCAGCTCCCCTTTGTACATACATAATCTTCTCTTTGTTTTAAGTGTGTATGTGCATGCGTGTGGGTGTGTTTTTTTTTTCTTGTTTATTTTGTCCCAGAGTCACAAGCTTTCATAATTTTAACTTTTTGTATTGGATTAGCCATTTCTCAAGGCCATAAAATGCCAGTTGTGGACAGATTGACCTACAGAAACTAGTTATTTCTTCTTCTGGGCTGAATCTTGTGATTTCCTAAGTCACAAGTGCCTTAGAGAGCTCAAACCAAAGCCAGGTGCCTGGCTAAGCAGGTATTCATCCAGTTCTTGTGCTGCAGAGAACAGCTGTAAGCTTTGCCCTTGTAATAGAATCACTTTTGTCTTTGAGCAAAAGCAGAAAACTTTTGTCATCTTTCCTCCAACTTTCCTTAAATGGACACTGTTTCCTTAAAAGGACAACAGTGGAAAGAACTAAAGCAAACCTCAGCCAGAAGACACAGGGAGTTGCAGGAACCTACTGGCTGAGACAGTAGAATGAAGAATTGATGAGCTCTCCTTCTCTGTCTGCAGGAAAATGCTGTCCAGTGGGGTGTGTACATCAACTGTTCAGCTTCCTGGGAAAGTAGTTGTGGTCACAGGAGCTAATACAGGTATCGGGAAGGAGACAGCCAAAGAGCTGGCTCAGAGAGGCAAGTTCACCTCCTTTCAATTCCCTCCTATTACTGCTGTTTTACCCCTCACAGTAATGATGATTCATTCTCATTGTTTCTTCCCAGTTTTGGAATTCAAGAACACCTAAGGATTCCACTGATTTGCTGATCTGAAACTAGTACTATGCTCTACATATAATGGACCCTTAATGAATATTATTAATTTATTTTTCTTTACCTATTTGCTAATCAGATACCTCTGTTGTGAAGAAAGGGTAAAAATGTGTGTTTTTTAAAAAAATGTTGGAAATAACATTAGATTTATAATGCCAGCTCAAAAACAGAGCTGACCATTTCTCTTTCATATGTTGGCTGACAGGAGCTCGAGTATATTTAGCTTGCCGGGATGTGGAAAAGGGGGAATTGGTGGCCAAAGAGATCCAGACCACGACAGGGAACCAGCAGGTGTTGGTGCGGAAACTGGACCTGTCTGATACTAAGTCTATTCGAGCTTTTGCTAAGGGCTTCTTAGCTGGTAAGTGTAGAACTAGAGAGACTATGTTGTGGGTCTTGAGGTCAACATGGCAGATTCAACTAAAAGGAAAAGGTCCCTCTTCCTCATAGAAGTGGTGGATAAAATATAGCCAAAAACTTCTGTAGCTGAACTCATAGTCACTGGGACACAATTTATGTCAAAGGGATATCTTCCAGAGGCAGAAACAAAAAATGAATTCAAAACGTCATAGCAGTGAGTAAGAGCTGAAGCCAGAAATCTCATGGGAGTCTCAGCACTCAGTACAGGCTTTTTAGGGTCTGGGGTCTAAATACTTACACAGGGATAGGAGATGAGGCCACAGGCCTTTGAGAGCTGGAGCTGTATTTGAGGTTCTACACAAAGTTGAGATTCACAAAGGGCCATCTGGTCCATAGTATAGAAGCTAATAAAAATCCTGGCCACCAGCTCAGAGACATGACAAAGAAGTTTACCATCTCTTTAGACATAGATGGATACTTACCTGCAAAAAATTAGAACCCGAGCTGGCATCATGTGTGGGGTCTGAATTCGTACCACCAAATGATATGAGGATATTTATGGGTTTGATTTTTGTATGTGTGTGTAATACTCTATGGAAAATTAACGTAAAAACCTGTAGTGTCTCATCAAAAGCAAATCCAAGAGCACTCTATAGGCATATCCCCTTATAGCCCAGGGATCTAGGCCTCCAAGGAAAAAGCTTTCACTGGTGTGAACTCATAGTCATAAATTACAAACCACATGAGGAAATGAACCATGAGAGAGAATTGGAAGATGCAATAAAGAGGTGAAGCCAGTATTTATTTCTTTGGGGACCTGAATCCCAGGGCAGAGGTACATAGAGAACATTCTTTTTTCTCTTGCTTTGGAATCTTTCCATTCAGCTTGGGAAGTCTTTTTATTGAGAGAGGTGGATGCAACAATTCCCAAAAGCAGTGAGTAAGTAGCTCCTGAACTACAAGGATCTGGAAGGTCATTTGGTAGTATAAAATGGAATTCTGCCCCATAGTAAAAGTAGGTGGGATTCAACTAAAGTCTTAAAATGAAAAACAATAGAAAATAAATATGAAGGAAAAATGGAGGGAAGATTGAAGTCCTGCATCCTCATTTTCAAAGCCTGAGCGTGAGGCAGCTTTCTAAGATGTAATAGCCTTGGCTAGCCACTTCCACGCTCCATCGTCTTGTCCCTGCAGAGGAAAAGCACCTCCACGTTTTGATCAACAATGCAGGAGTGATGATGTGTCCGTACTCGAAGACAGCAGATGGCTTTGAGATGCACATAGGAGTCAACCACTTGGGTAAGAAATCTGGCCTTATCACAAAGCTAGAGAGACCCAAAATTCTCTTTGGGAAACTTAGGGGTCAGATTGAGGCTTCTTGTTGTGTGATTGAACCTCAGGACCATAATAGACCATGTGTGCATAATAGTTTGGTCCTACCTGATAGCTGAGGAATACCTGAGGGCTGCTCCAGGTTCTGCCCGCTTTTTAATCTGTGATTTAGATTTGGTTTGCCTTGGCGCATTTTTTAACAGACTAATTGGTTTAGGGGACTGTGTTGCTTTCTTAGTAGTGATCCTTGTGGCCAGCATCAGGTATAGGTCATCTGCTCTTTTTTTGTAAAGACAGGGTCTTGCTATGTTGCCCAGGCTGTACTTAAACTCCTGGCCTCAGGCACCTTCCTGCCTCAGCCTCTTTAAGTGCTGAGATTACCGGCGTGAGCCACCGCACCCAGCCAACCAGCTCTTAAGAATGAGATTAACCAAAGTAGGAATGAGCTGGGACTTCATATTCACATAGTCTAGACCTATCTCGCTCATATAAGGATGCCTCATGTCTTTGGCTGTTGTTATTTCCCTAAACCTTCATTAAACTTGTTTTCTAGTTGATAATGAAAAGTTGGAGGGAAAGACCTTATTTCTGAATTATCTGCCTCCCATAGGTGAGGCCTGCTCACCACGACTCCTGTCATTCCTACATGGCCCTGAACTTCATTAATTCTAGTATTTCTCAACAGGTCACTTCCTCCTAACCCATCTGCTGCTAGAGAAACTAAAGGAATCAGCCCCATCAAGGATAGTAAATGTGTCTTCCCTCGCACATCACCTGGGAAGGATCCACTTCCATAACCTGCAGGGCGAGAAATTCTACAATGCAGGCCTGGCCTACTGTCACAGCAAGCTAGCCAACATCCTCTTCACCCAGGAACTGGCCCGGAGACTAAAAGGTGGGCCTAGAGGAAATGAATGTGGAGACATGAGTCAGAGAGAGGCAGGTAAAAGCCACAGGAATGGAAACTGTTTCCAGAGCCCATCACCTGGAGAGGACCTGCTTCCGTGGCTATAATTGGGTACAGTTTTAGTAAGTAGTCTACAACTGAATATTGGAGGTGGCTGGCTGGGACAGTGAGACTCTGACTTTGAGTCTGAAGGCCTGGCTTTACTACTTACTAGCTGTGTGATCTATAGCAAGTTACTTAACTTTTTTTTTTTTTGAGACGGGATCTTGCTCTGTCACCCATGCTGGAGTGCAATGGTGCAATCTCGGCTCACTGCCGACCTCCACTTCCCAGGTTCAAGTGATTCTCCTGCCTCAGCCTCCTGAGTAGCTGGGACTACAGGTGCGTGCCACCAGGCCTGGCTAATTTTTGTATTTTTAGTAGAGACAGGATTTCACCATGTTGGTCAGGGTGGTCTTGAACTCGTGACCTCAGGTGATCCACCCACCTTGGCCTCCCAGAGTGCTGGGATTTTAGGTGTGAGCCACCGCACCTGGCCATTACTTAACTTTTAGGACTTCCTTCTTCATATGTAAATGGGACTACTTCACAGTTTATTGTCATAATTAATTCAGGCTTCATAAGCAAGTCAAGATTTTTTACTCACAGTGAGACTGAGTATGAGGGAAGGACCTGAACTGGCACTAGATAAAGGCAGTAGACTAAAACAGGTACTGGGAATATGGAGGGGCAGGGTCTCCCTTGCAAAGCATCAAATAAGAGGGAAATATATGCTTGAGAAGGGGAATTTCCAGTCACAAATACACAGAGGTCCTTAGCACTGTCTACTCTGGATTTCTAATAAAGAGAAGGGAAATCGAGGGTGAACTGTGCTAGGAATTGAGGCAGGCAGAATGCAGGCTCAAGGAATCAGGCACAGGTGCCCTATAGTTGGAATAGGATCATCCTACCAAATGAACATCTGTGAGATGGGAAGGAAACTGGTGGTTAGCTCAGTCCTTATGCCCAGTCTGTGCCCAGGGCATGACATCTTTTATCAGTTTAGGATAGATAAGGGTAACTGGATGGTGAAAACTATCCAAAGAGTTGATCAGGGAGCTAGGGTGGCCTGGAGGTGGAAAGATGGGTCCAGTGGTGAGAATTCACTAATACATGAATGAGGTGACTCTGATAGTTGTGAGGATTCAGTGGAAAATCATTATGGTGCAGTAAAAGAACCCTGGTTTGACAGAAGATTCATTCATTCAGCCATTCAGCAGACACGTATTCAGTGCCCATGTTGTTCCGTGCACTGGGTTAGGGGACAGGGGATGAATTGGTGAACAAGATAGGTATAGTCTCTTCTTTGGTTTGGTTTACATCTAACGGGGGAGAAAGACAATTAGCAAGTCTTTATACAAACTATTAAATGTAAAATCAGTCTAGTAATGCATGAATAATTCTCATTGTAAAAAGCTCAAATAAGGTCAGGCACAGTGGCTCACACCTTTAATCCCAGGCACTTTAGGAGGCCAAAACCGGAGGATCACTTGAGGCCAGTTCAAGATCAGCCTGGGCAAAATAGTGAGACCTCATCTCCTCTACCAAAAAAAAAAAAAAAAGAGTTCAAAGCATATGGAAGTATGTAGAATTAAGGTGAAAAACCACCTTCATTTATTCCCCTCTTCCCCCTGCTCTTCTCCCTTCATATGACCATTATCAACAGCTTGTGTGCCCCTTTCCAATAATTTTCCTATGCATTTACATATGTATGTATCATGCACAAGGAACTGAAACTCCAACACAGTATCTTGGAGATCTTTCCATTTAGTACATATGGATTTACCCCTTAATTGTATTGGCTGTGTTGTATTTCGTAGTATAGATGTGCCTTAGTGTATTTATGTATTTCCTTAACAACATCTGGATTGTTTCCTTTTTGTTGTGGCTGTTTAATTATAATTGTGATAAATGTTATAAAGGAGAAGTACCAGGACTTACAATGGATTTTAGTGGGAGTCTTGGGGGGACCTTATTCAGTCTGAGGGTTCAGGGAAGACTTTCCTGAAGAAGTGAGTTGCATGCTGAGCCCCGAAGGATGATTAGAAATTAAATGGATTAGAGGTACTGATAGAATGTGGAGGCTGAGGCCGGGCGCGGTGGCTCACACCTGTAATCCCAGCACTTTGGGAGGCCGAGGCTGGTGGATCACCTGAGGTCAGGAGTTCGAGAACATCCTGGCCAACTTGGTGAAAGCCCTGTCTCTACTAAAAATACAAAAATTAGCCAGGTGTGGTGGCGGGCGCCTGTAATCCTAGCTACTGGAGAGGCTGAGGCAGGAGAATCGCCTGAACCTGGGACAGAGTTTGCAGTGAGCCAAGATCATGCCATTGCACTCCAGCCTGGGCGTCACGAGTAAAACTCTGTCTGAAAAAATGAAAAAAAAAAAGGGCCGGACGTGGTGGCTCATGCTTGTAATCCCAGCAATTTGGGAGGCTGAGGTGGGTAGATCACCTGAGGTCAGGAGTTCAAGACCAGCCTGACCAACATGGAGAAACCCCATCTCTACTAAAAATACAAAATTAGCCGGGCATGTTGGCGTGTGCCTGTAGTCCCAGCTGCTCAGGAGGCTGAGGCAGGAGAATTGCTTGAACCTGGGAGGCAGAGGTTGTGGTGAGCTGAGATCATACCATTGCACCCCAGCCTGGGCAAACAAGAGTGAAACTCCATCTCAAAAAAAAAAAAAAAAAAAAGGAATATGGAGGCTGAGAAACATTCCAGGCAGAAGGAGGAGAATGTACAAAGGTCCGGGCTCAGTTTGAGAAACAGCGAAGGTTACCATTGGTAGGTTGTAGAAAGCAAGAGTAATAAAGATCTGAGCTGAGACTGGTGAGGTAGGTAGATGCCAAACCCTTAGAGGCCACAGTAAGGATTTTAGTGTTTATTCTAAGAGCAATGGGAAACGGTTAAAATTAAAGCCTTTTCAAAATGGGGGCAAGAGGGGTTGCAGCAGTTGATTTCATCAGCAGAGGTGAGAAATGAGGGTAGTTTGGACTAGGTGGTGGAATTGGAGGGTAGTAGAAACTTCTGAGAGAGATTTGGTTTGGGAAAGCTTGTTGACTGGAGATGCATGCTTTAGGTGGGCATTCATCAGAACCCTTTTGCCTGATTGGGCATGTCGGGAACACTGCAAGAACCAGGTTTGGCTTTAAAAGTAGAAATCAATTTGGGACCTCTGAGTCTGCATTACTATGGGTCATCTAGGGAGATGTCGAGTAGGCAGTTGGGAATAATACAGCTGTGTCTGCAGCTGTCAGTCCACAAAGACCAGAAAAATTCTGTTTCTTCAAAGCTTTACACCAAAACTCATTTGGCAGCAAAACATTTCCTGTACTAGGGAGATTAGATTAATAGGCAGTGTATGTATACATTTCATATTACCTTTCTACAATCAGAGAAAAAAATTGAAGTATGTCTGGCCCCAGCGTTTTCCATAAAGGATTGGGGGCCTGAAATAGCATGTGCAAAAGTATCATTTAGCACTTACCATGCATCAGGCACTTTTTTTTTTTTTTTTTTTTTGCACCGGTGTCTCACTCTGTCGCCCAGGCTGGAGTGCAGTGGCACGATATCGGCTCACTACAACCTCTGTCTCCCTGGTTCAAGTCATTCTCCTGCCTCAGCCTCCCAAGTAGCTGGGATTACAGGTGCACGCCACCATGCCCGGCCAATTTTTTCTATTTTAGTAGAGACGGGGTTTCACTGTGTTGCCCAGGCTGGTCTATAACTCCTGAGCTCAGGCAGTCCACCTGCCTTGGCCTCCCAAAATGCTAGGCTTATAGGTGTGAGCCACCACGCCCAGCTGCATCAGGCACTCTTTTAAGACCTTTAACATATATGAACTCATTTAATCCTCATAACTACCCTGTGAGGTTGTAAGTATTATGATTATTCCCATTTTAGAGATGAAGAAATGAGTCACAAAAGGGAACTTGCCCAAGGTTACACAGCTAATGAGTGGAGCCAGGATTTGAAACTGGGCAGTCTGTCTACAAAATCCATGCCCATAACCACCACATTGTGTTGACTCCCAGTGTGTCTGCAGTTCAGAGGAGCAGTTTGGACTGTGGACAAAATGTGAGCACCATAGAATTATGGAGAGGGAGTCTGGTGAGCCACGAGAACTCCAACATTTAATGTTTGTGTAGAAGATGATGAACTGGTCCAGAAAACTGAGACAGAGCAGCCAGAAAGGTTAGGAAAACCAGAAGTGGCATAGGCTTATGGAAGCCAGTGAAAAAGAAGACTTTAAGAAGGGGATGGGCGCCTGTAATCCCAGCACTTTGGGAGGCCGAGGTGGGCAGATCACTTGAAGTCAGGAGTTCAAGACCAGTCTGGCCAACATGATGAAATCCCGTCTCCACTAAAAATACAAAAATTAGCCTGGTGTGGTGGCGCACCCCTGTAGTCCCAGCTACTTGGGAGGCTGAGGCAGGAGAATCGCTTGAACCTGGAAGGCAGTGGCAGAAGGAAGATCATGCCACTGCACTCCAGCCTGGGCAACACAGCAAGCCTGTCTCAAAAAAATGAAGGGGATGGGGTGGGTGTGGTGGCTCATGCCTGTAATCCTAATACTTTGGGAGGCCAAGGTGGGAAGATTGTTTGATGCCAGGAGTTCAAGACCAGCCTGGTCAACATAGGGAGACCCCATCTCTAAAAAAGAAGGGGGTGGTCAACGATGTTAAGTGCTGCTGAGAGGATGAGTCTTGGCTCTGCTGATTCCTGACTTGAGTTTCCAGTCAGAAATACACAGAGGTCCTTAGCACTGTCTACTCTAGAGCCTTCTTAGATCTGTGAGATGGAAGTATAAATTACTGTGAGCAGTACTTCTGATGTCACCATGGGCAAAAGAGTCCATATGTGAAGGTCACATGCTTATTTACATCCTTTTCTGTTTTGGGCTATTCTGCAAAATCAAGTCCTGTCTTACCCTCTCTTCATGCCACCCCCAACCAGGCTCTGGCGTTACGACGTATTCTGTACACCCTGGCACAGTCCAATCTGAACTGGTTCGGCACTCATCTTTCATGAGATGGATGTGGTGGCTTTTCTCCTTTTTCATCAAGACTCCTCAGCAGGGAGCCCAGACCAGCCTGCACTGTGCCTTAACAGAAGGTCTTGAGATTCTAAGTGGGAATCATTTCAGGTATGAATGTTATCTCTTTTTGCAGATGAGATTTATTGCTCAAAGGAGATAATTTGGGTTTGTCTGGGTATACCCTTTTTTAAAAGTACATTGTCTCATATAGCTTTTGTCTTTTAACTCTAGAGTTTTTACCTTTTAGTAGGGGAATTTGACTCTCTTTTGTAATAACTGCTACATTTGATTTTATGCCATCTTTTATACTGATAATTATGCATTCTGTTTGTTTTCTTCCTGTCTTTGTTATGTCAGTCCAGTTTTCTTTATTCTTTTTTGGATTCCTAATTCTATTGTTTTACATTAAAAAGAATTTAAAAAGAATTTGAGGCCAGGCGCAGTGGCTTACGCCTGTAATCTCAGCACTTTGGGAGGCCAAGGTGGGCAGATCACCTAAGGTCAGGTGAAACTCCGCCTCAAAAAAAAAAAAAAAGAATTTGAATCTGCATTTCTCTATTGTCCTCAGGATTGAAATACTATGGACTCCCCTCTCAAATAAGCGAAGACATTTAAAATGATTTAAATGTAGAGAATTTTGAATATAACACAGGGTTAGATAAAATAGTGCACTGAGCCTGCATATAATGGAGCCTCAGCTACCATTAACCCATGGCCAATTCTGCCCTATCCCCATTCTCTACCCCTTTCCATATTTTTCTTCTCCCATATTATTTTGAAGCAAATCCCAGGCATCACATAAGATCAAAATTTTAACATGTTTTTACCTCTACTTCAGGTTATTGTTGAAATGACCTGAAATTTTAAGGAAGTAGCTGAAAATAGCATTAAGATTGGAAAGAAAGGCAGACAGATTATGAGAGGCCTATAATGCCAGCCTTGTGGAGGAGCCCCAGAGTTGTTTCAGTAGACAGACAAAATCTGGTCTGTGCTTTAGCAACTTTGTTTCATGAATGAATAATTAACCTAGTGAGAGAGAGAGTTTCAGAAAGTTGTAATGAAAGGAATGGTAATGTGAAAGAGGCCCTGAAGCAGCAGAATTTTTATCACTGGATGATTAATTAAATGAGGGGATGAGGGAGGCTTTGCTAACCTGAATTTCAAGCCTGAATGAGGTTGATGATGACATTAACTAAGACAGCAGACATGGAAAAGTAATGTGTGGAACTTAGGGTTCTTGGATTCCAAAGCAGTTGAAAGGGACTTTGTCTAGCTTAAGCAAGAAGGAAATTTATTAAAATATTAGTAGGGAGAGGAGGGACCCCTAGGTTGAAAGGGAAGACTGAAGAGCCAGGCTAAGAAGTGTCAGAGTGGCAGTCAGCCAGCCGGGGCATTGCTGCTAGAGTGAGCGAATGCCAGCTATCTTTAGTGTTTAGGTTGTATTGCTTATCATCCATTCTCTAGGGAGGAAGCATTGGATCTCCTTCCTCCTATCCCTTCATTTTTACTCTTTTGATTAGAGGCAAACAGGGACTTTATTAATGCTCTCTTCAAACTATATTGAGGGGAAAAGGTGATTCTGCAGAAGGAAATCAGGTTGCTATTGCCGAAACAAAGTAGAATGTTCAGCCAAAGAGTAACAGTTGTCCACTGTGTAACAAACCTGGCTCTGTACATGTTGCATGTGTGTTATCTATAAGGCATGCAAGTAGAAATGTATAGCAGATAGTTGGAAATGTGGTTCTGAAGTATAAGAAGATAGATTTATATAGTATACTGGATTGATTTTCCAAGAGTGACTGGATTCTTCTTCCCTAGAGATTTTAAGAAAAAAAAAAATAACCCTTTATCTTGGTTTTGACTGAGTGGTTTAAAGAAAGTCAGCTCTAAATCCATAACTTACTATTGGATTGACTTTTGAAGAGCCTTTCCTGTGCTATGGATTCTTAATTCATTTTGAAGATCCAACAGCAGCCGTGTAGACCACCATCAAGAAATGAACATAAAAGTCTTTTGATTGAAGCCTTAAGATTTTTGCACTGGCTCTTCTTTCTGCCTGCAACCACTAGTCTGCTTTATGTCTCTAAGAATTTGCCTTTACTGGACATTTCATATAAATGGAATCATATGGTATGTGGCCTTTTGTGACTGACTTCTTTTACTCAGCTTAATGTTATCAAGGGTCATCCATGCTAAAGCATGTGTCAGTACTTCATTTCTTTTTATTGCTGGATAACATTTCATTGTATAGATTTGCCACATCTTATTTATTCATTCATCAGGTGATGGGCATTTGGGTTTGCACTTTTTAGCTATTTGAATAATACTGCTGTGACCATTTGTGTAGAAATTTTTGTGTGGACATTTCTCTTGGGTACATGGAAGTGGAATTTCTGGGTTATATGGTAACTGTGTTTAACTGCTGAGGAACTGCCAAACTTTTCCAAAATGACTGCCCCATTTTACATTCCCACCAGCAGTCTATGAGTATTCTAATTTCTTCACATCCTCAGCAACACTTGTTATTGTCTCTCCTTTTGAGTTTAGCCATCCTAGTGAGTATGAAGGAATATCTTGTTTTTATTTTCATTTCATTTTCCTACTAATGATGTTGAACATTCTTTCATGCGCTTTTTGGTTCATTTGTTTCTTTGTTGGGGAAATGTCTATCAAGTCCTTTGCCCATTTTTAAGTTGGATAATTGTCTTTTTATTGTTGAGTTACAAGAGTTCTTAATAGTCTAGATGCGAGTTCCTTGTCAGATATATAATTTGCAAATATTCTCTCATTCTGTGGGTTGTCTTTTAACTTTCTTAATGGTATCTTTTGAAATGTAAAACTTAAATTTTGATGAAGTCCAGTTTATCTATTTTTTGTCACTTGTGCAGTCATATCTAAGAAATCATTGCCTTACCCAAGGTCACAAAGATTTACTACTGTCTTTAGTAAAGACAGTTTTCTGTTACTAAACAGAATACCACAGACTGGGTAATTTCTAAAGAAATTTACTTAGCTCATGGTTCCGGAGGCTGAGAAGTCTAAGAACATGGTGCCTGGCATTTGGTTAGGGCCTTCTTGCTGTGTCATAATATGGCAGAGGGCATCACATGGTGAGAGGGCAAGCAAGAACAAACCCACTCCCATGATAGTGACATTAATCCAGGTATGAGGGCAAAGCTTTTATTAATTAATCTGTTCATGAAGGCAGAGGGACTAAGTTTCCAACATGTGATTTTTTAAGGGATACATTCAAACTATAGCAACCCCTATGTTTTCTTCTAATAGTCTTATAGTTGTAGCATTACATAGGTCTGTGATCTGTTTTGAACTATTTTTATTTTATTTTATAATTATTATTTTTTTGAGACGGAATCTTGCTCTGTGACCCAGGCTGCTCACTGCAACCTCCGCCTCCTGGGTTCAAGCAATTCTCCTGTCTCAGCCTCCCGAGTAGCTGGGACTACAGGTGCACACCACCATGCCTGGCTAATTTTTGTATTTTTAGTAGAGATGGGGTTTTGCCACGTAGGTCAGGCTGGTCTCCAACTCCTGACTTCAAGTGATCCCCCTCCTCGGCCTCCCAAAGTGCTGGGATTATAGGCATGAGCCACCACACCCGGCCTTGAACTAATTTTTGTATATGATATGAGGTAGGGGTCAACCTTCATTCTTTTGCATGTGGATATCCAGTGCCTTAGCACCATTTGTTGAAAAGACAGTTTTCTACCCATTGAATTGTCTTGGTATCTGTATTAGTCTGTTAAGGCTGCCATAGCAGAATCCCACAGACTGGGTGGCTTAAACAATATAAATTTATTTTCTCACACTTCTGGAGACTGAAAGTCCAAGATCAAGGTGCTGGCCTGGTTGGTCTCTGGTGAGGCCTGCCTTCCTGACTTCCAAATGGATGCCTTCTCTCTGAGCCCTCGCATGGCCTTTCCTCTATGTACACACACTCCTGGTGTCTCTTCCTCTTTTTATAAGGCCCTGTTGGATTAGGGCCCCGCCCTGATGACCTCATTTAACCTTAGTTACCTCCTTAAAGGCCCTCTCTCTAAATACAGTCACACTGGGGGTTAGGGATTCAACATATTAATTTTGGGGGAACACAATTGGAGTATAACAGTAAGCTTGTCAAAAATCAATTGACCATAAATATAAGGGTTTATGTTTCACTTTTCTGTTCCGTTCATTTGTATGTCTGTCCTTATGCCAGTATCACACTATCTTGATTACTATAGCATTGTAGTAAGTTTTGAAATTAGTTTATCTTTTACCTATACTAATTCTTAGCAAAATCCCCCTGGAAATGTCAATACTGTGACCATGCTGATGCCATAGGCACACTTAACTAGCTCTTACTTGGCTGGGCGCGGCGGCTCACGCCTGTAATCCCTGCACTTTGGGAGGCTGAGGTGGGCAAACTACTTGAGCCCAGGAGTTCAAGACCAGCCTAGGCAACATAATGAGACCCCATCTCTATAAAAAATGCAAAAATTAGCCAGGCGTGGTGGCGTGTCCCTGTGGTCCTGGCTACTTGGGAGGCTGAGATAGGAGGATCACCTGAGCCTGGGGAGGTTGTAGTGAGCTGCGATCACACCACTGCACTCCAGCCTGGGCAACAGTGAGACCCTGTCTAAAAAAAACAACCAGAAAGCTCTTGCTGTAGTATTTGATTAGTTTTTATAGCCTACAAGGAACCTTCATGTCAACTGTGTTCTTTGCTCTTAACTGTAACCTTATGAAGAGTATAAGGCACAGTGCAGTGGAGGATGCAGAGGCTTACAAAGGCTGAGTCATTTCCAGAGAGATACAGAGCCTTGTGGTTCTCACTGATGATCTTTTCACTAGGAAATGGCAAGTTGTACTGGTCATACTGGTGAGTCTTCTTAAACAGAAGTACTGATAAGACTTGTTTTGTAAACGTGACGATATTTTGAAATGGTATTTCTCAAACTTTAGTGTGTTCAAGAGTCATCTGGAAAACTAGTTGAAAATAGATTCCTGGACCACAACCCTAGAGATTCTCATTCAGTATGTCTGGAGTAGGGCTGGAGAATTTCTAACAAGCTCCCAGTTGATGCTCCTGCTGCTGGTTTGTGGTGCACACTTTGAATCCCACTGTCTTACTTGACATAGTGTTAAGAGTTTGCATATATAGTTAATTCAGACTTGTCAACTCTTTCACCTTCAGAATTTGCTTAGATACTGAGGAAGCAATTTTCTTGAAATAGTATACTTTTAAAAATTGTTTCCTCACATGACTAAAGATTGTAATACATTCAATCATTTTTTTTAAAACTTTGACTGAATGCTTACCAGATGTATACCAGATCCAGAGAATACAAAAATGAGTCAGAATTGTCCTTAAGAAAATTTTCTGCATCGGAATTATAAAATTATAAAACTTGGAATTACAGGCTGGGTGCAGTGGCTCATGCCTGTAATCCCAGCACTTTGGGAGGCCGAGGCAGGTGGATCACTTGAGGTCAGGAGTTCGAGACCAGCCTGGCCAACATGGCAAAACCCTGTCTCTACTAAAAATACAAAAATTAGCCAGTCATGGTGGCAGGCGCCTATAATCCCAGCTACTCTGGAGGCTGAGGCAGGAGAATTGCTCAAACCTGGGAGGCGGAGGTTGCAGTGAGCTGAGATCGCATCACTGCACTCCAGCCTGGGCGACAGAGTGAGACTCCGCCTCCAAAAAAAAAAAAAAAACTTGGAATTAATTACAGCAATGAAGAGAGGGTATATGAAACACTTTGCTATGATTTGAATGTGTCCCTCAAGGTTCATATGTTGGAAACTTAAGCCTCAATACAACAGTATAGAGAGGCAGGGCCTTTAAGAGGTAAATTAGGTCACAAGGGCAGCCCTCATGAATGGTTTAATGCCATTATCTCTGGAACGGGTTCATTATCTTGGGAGTGGTTCCTTATTAAAGGATGACTTGTGTCCCCTTCCCTCTCTTGCCCATGTCATGCCTTCCATCTTGTTATTACACAGCAAGAAGGCCTTCATCAGATGCCAGCCCCTTGATCTTGGACTTCTCAGCTTCCATAATCATAAGCCAGTTTCTGTATGCTCATTATAGTTACCCAGTTTGTCGTATTCTGTTACAGTACCACAAAATGGACCAAGACACCTCGTACCTTGGTTTTACCATTTCTTTTCTGTGTCGCCTTTTCCTTTTGTTGTTTTCGAAGCTGGCTTTACTTCTCATATGAGTTTACTAACAGTATAACTTCAAGGAGTCCAGAAATAAGCATTTCTTTTTTTTTTTTACTACTCCAGGCATCTCTGACCAATGTGAATAGCAGGATCTCAGCTATATGACATTGTCCAAGGCTCTGTAGAATGGGCCTTATGGACTTACTTGAAGAAGATGGATATACATGGGTGTCAGGCAGGCACTAATATTAAATTATATAAATAGGGGAATATAAAGACCAAATGTATGCATTATATATCAAACAAAGCATTCTGATGAGAGGTGGTCTAGCGAGGAGATCTAAAATGGTAATTACATTTTCTCTGGCTAAGGACTGGAGAATGAAGAGATAAGGACAAACACTGGCCCTGTGAAGTACATGGAGAACATGTGATCCCTAGTTGTTTTTATGTCATATTCCTTATCCCTGGCAGATGGCAGACTTCATTCTTAACACTGTGCTTCATACCTTTCTCTTTACCTTCCAGTGACTGTCATGTGGCATGGGTCTCTGCCCAAGCTCGTAATGAGACTATAGCAAGGCGGCTGTGGGACGTCAGTTGTGACCTGCTGGGCCTCCCAATAGACTAACAGGCAGTGCCAGTTGGACCCAAGAGAAGACTGCAGCAGACTACACAGTACTTCTTGTCAAAATGATTCTCCTTCAAGGTTTTCAAAACCTTTAGCACAAAGAGAGCAAAACCTTCCAGCCTTGCCTGCTTGGTGTCCAGTTAAAACTCAGTGTACTGCCAGATTCGTCTAAATGTCTGTCATGTCCAGATTTACTTTGCTTCTGTTACTGCCAGAGTTACTAGAGATATCATAATAGGATAAGAAGACCCTCATATGACCTGCACAGCTCATTTTCCTTCTGAAAGAAACTACTACCTAGGAGAATCTAAGCTATAGCAGGGATGATTTATGCAAATTTGAACTAGCTTCTTTGTTCACAATTCAGTTCCTCCCAACCAACCAGTCTTCACTTCAAGAGGGCCACACTGCAACCTCAGCTTAACATGAATAACAAAGACTGGCTCAGGAGCAGGGCTTGCCCAGGCATGGTGGATCACCGGAGGTCAGTAGTTCAAGACCAGCCTGGCCAACATGGTGAAACCCCACCTCTACTAAAAATTGTGTATATCTTTGTGTGTCTTCCTGTTTATGTGTGCCAAGGGAGTATTTTCACAAAGTTCAAAACAGCCACAATAATCAGAGATGGAGCAAACCAGTGCCATCCAGTCTTTATGCAAATGAAATGCTGCAAAGGGAAGCAGATTCTGTATATGTTGGTAACTACCCACCAAGAGCACATGGGTAGCAGGGAAGAAGTAAAAAAAGAGAAGGAGAATACTGGAAGATAATGCACAAAATGAAGGGACTAGTTAAGGATTAACTAGCCCTTTAAGGATTAACTAGTTAAGGATTAATAGCAAAAGATATTAAATATGCTAACATAGCTATGGAGGAATTGAGGGCAAGCACCCAGGACTGATGAGGTCTTAACAAAAACCAGTGTGGCAAAAAAAAAAAAAAAAAAAAAAAAAAAAATCCTAAAAACAAACAAACAAAAAAAACAATTCTTCATTCAGAAAAATTATCTTAGGGACTGATATTGGTAATTATGGTCAATTTAATAATATTTTGGGGCATTTCCTTACATTGTCTTGACAAGATTAAAATGTCTGTGCCAAAATTTTGTATTTTATTTGGAGACTTCTTATCAAAAGTAATGCTGCCAAAGGAAGTCTAAGGAATTAGTAGTGTTCCCATCACTTGTTTGGAGTGTGCTATTCTAAAAGATTTTGATTTCCTGGAATGACAATTATATTTTAACTTTGGTGGGGGAAAGAGTTATAGGACCACAGTCTTCACTTCTGATACTTGTAAATTAATCTTTTATTGCACTTGTTTTGACCATTAAGCTATATGTTTAGAAATGGTCATTTTACGGAAAAATTAGAAAAATTCTGATAATAGTGCAGAATAAATGAATTAATGTTTTACTTAATTTATATTGAACTGTCAATGACAAATAAAAATTCTTTTTGATTATTTTTTGTTTTCATTTACCAGAATAAAAACTAAGAATTAAAAGTTTGATTACAGTCAAAAGAAGAAAACACTGTTCATTATTATGGTTGTGCAATGATTTCTCATTCTAAAGAATAATTTGTTCCAGAGTCTAGCTACAGTGTAATCTCAATCCACATGCTATTAATTTAGGTTGTGTGATAATCTAATTGTTCATTCACCATTTCCTACTTAACCTTTTTTGACACTCTTCACAGACACTTTTTCCACATTTCTTGATCATCCCGGGCCATTTTTTTTTCCTTTCTTTTTAATTAGAGACAGCGTCTTGCTTTGTTGCCCAGGCTGGCCTCAAACTCTGGGCTCAAGCGATCCTCCCACCTTGGCCTCCCAAAGTGCTGGGGTACAGGTGTGAGCCGCAGCACCCGGCCCCAGGCTATTGATCCTTTTTTTGCACCTGCCCCTTATTTCTGTACTGTGACAAGTCCCAGCATTGTGCTGTGGGACTTACACAGTATACTGACTATCCTCAGACTTGGTCATGTCTATGCTCAGTGCATATTAAGAGCTTAACCAAAGTGTGTTGAATCAACAGCCAATGAACTTGATCTAATAAAAATGAGGGCCCAGGAGATACAAATTAGCAAAGCATTTTCTCCTGAGCAGTCATACATCTTTTAATATTTGTAGGCAGTTTAAAATTGAACTCCCAAGCAAACATTTGAGAACAGACACCTTGAGCAAACCGTGAAATCGGTGAAAATAATAATTTATTTTAATTTTTTGAGATAGGGTCTTCTCTGTCACCCAGGCTGGAGTGTGGTGGCACGATCTCAGCTCACTGCAACCACTGCCTCCCGGGTTCAGGCGATTCTCCTGCCTCAGCCTCCCGAGTAGCTGGGGTTACAGGCGCCCACCACCACGCTTGGCTAATTTTTGTGTTTTTAGCAGAGACGGGGGTTTCACCATGTTGGCCAGGCTGGTCTTGAACTCTTGACCTGAAGTGATCCGCCCGCCTCGGCCTCCCAAAGTGCTGGGATGACGCGTGAGCCACCATGCCCGACGTGAAGACAGGAATTTATACCCATGGAGTGCAAGAAGGGACCTTGTAATTTTTAACACGTGACACTTAGTGGCAGATGAGACCTAATGAAGCCAGGCCCACCTTCCACACCAGATTATAAATTCCCCTGGAGCAGAGATTAAATGTTTTATTCACCAACATGCCCAGATCCCTCGCAATGCCTACGCTTGACAAACACCTGTTGTCAACAAGTGCACGAGGCAGCCTAGGAGGAGAATTAGTCTCCACGAGGAGAATTACTCGGGCCTAGCAGCTAGAGTATTTCGAGGTCATCCTAACTGGGTTCCACTTTTGAATTTTTGGTTTTTGGGTTTTTTGTTTTTTTGGAGACAAGATCTCGCTCCACTTGGGAGCAAGGTCTCCCAAAGCTGGAGTGCAGTGGTGGGACCTCAGCCTCCGGGGGTAGCTGGGGCCAAAAGTGCGCGCCACCATGCCCGGTTCTTATTTTGGGTTTCTGGTAGAGCTCTCGCTATTGTGCCCAGGCTGGTCTCGAACTACTGGGTTCAAGCAATCCTCCCACCTCGGCCTCCCAAAGTACTGGGATTACAGGCGCGAGCCACTCGCCCGGCCGGGTTCCACTTCTGAAAGCTTGGGGAGCCGCTGGGCCTTCCAAGAAAAGTGCTCCACCTCCCGACGGCAGGCAGAGCCCCTGGCCCGGCTATCTTTCCAGGGCCGAAAGCTAACAGTCAAGACGCGAAACGAGGAATTCGGGTCAGGGTGGCAAAGCAAAGCGCGATGACAGTGAGGACGACGTCTAGACGCAAACATACATCAAATCGGGCCGAAGCCCGCTGTCGCCGCGCGGGCTGAACCTGGCACCCGGAGCAACGCGCGACCCCGGGACGAGACGCTCTCGTCCGAGCCAAACTACATCCCCCGGCGTGCACTGCAGCGCCCGCCCCTCGCCGGCCGGCGGGGCCCGGGAGGAAGGCGGCCGCGCTGCCAGTCCCGCAGGTCCCCTAGGCCCCTTTCGCTGCGGCCTTTCCCCAACCCGGACCCGGCACTTCTCGGGTTCCGCGACTGCCGATCGCCCCGGCGCGGCACCGCTCCCTCAGGAGTCGCCTAGGCCGCGCAGTCTCCCGACTTCTCGTCAGGCTTTCGCGCCGGCGCTCCAGCAATCACTGGCTGGAGAAGGTGGGCGTTCCGGCTCGAGAGGACCCTGCCGCGGCTCCGGAAGAGCCTCGTCCTGGGCGGCGGTGGTGCGGCGGTCGCCGTTATGGCCACTGGGCTGGGCGGCTGACCGCCGGGCTAGGAAAGGGCCCAGGGCCCCGAATCTCGGTGGCCGCTGCTCCAGCGCGGCCTGCGCCATGGCCTCCTCCGCCGCCTCCTCGGAGCATTTCGAGAAGCTGCACGAGATCTTCCGCGGCCTCCATGAAGACCTACAAGGGGTGCCCGAGCGGCTGCTGGGGACGGCGGGGACCGGTGAGGCGGGGGTGGGCCACGCCGTGGGGAGCGCAGCCCTGCGCGCTTTGGAAGGAAGATTCTCCCACCTTCCTCCCAGACCCGGGCCCGCGTCTCCTCCCTCCGCGTCCTCAGACACGCCCCCTAGGGCTGGCTTGTCCCAGCCCCAGGTCTCCCTGCTGCCACTGAGAGTAAATTGGACCTCGGGATTCAGTTCCCTGGGATCCTTCTATGGCCTTCCACATTTTCTCATCTTTTTTCACTGTGGCAAATAGAGCAGAGGGGCTTTTGCATCTGCGGTCCTGTAATGTAGAGTGGGTTTCTTTCATAGCTGTTTTTGTTTGTTTTATGCATTTAAAAGCACTAGTCTCAAGACAGGTCTAGTTTTCACCAGACTGACAGAGGATCCGTAGCACAGAAAAAGGGTTAAAAACCCAAAGGAGTCATAATTTGGGGGTGTTGGTAAATACCAGTTATTGGAGGGTAGAGAGCTGGCCTTTAAAACCTGATTGTGGCATTTAGATGTGGTCTTGTTTTGAACGTTTTTACAGCTGAGACTGTTTACTACCCCTTAATTTCATGATTCAGGTTGCTACAAGTTCTGTCTGGAGGAGCTAGAGTTTTCCGGCCCTAAATCCATAGGAAAAGCTGCTATAGTTCTTGGCCTCCGGATATATAGAATTTGATGGCAAGGACAAAACTTTGTTTTATTGCTTTTATTTAAGAGTCAGAGCTTGGGTGTTTGCTCAACGAATTACTCAAGGTCATAGGAATTGAATGACTGGTGAGAATGAAATTCATGTATTTAATATATATTTATTGTGAGGCTGCTGTGTGCTAGGTGCTGGTGAATTGTGAGGCACCGTTCTAGGTGCTGGTGAATATTGCAAATTACAGTGAAAAAGATACGAACATCCCCATTCTAGTGGGTAGGTGATAAACAATATATAACTATTAAGAGGCAGTGTTAAAGAATACAGGAAAGTAAATCAGAGTAAAAGAATAGGGGATGGGACTTCAGTTTTATTTTATTATTTATCATTTTTTTTTTTGAGACAGGGTCTCACTCTGTCACCCAGGCTGGAGTGCAGTGGCACGATCTCGGCTCACTGCAACCTCCACTTCCCAGATTGAAGCAATTCTCCTGCCTCAGCCTCTGGAGTAATAGGGATTACAGTTGCGCCACCACCCCTAGCTAATTATTTTTGTATTTTTAGTAGAGACAGGGTTTTGCCATGTTGGCCAGGCTGATCTCTAACTCCTGACCTCAAGTGATCCGCCTTCTTTGGGACTTCAGTTTTAAATAGGGCGGTTGTGAAAGTCCTCTCTGAGGAGATGGCGTTTGAACAGAGACTTAAATGAAGTGAGGGAGTAAACCAGAAATCAGGGAGAAGTGAGTGTCAGAAGGAGGGAATAGCACTGCAAATGCCTTTAAGCAGAAATGAGCTTGGTGTGTTCAGCGAAGAGCAGGAAGTTCCATGTGTTTGGGATGGAGTGAGCAAAGGAGAGCGATAAGCAGGGCCAGATCATGTAGGGCCTTGTGGACCATGGTGAAAGACTTGTGCCTTTTTCTAAATATGATGGGATGCAGTTAAAAGATACTGTGCAGAAGCATTGTGGGATCTGATTTATGTGATTGAAAAGTAGACTGCAGGCAGGGTACGGTGGCTCACACCTGTAATTCCAGCACTTGGGGAAGCCGAGGCGGGCGGATCACTTGAGGTCAGGAGTTCAAGACCAGCCTGGCCAATATGGTGAAACCCCATCTCTACTAAAAATACAAAAATTAGCCGGGCATGGTGTCAGTTGCCTGTAGTCCCAGCTACTCAGGAGGCTGAGGCAGAATTGCTTGAACCCAGGAGGCGGAGGTTGCAGTGAGCCGAGATCATGCCACTGAACTCCAGCCTGGGCAACAGATCAAGACTCTGTATCAAAAAAAAAAAAAAAAGAAAAGAAAAGAAAAAAAAGTAGACTGCAGGCCAGGCATGGTGGCTCACACCTGTAATCCCAGCACTTGGGGAAGCTGAGGCAGGAGTATTGCTGTGTTGAACGATTTTGAGACCAGCCTGGGCAACATGGTGAAACCTCATCTCTACAAAAAATAAAAAAATTAGCCAGGCATGGTGGTGCATGCCTGTAGTCCCAGCTCCTGGGGAGGCTGAGGTGGGAGGATCACTTGGGCCCTGGAGCTGGAGGTTGCAGTGAGCCAAGATCGCACCACTGCACTCTAGCCTGGACCACAGAGCAAGACTCTCCCAAAAAAAAAAAAAAATGTAGACTGCATTTTCAACCTGGCACTGAATTAATTTTTGCAATGCCCATTTCTATAAGTCTAAATAATGCAAAAGAACATTGCTTTGAAAAATAGAAAATTGAATTCATTATTACTATGGTTTGAATGTCCCCCTCTAAAACTTATGTTGACATTTATTTGCTATTTTAATCGCATTAAGAGGTGGGACCCATAAGAAATGATTAGACCATGAGGGCTCCATCCTCAGAGATTAGATTGTTATCCTGAGAGTGGCTTGGTTGTTGAGAGAGTGGGTTAGTTCAGCCCTCTCTTGCTTGCCTGCTCTCTTGATCTGTTGCCCTTCCATCTTCTGCCATGGGGTGACCCATGGGTAGCAAGAAGGCCCTTGAAAGAATCAGCCCTCTCAGCCTTGGGCTTCCCAGCCTCCAGAACTCTGAGAAATACATTTATTTTCTTTATAAATTACCCAGACTCAGCTATTCTGTTATAGCAACATAAAGCTAAGATAGTTACATTCACCTTTGTTGTCTACCCAGCCTTTTTCTCCATCCTGCAAAGAGGACAATCAGAAATATGTGAATTTCTTTTCTTTTTTCTTTCTTTTTTTTGTTTTTTTGAGATAGAGTCTTGCTCTGTCGCCCAGGCTGGAGTGCAGTGGTACAATCTCAGCTCACTGCAACCTCCACCTCCTGGGTTCAAGTGATTCTCATGCCTCAGCCTTCCGAGTAGCTGGGATTACAGGCGCATGCTACCACACCTAGCCAATTTTTGTATTTTTAGTAGACACGGGGTTTCACCATGTTGGCCAGGCTGGTCTCAAACTCCTGACCTCAAGTGATCTGCCCGCCACGGCCTCCCAAAGTGCTAGGATTACAGGTGTGAGCCACTGCGCCCAACCACAAAATACTCTAAGTTGCTGGTAACAGACATAGTTGTTTAATGGATAAGTAAAGAAAATATATACATATCCCTAGAATTATAATAAGTCCAACAACTTTACCTCTTATTCACTACCTCATTCACACTGCTCAATAAATGTTTGTTGAATAAATTGAATTTATCTAAGCAAACACATGGTGCCTCATCTCTGAATCCTCTTTTTCTAGTTCAGAGACCACATCATAAAGTTTTCAGAGCTTTAATGCCCATCATGAATTATTAGGCACAGCATAATGTACATAATACAGTCCTTGCATGTAGCTTATGCTCTGTAATTGAATTCAGTCATTTTTCAATAAACACTGAGAATTATTATGTATCAGCCACTGTCTAGGCTCTGAGGACTTCCAGAGTTCTTACCTTAAAAAGAAACAAACGGCCGGGCACGGTGGCTCATGCTGGTAGTCCCATCACTTTGGGAGGCCTAGGCGGGCGGATCACAAGGTCACGGATGGAGACCATCCTGGTCAACATGGTGAAACCCCATCTCTACTCAAAATACAAAAATTAGCTGGGTGTGGTGGCATGTGCCTGTAGTCCCAGCTACTCAGGAGGCTGAGGCAGGAGAATCGATTAAACCCAGGGGGCAGAGATTGCAGGCGACAGAGCGAGACTCTATCTCAGAAAAAAAAAAAGGTAACAAACCTTACAACCAAGTGTGTGATTAATCCTAAAATAAAGTTCTCTGAGACCATAAAAAGGGCTGGACTTGAGCATGGGGAAGAGGGGGAAGCTTCAAAAAACTTCAAACTGAATATAAGGGATTGAATGGGAGTTTGCTAGATGGGAAATGCGAAGAGGCAACACAGGAGTAAAACATGGAATACTCCCAACTCTGGAGCTTAGAATGTATGTGGGAAAGTAGTAGTAGAGGGGCAGGTGAAACAGCCAGATTGTGAGGGGATCTCAGTGTCACATTGAGACATTTGGACTTGATATGGAAAGTCAGTAAAGGACGTAAAGCAGTTGATTGATGTGGATTTTCTTTTAGAAGGAGGGCATTAATGGCTAGACAGGACAAGAGAGAGCACAAGAATCTGGGTACAGGGGACTGTGTTAAGAGCCTTTTGGGCAGTCACCTTGCTAACGGGAATTTGTTTGACACAGGTTCTCACTCCTGTCTCCCGTCATCCAGGCTGGAGTGCAGTGGCACCATCACTGCTCACTGCAGCCTTGGCTTCCCGGGCTCAGGTGATCCTCCCACCTCAGCCTCCCGAGTAGCTGGGACCACAGGTGCATGGCACCAGGCCTGGCTAATTTTTTGTATTTTTAGTAAGGGTCTCCCATGTTATCCAGGCTGTTCTCGAATTCCTGGGCTTAAGTGATCCACCCACCTCAGCCTCTTAAAGTGCTGGGGTTACAGGGGTGAGCTACAGTTCCCGGCCCAAGAGTTGGTTTTGAGGCAGAAATTAACCAGCCTCAATGGATATGAGGAGTGAGGGAGAAAGGTTCCAGGGTGTCTGCATTTTTTCACTTGGTCAACTGGGTGAATGATGAACTTAAGTAAGAAACATAAGAGGAGAAGCAGAGTTTGGGTTGTGGATGAGAATATCAAAGGTACCTGTAGAACAGAGATCATGACATAATATAGCCTTACAAAATGTTTCTTCTTCTGCCATTAAAAATAACATACGGGGGCCAGGTGTGGTGGCTCGTGCCTGTAATCCCAACATTTTGGGAGGCTGAGGCAGGAGGATTGCATGAGGCCAAGAGTTGGAGACCAGCCTTGGCAACATGGTGAGACCTATCTCTACAAAAAAAAAAAAGCTGAGTAGTGTGGTGCTGCTCACTTGTAATCCCAGCTGCTCAGGAGGCTGAGGCAGGAGGATCACTTGAGTCTAGCAGTTTGAAGTTTTAGTGAGCTGTCATCACATCATTGCACTCCAACCTG
This sequence comes from Homo sapiens, assembly GCF_000001405.40. Classification (NCBI taxonomy): domain Eukaryota; kingdom Metazoa; phylum Chordata; class Mammalia; order Primates; family Hominidae; genus Homo; species Homo sapiens. The sequence continues at coordinate 67,669,311 of NC_000014.9, read as the reverse complement.
GGTGACAGAGCAAGACTCCGTCTCAAAAAAAAAAAAAAAAATTATGAAGAAGTATGTGAATTGAGAGGCCATATAGTATAATATTTAACAGCAAGAATTCAAGAGCCAGATTGCCTGAGTTTAAATTCACCTTCTAGTAGCAGTGTGACCTTGGACAGGTTACTTTAACCCAATTAGTTTTTCCTGCCAAATGGGGATAAATCATAGTATCTACTTCACAGGGTTTTTGTGAGGAGTAAATGAGTTAATATATGTAAAGTCCTTAGAATACTGCCTGATAATAGAGCTACTAGCCATTTTATTTAAATGAAAATTAAGAATACCAGCCCTGTATACAACTATTCTTACCTTTTTTTTTCCAGAGTACTTATTTTCTGACATATTAGACACTTTCCACATTTATGATATTTACAGTATATTGTTTGTCTTCCTTTCACTAGGACAGTGGTTTCATTGTGGTCCATGAACCAGCTGCATCAGCATCATTTGGGAACTTGTTAGAAATGCAAATTCTCAGGCCCCACCCCAGACCTATTGAATCAGAAAGTTTTAACAAGCAGTGTGTTTTCACAGCCCTCCAGGGGGTTTCTGATGAAGGCTAAGTGTGAAAGCCACTGAGCTAGAATATAAGCTCAATGTTGTCTTTTTTTCACTGTGTTTCCTAAGTACCAGAACAGTGCCTAGCACAGACTAGGTGCTTCATAGATACCTATTGGATGATGGAATGTGTGAATTGTTGGAAAGAAAATATTGATATATGATTGTGATTTATTTCTATTCTGTTGTCCACATTTTCATTACTTTAAAAATGGGTATATTCCACCTATTAAAACAACAAAAACTGTATTTCTCCAAAGTACAGTCTCCATTCACTTTCTGCCTTTGAATGATACTAGAGACAATGTGTCCTGTTTTAGGAAGTTTTTGTGTAACTGTCCATTACCACTTACAATAATTATTAATCCATTTAATATTTCATTAAATACCTATGGCCATAATTTCTACTCTTGGTTTTACAACCTCTGAAGAGGTCTCTCCAATTACCTCAGAGTACTATAATGTGCTATAATTTCTTAATCTAATCAATGTTAAATGCCTGTGGTCATGATTTCTAGTTTTGGTTTTGTCATACCTGAAGACATCTCTCCATATGTCTTAACGTGTATCATAAAAATATTGAAAGTTTTCCATTTTAAATCATTTAGATCAGTATGTATAACACAAGACCCTATTATTTTCAGAGCCAGAAAAAATAGTCACTATGGAGTACTATAATCAGCTGGCCGATAAACACCAATTACTTACAGACTGTAGAATTTTAACTATTCTAACTCCTCATTTTTTTTGTTTGTTTGTTTTTTGTTTTTTGAGATGGAGTGTTGCTCTTTCACCCAGGCTGGAGTGCAGTGGCGCGATCTCGGCTCACTGCAACTTCTGCCTTCCGGGTTCACGCCATTCTTCTGCCTCAGCCTCCCGAGTAGCTGGGACTACAGGCGCCCACCACCACGCCGGGCTAAGTTTTTGTATTTTTAGTAGAGACAGGGTTTCACTGTGTCACCCAGGATGGTCTCGATCTCCTGACCTCGTGATCCGCCCGCCTCGGCCTCCCAAAGTGCAGGGATTACAGGCGTGAGCCACCGCGCCTGGCCTCTAACTCCTCATATTTTCTACTGAATTTGGTTTTTGCTCTTAGGTTCTTCCTAAGTATTTACTTTCAGAAACAATGGTGGTTTCTATTTATTGAGCCCTTATTATATTTGGCACTTGCTAAGTGAATGTTATGTGTATTATTTCTTTTAACCCTTTCAAACAACCCTTACAAGGTCAGTAGTCTTATAGTCCCTATTTGCAGATGAGGAAACAGGTTGGTTGAGAGGGATCTCTGTTGCTTTTAACTCTTGTATGGTGTGGGATCTAGTCAGCTGTCACGGTGTACAAATAAAGGGTGTAAGTCCTCCATTTTGCCACAGTGAGGCACCAAAAGCAAAGTAACCACATATTTATGAGCTGGTGAAACTGAAGTTGTTTCCACAACTTTAAAGGGCCAAGATTAGGCATTCTTGGGCTGGAAATTCAAATCCCCATAAGGAAGAGAGGCTGCCCACCTTGGTCAAACATTAAGGTAGGCTTTCTGTAGTGCTGTTTTTCAGAGCTGTCTGTTTCCATTTTACTCCATGTCAGCATCCACCCAGTTTCCCAAAGGAGACAGAGTTGGTCCCAGAGAGTCCCTCACATGTGACTGATTTGGGCAGGCTTGTGGGGTGGGGGATAGTGGTATTTGAAGTGGTTCATTCTTGTTCATGGTGCCCATTCTCCCCAGGATGCCACCTTGCTGTTTGTAGTTGATTGTAGCATCAATTCTAACTCCCTAAAAAGAGGAAGAGGTTTTTTGTTTTTTCAACAGATTTTACCAGTTGTTAAAGGCTATACTCTGGGAGCACAAAAATGCCCCTCAGTTGTATACAGTATACAGTTGTTTAATATACAGAAAAGCCTTGGACTGGGAGTCAGCACACTTGCATTCCAGAACTAGTGCTGCCATACATTTGCTGTTCCAATGACTGTGGGGCAGGCACTCAGTTTCTCCAGGGTCTAGTGTCCTCAGTGGTAAAGGCAGGAAGTTAGACTAGATGATCGCTGAGGTACATCCTAGCTCTAGCATTCATTGGTTTCATAATTCTGAGCCTAAAGAATTTTTAAAAAGCTGCTATTGATCCCTCTCAGTTGGGTAGAGATCAGTCTCTTGAATTATCTGCCTCCCTGGCTTTATCATCACAAGAAATGATTTCAAAGGTTTCTGTTTTGTTTTGTTTTAAATCTTAGAAGTCCAGAAAGGATCTCATAAATGTAGTGAAGTTCTGTAAAAGTATGTTGTTATAGAGCACTTATAAGAGGAAATGTGTTTTATGAAATCAGGTAGGAAATGGAATATTCTAGCACACAGAAGTTAGTGAAAGGAGAGAGGTTCTGTGGTCTTCTTCTCCCCCTTTCATTTATGTAGTTACATTCCTGGAATCATTCTAGAATTTGCCTCTTGAGAATGCGGATTTTCATACCCATTAACAAAGGAAGAATAAAGGAGGAGAATTTATGACTAAACACAGTTGTAGAAAAGTCTAGGAAAGGAAGGAGCTAGGAAGGGAATGTACATATGTGTACAGTACTGCTTCTTACTGTCTGGCTTGGATCAGGAGTGAGCATGCCTGAGTTTGGAGATGTGCTGACTCAGAGCAGTGATGATGCTCAGCACTTTTGGGACAGCTTATTACAAAATAATACAATACTGCTCCATGGAAGTAGCCGTTTTTGACTGTCGGTATTATTTCAGTACTGGTAGCTAAGAACACATCCCCCTCAGGAACAGTAATAGCTGCCTTGGTGCTCATTTCAGTTACATCATAGATGGTCAAGAGTCATACCATTTGCCATGGTGAACCTTCCTCTACCTTTTTTTAAACAACAAACAGCCATGGGTTTTGTGAGTGGTATGGAGAAAATTGTCTGAAGTATCTTGTGTATATTAAGGGGGTGGCACACAACAATGAATGAGACATAGTAAAGGGTGTGTTGTCATTTGCCCTTTCAGGCAGTAGCCACATCTAAGGAGGTTTATAGTTCTAGGATCTATGGCACAGTAAAAATGACAAAATAAATTTCCATGTTTCAGAGGAACTTGGTCTCAAGTTGAGATTATAGAATATACGCATCCAAAATGATTTATGGTCACTTAAAAAGTGGGATACAAGGACAGGTGTGGTGGCTCACACCTGTAGTCCCAACACTTTGGTAGGCTGAGGTCGAGGATTGCCTGAGCCCAGGAGTCAAGACCAGCTTAGGCAACATAGTGAGGCCCCATCTCTACCAAAAAAAAAATTAGCTGTGTGTGGTAACCTGCACCTGTAGTCTCAGTTACTTGGGAGGATGAGGCAGGAGAATTGCTTGAGCAGGTGGGAGGATTGCTTCAGCCTGGGAGGTCGAGGCTGCAGTGAGCCGTAATCATGCCACTTCACTCCAGCCTGAGTGAGACTGTCTCAAAAAAAAAAAAAAAAAAAGATATAACTGACATTAGATGCTGTTGTGATTAACAAAATGTAAATCCATATAAAGCATTACAGTGACATTACATCTTATGTAGGATTGGGTTCAAAAGTCAGGGCTTGGCCGGGTGCACTAGCTCACACCTGTTATCCCAGCACTTTGGGAGGCCGAGATGGGTGGACCACACAAGGCCAGCCTGGCCAACATGGTTAAACCCCCTCTCTACCAAAAAATAGAAAAATTATCTGGTTGTGGTGGTGCACTCCTGTAACCCCACCACTCAGGAGGCTGAGGCATGAGAATCACTTGAACCCAGGAGTTGGAGTTTGCAGTGAGCTGAGATGACGCCACGGCACTCCAGCCTGGGCAACAGAGTGAGACACAGTCTCAAAAAAAGCCAGGTCTTAAGATGAAAATCAGAGTAGACAAATCATCTAAGAAAATCTCAGGACAGCAACTGAATACCCACATGCCATTTCTCCATAAGCCCGGCTCATCTGTTCTCTTTTGCAGCGGAAAGGCTGAGGTGGATGGATCACTTGAGGTCAGGAGTTTGAGACCAGACTGGCCAACATGGCAAAACCCTGTCTTTATTAAAAATGTAAAAAAATTAGCCGGGCATGGTGGTGGGTGCCTGTAACCCCAGCTGCTCGGGAGGCTGAGGCAAGAGAATCGCTTGAACCTGGGAGGTGGAGGTTGCAGTGAACCGAGACCGAGCCACTGCACTCCAGCCTGGGAGACAGAGCAAGACTCTGTCTCAAGAAAAAAAAAAAAATTGCTCTTTAGTTGGTGGAAGTGCTGCTGGCTTGTGTTTAGGAGTCACATTGAAAAATACATAGCTTTAAAAGGCCATATCCCCATACGTGCAACAGCATAGATGAACCTTGACTTTGTGCTAAGTGAAATAAGCTAAACACAAAGGACAAATATTGTATGATTCCACTTAATGGTGTACCTGGAGTAGTGAAATTCATAGAATGGGGAGGTATTTGATGGGTACGGAATTTCAGTTTGAGAGGATAAACAAGTTCTGGAGAACAGTTAGTGGTGATGGCTCCACAACGGTGTGAATGTACCTAGCCACTAAGCTATACCCTCACAAATGGTCAAAATGGTAAATTTTATATTACATGTATTTTGCCAGCCTAGGTGACCAGTGAGACTCTGTCTTGAAACAAACAAACAAACATTGTAAATGATGGTAACTTTATGGTGATAAGTAGATTATGTGTAGATTTCCAGGGAGAACAGTCATTTGGATGTATAAATTTTTTTAAAAAATCAAGCTCCTCTTAAAAGGAGCTAATTTTTGCTTGTTAGATATAAGGGAATGACCTACTTCCTCATTTTGTAGTCAATGAAGGAGAATGTGAGGTCCCAAAGAAATGAAGGAAATTATCTAAGTTTACATGCTGAGGCAGGCCCGAACCTGGCACCAGAACCTCACCCCGCTGACTAACCAGAAAAGGTGCTTGTATGCCTTTCCCCCATACAAATGTTTACCAGGTGACAGCATTCTGGTACCACCTTCATAATTTTTGCCATCCGCAAGTATCATTATTACTGTCACTTACATTTTATTTATTTATTTATTTATTTTGAAATGGAGTCTCCCTCTGTCGCCCAGGCTGGAGTGCAGTGGCACAATCTTGGCTCACTGCAAGCTCCGCCTCCTGGGTTCACACCATTCTCCTGCCTCAGCCTCCTGAGTAGCTGGGAATACAGGCGCCCACCACCACACCAGGCTAATTTTTTGTATTTTTTAGTAGAGATGGGGTTTCACCGTGTTAGGCAGGATGGTCTCGATCTCCTGACCTCATGATCCGCCCGCCTCGGCCTCCCAAATTGCTGGGATTACAGGCGTGAGTCACCGTGCCCAGCCTTGTCACTTACATTTTCTTTATGTCAACTTATTTCATGTAAAATACATTTATTTAAAACAATGTTATTTAAAAATGAAACTTGCTATCATATTTTAGATGGAAAACCTGTAGTATAAACTATCAGAAAATACAATTAAGACAATACTGTTTTAGTTAGATGTTTGTTTTGAAGCTGAAGCCTGTTCTATTTTTGTTCAAAGGGGAGATTAGTAATTTTTAGGTATTAAAGATACACTCAACCAAAGGGACAGAATGGGAAAGGCTGAAAGGGGAATGAATAACGTTCTCATCGTTCAAGTCATTGCCGGTGCCACACCCAGAGAAAAACAAGCACCACACCAGACAGCCTCTCAGCAAGCCGAGTAGGTGGAATTTTTATTTTGCAGAAAAGTAGTGTACGAGTTAACATAGAAGTGGTTCACTGTGGGAGTGGTGAGGGGTTTCAGAGAGTCACTATTGGTAAACATTCTTTTTTTTTTTTTTTTTTTGAGACAGAGTCTTGCTCTATTGCCCAGGCTGGAGTGCAATGGCGCAATCTCGGCTCATTGCCACTTCCACCTCCTGGGTTCAAGCATTTCTCTACCTCTGCCTCCCAAGTAGCTGAGATTACAGGTGCCTGCCACCACGCCCGGCTAATTTTTGTATCGTTAGTAGAGATGGGGTTTCACCAGGTTGGCCAGGGTGGTCTTGAACTCCTGACCTTGTGATCCACCTGCCTTGGCCTCCCAAAGTGCTGGGATTACAGGCATGAGCCACCAGGCCCTGCCATAGGAAGCTTATTCGAAGCAGAGGGAATGGCCTTTACAAATGTGTGGAAACAGTAATAAGCATTTGAAACTTATCTATCTTTTCTAGAAGAAAAGAAGAAATTGATCAGGGATTTTGATGAAAAGCAACAGGAAGCAAATGAAACGGTGAGAACAAGGAACAAATTTTGTTTCTTCTACCTGGTGTTGGTCTTTTCCAGAAGTAATGCTATGAGCTGATCACAAATTAACTGTTCCTGTCCATTGATCTTGATTTTGACTATTTCTTACTAAATGAAGCCAGTTGATGGGGATGGTTGTTGAGGGGGTTTGGCAAACAAATGGGTGAAGCCTGAAGATGCTCCTGAAATGTGACTCTTTGGTAATATATTGCTGATGTGAGTAGTAAGGGCATTCTCATACTTTTACCCAAGCAGTCTTTTAAAATCTGTTGTTTTTTTTTTTGTTGTTGTTGTTGTTGTTTGTTTTGAGACAGAGTCTCGCTCTGTTGCCCAAGCTGGAGTGCAGTGGCACAGTCTCGGCTCACTGCAAGCTCCACCTCCCGGGTTCACACCATTCTCCTGCCTCAGCCTCCCAAGTAGCTGGGAATACAGGTGGGCGCCACCACACCTGGCTGTTTTTTTGTATTTTCAGTAGAGATGGGGTTTCACCGTGTTAGCCAGGATGGTCTCGATCTCCTGACCTCATGATCTGCCCGCCTCGGCCTCCCAAAGTACAGGGATTACAAGGCATGAGCCACCGTGCCTGGCCTAAAATCTGTTTTTAAGAGCTGGCCATTAAGATAGGTTACTGGTCAGTGCGGTGGCTCACGCTTGCAATCCCAACACTTTGAGATGCCAAGGTGGGAGGATCACTTGAGGCCAGAAGTTCAAGACCAGCCTGGGCGACATAGGGAGACCCCCCATCTCTACCAAACAAAAAAAAATTACCGAGGTTTGGTGGTGCATGCCTCTGGACCCAGCTACTCAGGAGGCTGAGGTGGGAGATCACTTCAGCCTGGGAGGTCAAGCATGTGGTTAGCCACAGTTGCACCACTGCACTCCAGTCTGGGTGACAGAGTGAGACCTGCCTCAAAAAAAAAAAAAAAAAAAAAAGGTTACTGTTCTTTGTTAAACCTACTGTCACAGAAAATGTAGTTTAGAGGTAATTCTAACCATGTCCCTTTCTGTCTTAAGAGACAACATAGGAGCTGGAGTTGGTACCTCAGGCAAGACATGCATGAGTCTCAGTTGGTACCCAAAGTTTGTCAGAAGTTGGTTCCGTTTACTGAACAGTTTAACAACTGCTTCTCTTCACCTGTGGCTTTTCTTTAAAAAAAAAAAACTTTTTTTTTTTTTTTTTTTTTGCTCTAGCCCTATAGAAGCAAGAGTCCTTTGACTCCATCTCATCATACTCTAGCTTCAGCAAACTCATTAAGATTGGGGCCAAAATTCTGGTCGCTGCTAGTACTCCGCAGAAATAGTTGGCCCTGTATTTGCTACCCGAGAGCAGATGGAGAAAAAATTCTCTTTTGGCCAGCGAACTTCCTTCTTGCTTGTTGAAGATCAGTGTTTCAATTTCCCACTTATCCCAATGAAGTTCTGAGAAGGAAGCACATCTGCATCCTTTTCTCTGTTTTGCATCTGTTTTAAGAAAGACCAGGCCACTAGACTGTGGGAACTATCTTCTTCCTAATGGGAGTACTGGGAGCTTTTCTTAATACCTGTGTACAGCTGGGCATATCCATGATACCTGTTTGTAGCCATTCTCCTGTTTCAGTTAATACCTTGGTAGCATTTTTAAAATCTTCTAGCTGCTACTGATTTGTTTGATGCTCAGATACTTGTTTTCTCCAAACTCAGCAAAAGTAATAATCCTATGCTGCCCATTCCAGGCAGATGAAAATAATTTAGGGCCTCTTGTGGATGTGTCCAGGTGTTACATTTTACTTACCCCAGAAAAATGGAAGTCTGATTCCCCTAAAGCAGACTGCTCTGGGTAGGCCCCTGTTCTCTCTGACATGGAGACAAACTTAATTGATTTTCAGAAAGAGGAGCAGGAGAAGGGAAGAACCCTGATGCCAGACCCCTATCATTTTTAATACAGTAGACTTCAAAGCACTTCTTGATGGCAATGTTCAATCATACCAGGCTAAAAACTTGGTATATTGAAGAGAGCTGAGAGAATTTGAAGATTTTGAATCCTGACTCCTTTTCTGTTTAATTTTTTATATATATATAGAGATGAGGTCTTGCTATGTTGCCCAGGCTGTGCTCAAGTGATCCTCCTGCCTCGGCTTCCCAAAGTGCCAGGATTACAGGTTTGAGCCACTGTGCCTGGCCCGGACTCCTTTTTGTGCGATCTTCAGAGGTTTCTTTAAGTCTTATATATGAAATGGAGCATTTCCTACCTTATTGATTTGTTGTGAGGATTAAATGGAGAATGTATATAAAAGTGTTTAGTAAGCTATAAAGTACTTCTGTTTTTCCATTCATTCATTCAGTTCATATACTCGAATGCCTGCTCTGTGCTTGCTGGGCACTATGCAAGGCATTCAGAATGAGGGGAACATGCCAGACATGGTCCCTGCCTCATGGAGCATATGGTTATTTACTTGGTGTAGTCCAAATAAATAAGTAGTTTGATTAGTCCAAACTAGGCATATTTCCAAATGAGTGAGGGAAGAACCAGGCTATCTGCTCACTACTTTCTGCCTTCCCAGCTGGCAGAGATGGAGGAGGAGCTACGTTATGCACCCCTGTCTTTCCGAAACCCCATGATGTCTAAGCTTCGAAACTACCGGAAGGACCTTGCTAAACTCCATCGGGAGGTGAGAAGCACACCTTTGACAGCCACACCTGGAGGCCGAGGAGACATGAAATATGGCATATATGCTGTAGAGAATGAGCATATGGTAAGTTTTAGCTGTTTTGTTTGTTTTTTTTTTCCTTTAAGGGCCTGTGGTACAAAAATTAACTATATTGTTGGGGTATTTCATGTTATCAGTGTATACTAGACTCTTGTTTCATTTTTTTCACCCTTATCCTCTTTTCTGCATCCAGTTCCTGTTACCCCTTGGTATCTGCTCTATTTAAGGCAGGCCTTTCGAACTATATGCATATTTAGATTTCTTTTTATCCTTAATATAATACAGTCTTATAATAAAAAAAAAACAGTGCTTTGTATGTAGTAGAATGTAAATGTTACCTATTCTTATTATCTGGATTCTGACTCATTGATCTAATTTCTTTTCTCCTTGATCTTTTTTATTCTCTCATATAAATTTTAGAATCACTTTCTCAGGTATGCCTGGAAAATTCAGTTAGGTTTCTAATTTATCAGAATATTGTTACAAAATCAATCCAAGCTTTCCTTTACCTTAATGTCAAGATGGCCCAGCAACTGAGATACAGTAGCCAATGCAGGGCGCTTCTCGAGAAGGAGCTTTTTATCATTTTATTCTGTGGTAATAGAAAGTGAGCAAGACTCCCTCTCTAGCTTTCAGGATTCTGATTTATAAAATTGGACTAATTGAACATCTGTATTCTGAAACCATCTAGAGCAGCTAGATCGTTAAAGGAATAAAACGTCTGAAAGATTAAATGTGCTGCATTTGGTCTGTCTTCCACAAACACAACACAAAGTAGAAATTCTCTGGCAAGTAGCATGGCAGAGAAATGGAAAGGGGCCCACCAGTGCAGACTGAAAGGCTCATACTACAATTTTAAACAAATCCTGTTTCACGATGCATCCTGATTATAGTTTAAGAGATATTCAGGATGATATTGGCTTGACATTGCTGATGCCAAAACTAGATCCCTTGAGAATGAAGTACTTAAAATTTTCAAATGGATGCGCGAGGGATTATCACAGATTAGAAGCTGACAGAAGATCACTTGTAAAGGGAGACTGGAAACAGGCAGGCAGGTGGAGCTGGTTAAAGTGGGAGTTGTAAAAGTGACTTTAGTCATGTTGCCAAAGTTGGGGAGGAAGTCCAAACAATTTTGCTTTAAAATTATGAGTTTCAGAAATTATTATTATTTTTTTTGAGACGGAGTCTCGCTCTGTCACCCAGGCTGGAGTGCAGTGGCGCAATCTCGGCTCACTGCAAGCTCCACCTCCCGGGTTCACTCCATTCTCCTGCCTCAGCCTCCCAAGTAGCTGGGACTACAGGCGCCCACCACCACGCCCGGCTAATTTTTTTTTGTACTTTTAGTAGAGACGGGGTTTCACCGTGTTAGCCAGGATGATCTCCATCTCCTGACCTTGTGATCCACCCGTCTCGGCCTCCCAAAGTGCTGGGATTACAGGCATGACCCACCACGCCTGGCGAGTTTCAGAAATTATTAAAACATAATTTAGGTATCCATACCTTCAGAAAAAGTATTGTTCCAAATCTGTCTGAAGTTCATTTATGTGATCTGATCTTTTCTTAGTCATTTTTTAGCCTACTCAGTTGAAAATCTGCATCTTTTATTTTGAAAACCTTTTTCCTTCTTCCTTTGCGCTAACCTAACTGGTTTTATTTGAACCTCATTCAGTGGTTTCCTCGTCTACTGGTCTGTATGCCATTTATTAAGTGAAAATGCTACAGAGCGCCGGGCACAGTGGCTTACGCCTGTAATCCCAGCACCTTGGGAGGCTGAGGCTGGTGGATCACCTGAGGTCAGGAGTTCGAGACCAGCCTGGCCAACATGGTGAAACCCTGTCTCTACTAAAAATACAAAAATTAGCTGGGCGTGGTGGCGGGTGCCTGTAATCCCAGTTACTTGGGAGGCTGAGGCAGCAGAATTGCTTGTGCCCGGGAGGCAGAGGCTGCAGTGAGCTGAGATCTTGCCACTCCACTCCAGCCCGGGCGACAGAGCGAGACTGTCTCAAAAAAAAAAAAAAAAAGAAAGAAAGAAAATGCTCCTTGCTACTTCTGTTCTGGGAGCCAATCTTTTGGCTCCTTGATGGTCCTACTGCCAGTGGTCACTTGCTCTGTACTAGGCCTCTGTGAGCTGGGTCCCTTTTGATTTTGGGTGTGTGTGTGTGTGTGTGTGTGTGCACGCGCGCGCGTGCTTTGAACAGCTAAGAACTTGGAGCTGCCTCCGTTTCTGTCAGTGGTTGTTAATTCTGGCCTGACAAGGCTACTTTTTTCTTCCTGCTGTCTGTATTTAGGATTACAGGTGGAGTAAAACTTCGGTGGGGATTTAGAAAATTAGGGCAGTTGAGAAATTAGGGCAGGTGGGGAAGCTTGCTCAAGCCCCAGATACTAATTTCCCTGAGACCAAATCACCCCCAGTGTGGCAGGCTCAAGGTTTTTTGTTTGACCTTAGGTGAAGTTCTTTCTGGGGCTCACCAAGAGGGTAACCACATACGTTTTTTCCAGAATGTGGTAGTGTCTCAGACTTCTACATGCTTTCTTTAGAAGCTGAAAAAGAAGAATGTAGTCATCTAGGCAATACCACTCTGAACCTGCCTGATCTCAGAAGCCAAGTGAGTCAGGCCAGGTTAGTACTTGGATGGGAGACCACCTGGAAATACCAGGTGCTGGAGGCTTAAAACGAAGAACAGAATAGCTTATTCATGGTCCGTCAATCCTCAGTACCAGTCTAGTGGGAATCTTCAGTGAATTAACCTTTTTCTAGGGCTGCAGAGTTTAGTTGGTTTGCCCATAGCACTATCGAAGTTACAGGCTATATGCATTATCAGGTAGCTCCCACATCTGGGCTGCCACCTTTCAGAAGTTGATAGTCCAGGAGGCACATGGACCAGTTCAGATTCATTACAAACACAGGGAAAGTGCTCCAGTATTTTTAATCCATCTTTCCTTGCCTCGCGTAAGTGTAAAAGGCAGTGGAGTGGGGGTATTGTGATCCTATTGATTGGATTTCAGGTCCTGCTTTAGTCTGTGACCTTGAAAAGAATCATTAGCTTCTTTGGTTCTGTCTTAAAAGGAATGAAAATTATTGCTCACTATATCCCTTCTAACATGGGGAAGGTGATGAGGAATATGCTGGCAATGAATTTATAATGGAAAAAGTCTAACATTTCTCTTCCATACTTCTTTCAGAATCGGCTACAGTCTCAAAGGGCAATGCTTCTGCAGGGCACTGAAAGCCTGAACCGGGCCACCCAAAGTATTGAACGTTCTCATCGGATTGCCACAGAGACTGACCAGATTGGCTCAGAAATCATAGAAGAGCTGGGGGAACAACGAGACCAGTTAGAACGTACCAAGAGTAGAGTAAGTCTGGGCAGACAGGGAAAGGGGCAAGTATGGGGTAATTAGGGGGCCACTGCACCTGGAAACCGTACTAAGGCCAAAAGCTACAGCAGTTCTGTATTCAGGGAATAGTCTTTTTTAAGTTCTTATGCTTTTCTCAATTTTTATTTATTAATTTTTTTTTTTTTTTTGAGATAGAGTCTCACTGTGTCACCCAGGCTGGAGTGCAGTGGCGTGATCTCCACTTGCTGCAACCTCCGCATCCTGGGTTCAAGCGATTCTCTTGCCTCAGCCTCCTGAGTAGCTGGGATTACAGGCATGCGCCACCATGCCTAGCTAATGTTTGTATTTTTAGTAGAGATGGGGTTTCGCCATGTTGGCCAGGCTGGTCTCGAACTCCTAACTTCAGGTGATCCACCTGCTCCGGCCTCCCAAAGTGCTAGGATTATAGGCGTGAGCCACTGTGCCCGGCCGCTTTGCTCAATTTTTAGTTTGCTTGGCTGAGAGATGTCCCTTAGAAGCAATTTTACCCCTAAGATTTAGACATCACTGGAAATTTTTGCTTCAGTGAGGGGAAAAAAAGATGGAAGGACCTGATTTCTACACTTACAAGATTACAGAAATTAATAAGGATAAAGTGGCTGCATTCTCTCTTTGGCAAGAGAAATAATATGTCAAAAGGCACTTAAGGATTCAAAGCTTCCAATCTGAGATTTTAATTTCTCACACATCTAATAGGGTATTCTGCTATTCTTACGAAAACATCATCTGCTTATATCCTGTTATTTAGAGCCAAGGCTGTTTTCCAGATTTCATAAAATAGTACCACAGTTTATAGATTTATAAATTATGCTTCAATCCTGGACTATAACCCTTTACTGTTATGTAAGTAAAAGTAAAAAAAAAAAAGTAATAGGGAAAAAAATGTCTAAGGATTATCCAGTAAGGTAAGCTGGATCATTGTGGAAAGAAAACAAATATTTAAATCAAATGATGACTATATCAGGGATCTCTAGTCTGCTGTCACTCTGAGAGCCTCAGAAAAATAACTCATTTATTTTTTCCTTTCCATAAATGAGTTAACCTACATAGGAATTTTTTAGTTTTTTAGAGACAGGGTCTTGCTCTGTCACCCAGGCTGGAGTGCAGCAGTGCAATTTTAACTTACTGTAGCTTCAAACTCCTGGGCTCAAGTGATCCTCATGTGTAGCTGCGATACAGGCATGTGCTACTGTGCCTGGCTAATTGTTTTAATTTTTTGTAAAAACGGGGTCTCATTATGTTGCCAAAGTTGCTCTCGAACTCCTGGGCTCAAGCAATCATTCCACCTTGGCCTCCCAAAGCGCTAGGATTACAGGCATGAGCCACTGTGCCCAGCTGGAATTTTTTTTTTTTTTTTTTTTTTTTTGAGATGGAGTCTTGCTCTGTCGCCCAGGCTGGAGTGCAGTGGCGCAATCTCGGCTCGCTGCAAGCTCCGCCTCCCAGGTTCATGCCATTCTCCTGCCTCGGCCTCCCGAGTAGCTGGGACTACAGGCGTCTGCCACCACACCCGGCTAATTTTTCGTATTTTTAGTAGAGACGGGGTTTCACCATTTTAGCAAGGATGGTCTCGATCTCTTAACCTCATGATCTGCCCGCCTCAGCCTCCCAAAGTGCTAGAATTATAAGCGTGAGCCACTGCGCCCGGGCAAAATTTTTTAATTGGTACAATTTACCAATGGAATGCTGTATTCTTAATAGCAGAAGGCAAATCAATTTGAAAAACATACTGTGGCCAAGATTTGGACAGGAAAATACTAGCTCAGTGTGAAGATTTGAGTAGATTTTCTTAATAGCTTCAGTTCTCCATTAAGTCAGAGTAATGCCCTGCCCTCTTCAGTGAAAATTCACAATAAAGTACTACATTCAAGGCAAGCTATGGAGAATGTAACTTGCTTACAGATTGTGTGGGTTTTGGTTTTTGAACATACCAGGTAGATTGGTTGAATTTAAAAGCCAAGGAGGCCGGGCTTACACCTGTAATTTTAGCACTTTGGGAGGCTGAGGTGGGAGGATGGCTTGAGCCTAGGAGTTTGAAACCAGCCTGGGCAACATAGCGAGACCTCATCTCTAGAGCGAGACCTCATCTCTATAGCGAGACCTCATCTCTACTAAAAATCAAAAAAAGGAGCAGGGTGTGGTGGCGTGCACCTGTGATCCCAGCTACTTGGGGACATGTGGGGTTATTGCTTGAGCCTGGGAGGTCGAGGCTGCAGTGAGCTGCGATTGCAGCACTGCACTCCAGCCTGAGTGACGGAGTGAGACCCTGTTTCAAATAAATAAAAGCCAAGGAACGAGCTGAGAGGTCAGCTTACCAAGGCCACTGGGGAATGGGAACAGATGGCAAGTAGCCATCTGCTGGAGGTGAAATATCCTCCAGCTGTCCAGATTAGTAGCAAGCAGTTGAAAGTTCCATGGAGGTTAATTCTTTTCACAGTTCAATGTAACTGTCTCTTAAGAGGGTAAAGAAAAAAACCAGATCCCAAAAGCAGTAACAGACCAGCCTACAAAAACAAATGCCAACTCAAGAGGCTGTCCTGGAATTTGGCTGATGAAATTCAAATCTTAAGTTGCTCTACAGTCACTGGCTGGCCAGTCTGCTGGCTACACTTGAAGCCTTCCCTTTTGGAGTAGCCACGGTAGAAGATTAGCTCAGTCTCAGGAGTCCATCCCCAGCAGCAACCTGGGAAGATGATTCTTAAGCCTACTTGATGAGTACTAAAATATCTTGTCCTTTCCAGGTTCTTCTACTTACACTCAAAGGCCATCATTTAAATTGGCTTGATTTCTTGGAATTTTTCAACATATATCCCTTAATGCCTACTGTTAATCTAGGGATATTCAATTGTACAGAGTATACTTTTTAAAGAGGGAAATAATCACTATTTTCTCTTCTCAGCTGGTAAACACAAGTGAAAACTTGAGCAAAAGTCGGAAGATTCTCCGTTCAATGTCCAGAAAGTAAGTTTTATTAAAGTCATGAAATTTCTCTTAACTCAGTGGCTTTCAACCAAAAAGCTTAAAATAGTGACTTACAAAGGTCCTCATAAAGCACCTCAGCAGTTGACGCATAGTCCCTGTATACTCAGTACCACCCAGCAGACCAGAATAAAGACGCTAAGGAATATGGTCTTGGATAATTAAATAACTCAGGATAAAATCATTTGTTAAAAGTATATACTGCTTTGACTTGGAGCAGTGAAAAATTTCTCCACTGAAAGGACATTTAATCACAGCTGATGTTCTTTAGAGAAGGCAACACATGGGAATAACAGCTTCCTATTCCTTGAAATATATTTATATAATCTCAGCCCCGTGCGGTGGCTCATGCCTGTAATCCCAGCACCTTGGGAGGCTGAAGCGGGCAGATCACAAGGTCAGGAGTTCAAGACCAGTCTGGCTCAAATGGTGAAACCCGTCTCTACTAAAAATACAAAAAAATTAGCCAGGCGTAGTGGCGGGCACTGTAATCCCAGCTACTCAGGAGGCTGAGACAGAATTGCTTGAACCTGGGGGGTGGAGGTTGCAGTGAGCCGAGATGGCACCACTGCACTCTAGCCTGGGGGACAAAGCGAGACTCCGTCTCAAAAAAAAAAGAAATATATTTGTAAAATCTTGATTAGAAAGTAGTTTTCACTTGCATAGTACTTGCTTTTGGCTCTGCTTGCCCTTCATGGGAGTCAGCTCCTTTTCTGGAAGTTCTATATTGTAGGGAAGAAGTAGACTTTTAAAAATAAAACCCTTGTGGAGTTGTCAGGGTTCTTGGGCAGTAACTGAGTCAAGATGCTGCAGAATCTGCTGGCACTGTCAGGTTGCCCAGAGGACCATGAGCATTGCTTCATGCAGGCATTTTGAAAATAAAGGTCCAGAAAACACAAGCTGTTTCAGGAGAAGAATGGAATTCCAGTGCATCTAAAGGGTGGTAGAGCTGATGACCTCCTGTATAGAGCCACCATGGTTCTCAGTTAGTGAAACAGCATATGCCATGCATCAGCTGGCTGTGGTTTCATTTCCCAAGAAATGGGATTGACTTCAGTCATCACAGCAGTGACTTGATTCAGTTTCATTCAGCTCTGTATGGACTCCTAGTCCATAGAGAATAAATAAGTCCTTCTTTGAAGACAATATTTGAATTGTACTAACTGCCACCAATACAGTAGTCTTTACCAAAAATAAAAAACAAAATCCTCGAGTGCTAACAGCAACAAATCCAGGGCAGAAATACTGCCACTGAGGTTGAAGTTGGGGGTAAGAGGGTATTGTACGTGACCTTGGGCACAGGTGGCCTAGCATGAAACAAAACTACAACCCACTCATGGAACTAGCAGGAGGGGTGGGATTTTCCTACAGTGATAAATTCCTTGTGGACTAGGGAGAAACCTAGAGTGAACATGAGAACCAGAGGTTGGATTCTTTATGTAAACAACAGATAGGAAAATTTTTAAGCTCCTATACTACCTTTATAACATACCCATTTGGGTTGATAGGAGAGCAAAGGGAAAAATAGGGCAGAGGGAAGAAGTTTACAAGGGATTGAAAGGTATTACCCAGGCTTCTAGTTACTTATCCTAGGGCAGGACCCATCCTGAGCTGGATGTCTATTTGATTACTTTTTCTAGCTAACCCTTCTTTCTAGAAAAGCTATTTTTAAAGGAAGTAACTACTATTTGAACAACATTTCAGAATCCATTTTTATGCTTTGGTTTTTATTGTCTCAGTTTAACATTTCTGTGAGGTAGACAGTGTTATCCCTAAGTGACAGCTAAAGAACCTTATGAGTACTTCCTGCTAAGTGGCTGTGTGATCAAACATACAGCCTCAGAGTATCCAGCCGTGGTCCCAGGTCTAACCCCAAAATGTTTAGAAGGAAGGTTATCCAAACTTCTGACTACTCCCCACTTTGCTTCTCTTTGTAGAGTGACAACCAACAAGCTGCTGCTTTCCATTATCATCTTACTGGAGCTCGCCATCCTGGGAGGCCTGGTTTACTACAAATTCTTTCGCAGCCATTGAACTTCTATAGGGAAGGGTTTGTGGACCAGAACTTTGACCTTGTGAATGCATGATGTTAGGGATGTGGATAGAATAAGCATATTGCTGCTGTGGGCTGACAGTTCAAGGATGCACTGTATAGCCAGGCTGTGGGAGGAGGGAGGAAAGATGAAAAACCACTTAAATGTGAAGGAACAACAGCAACAAGACCAGTATGATATACCAAGGTAATAAATGCTGTTTATGACTTCTTTAAATTTACATAGTACTGTAGCATATTAATACCCTGTGAACTGCAAAAAACCAAATACATTTACAGTAGTATTGGTCACCAAAATAGAGGGGAAACTTTACAATTGTGAGAATGTGTAAATGTTCTCATTAAGGCAGTATTGACCCAGACAACCATTTAGTATTCATCTATCCCCTCAATGCCTCATAATTCTGGAATGCCTGTTGTGAAACATGTCAGTGCACAGTGTCTCCTAAATTCTCACACGTGCTTGATTTTCTGATTCATCTGGTGAACTGGGAGTAGGAAGTTGGTCATAGACAATATGCCCTCCTTCTCTTGTCTGACCAAAGCTTGAAGCAATCACATCTACTGCCAGGTTAGCTGTAGTCTTCGCCTCTTCCTCTGAGGTGGCCAACTGAGGATTGACTTCAACAAGATCCAGTGCTGATAGCAACCCTGGAAGAACAAAGTGTGACAAAACCTCAGGTTCCCTTGCTGCTACTCTCAGTGAGGGTCATCCCACTGGGACAGGGAGAACAAGCCAAAGTAAAAACAAGAGTCCATTTTATAGTAGAAAATACCTATTTTTAGGAAGCCCCTTGCACCTCATCCTCTTGGCCATGAATTTAAGTTAAAACACTGTTGTGCTATAGTAGATTAAAAGAAACCTTTTAAGATAATGAAATAAACCATCCCTGTTCAACTAACATAACAGGCATAATTGTCAGGCGTTCTGGAAAAGGAAAAGGCTTGGTGTTGGGTGGGGGAGGTTTTCATCCTGCTTGTTGGCAAAATGTATGCCACCTCCAGTATGACTAGGAACCTTCCAGATGCCTGCCTGGAAATGAATCAAGTATGAAGGCAGAGGAAATCTGCCACTTGCACTAGCCAAACTGCATTCCCACTTTTGAACTCTAATGTGTTATCTGTATCTGTTAGAGCACCACACCATATGCCCTGAAATGTAGTTATTACTGCAAACTTCATTCTCACCCCTGCAGGCCTGAGCTCTGGAGGCAGGTTCCACATCTAACAACATCTTTTTGTCTCCCAGCAGACTGACCCAGTGTCTTGTACTTGATCAAGAGAAAATTCAGCCATATGTTAATTATTTTATCTGGACTTCAGTTACCTTCTGTTAAGGTTTGAGAACTTGTGTCAAAGTTCTCGGTAGTGTTCCTTTGGCCTGGAGCAAGTGGAAGGGAAGCTTAAACCAGAAGAACCTATCCAGACCTGCTACTATGCTCACCCCTCTAAATGCCTCACTTCTCTATAGAATTTAACTTTTTAGTTGGTTATTCTGGATGAAGGGTGATCTGAACAAGCTAGTATTCAGGAATACAAGTATCTAAGAATATTTAGGGTGGCCATAAAGTCTGGAAACACAGGCAAATGTACCTAATGGTTTATTGATATTACACTATAGTACATGATGTGCTGAATGCCATCATGTCCGTTCAGCATCTTCCCTTATTAGCAATGCATAGTTGAGTGTACAGTGCCAAACTGCAACCAACAGGTGTATTACTGTAGCATTTCCATCATTTCCTGCACATGGACCTGTGTTCCTGATTTGTCTCTGATTTCCACTGACTAAACCTGCACCTTTAGCATATCCCAGAAGTGGTCATCAAAGTTTGCACTATTAGAAATATATACATGACTTATGTTTCCAGACTATTGCCACCCTATAAATTAAGCAAACTGCTTTATGTATCTAGTTGACAGCATTATAACAGTGCAGTGGCACAATCATGGCTCACTGCAGCCTCAACCTCCCAAGTAGTTGGGACACCTGGCTAATTATTTTTTGTAGAAACGGGGTCACACTATGTTGCCCACGCTGGTCTTGAACCCCTGGGGTCAAGTAATCCTCTTGCCTTGGCCTCCCAGAGTACTGGGATTATAGGTATGAACCACTGTGCCTAGCCCCATGAGTGTCTTTTGGAGTAAAATATTGTAGCATAGGAACAAAGAGACAAGCCATGCCATATATAAGTGCTAGAGGTTATTAACCCCTGCTCTAAGTGGTGTTTTTAGGAAGCAAAGCAGAGAATTGAACCCCCAAGTTCTCTGGCCAATAACCTAAGGACCACTGGCAACATCTAAGATTGCAGATCTGAGAATTAGACCAGTACTGCCTGCCTTTTTGTACTGCCTAAGGTTCTGGCAGGCTGTGGCGCTAAGGAGACCATTTCTCAATGTGAGTTTCTATCCCAGCTAGTCAAGGGTTCTCTATAGCCCTGAACCTTTCAATCTGGGGTCTCTATCTATACCCTAGTTCCATCAGATGGTTACTGAAGCAGTATGATTTGGTAGTTCTTTAAATTTTGGAATGAAAGGTCATTTGAAGTAGCTTTAAAACCAGAAGCTTTCTGACAGAAATGGAAACTGTTTGCAAACAAGTATGAGTTTTGGAAAAGTAGCCAGTCTTGATAACGTAGAATTCATCTTAGTACTCTTTCCATCAGCCATTCTCATCTAACTGTATCCCCCTTATTAGAAATCCTTTCAGGCTCTAGTACAAGACCTACCCTACATAAAGGACCCAAGATATTGTCCAGTTTGCAGATTTCTTCAAGAGATCAGCTTTAGCTCCAAATTCACAACTCCCAATGAACCAATCTCTTAGAGTGCAAATTACAGCCTTGCACTCTTATCTTATCTTGCCTTCTTATCTTAATCTGCCTTTAGATAACTCAAAGAACTGCATCAGTTTGACAATTTATTCTTGTATTTAATTGTTTAAATATACAATTTTTTACTCATTATTACCTTAGTGTAATTTGGTAAGAGCCATGTCCAAGCATGACTCTAAAGGACTATATCCTTTTTATTAGCATGGCCATATAATTTTTAGCTACAAAAGTTTAAGCAAAAACAAACTCTGCAATGATGTGGAATAGCAGAAAAGATCCTTTGCAGGCAAGAGACTCTAGCATATTTACCTATGTAGTTAACAGGCTGCAGACCTGGTTGCTACATACCTGTATTGTGTATTTCCTCAGCAATATACATGCCTTCTCGATAGGTTAGTCCCCCGACAACAGGAGTTCCTGTGGCTGGAGCCAGTGTAGGGTCAAATGCATCAATATCAAAACTCAAATGGATTGGTCTTTGTCTCCTAAAAAGGAAGAGGATAAAATAATACTTAAAATAATACTTAACTGGTTGTCCTTGGACACTCATCCTTCTTATGGTTGCAACTCCTTGATTTTGTTGCTATTAGTCCTAGTACTTTGTTAATAAAGCTGTTAATACATTTCCAGGCTTCCTATTCTTGGAAGTTACTGAGATTGGCAATATTAACTTCCTACATACCACTTCATGATACTGCCATTTGTTCTGCATACCTCAGACAGACTAACTCCAATGTATATTTCTGCCTTACACTGGGTATTAGAACCTCTTATACTAATAACTGTCAATAGAGAGATTTCTTCACTTCTAGATGAGATTGGGCTCTCATCTAGAGACAATTTAATTAGACAATTTAAATTAGTCTAATTTAAATTGGCTTGATGTAAGTTATGGTTGCTCTTATTCTCTGAACGTAACAGCAGCTGAAGTGAACTCTAATTTTAGGTCTGCAGTTTTAACATCTTCCATTTCTAACTTCATTATAGCCCCAGTGTCCAAAGGCTGAAGCTAACAACTAAGTTTCTTAACAGCTTATGAAATGACATACTACCAGATAACAATTCTGACATTAATCACCCAGAAGTAAAGACTTGGTATTGGGAAAATGCTCTTAAAATTACCATTTGATTAGTATTCATCTGCCATCTTTCTACACTGCCAAGATTTGCTTAATATAAAACTCAGATGAAACAATCGTGAGGCTGGGAAGAATGGGACAGTTGAAACAATAAATGCTTGTCATCTCAGAAGATAAGCATTAAAGATGGAGATAAAGAAAAATTCATGAGACAGAAGATCTAGGCAATGATTTAGAGGAAACCTCCTCCCAAAAACCCCAGAGGAAGAATATGACCTGTGTTTCAAATTTTGCCTTTCTGAACTATTTAAAATTATGTGTATGTTTTTGCTTTGTATTTTAAAAGTAAAGCTGCTGTCCTCAAGAAACAGGCTAAAAGTGTGTTGCCCATTGGGGGTTTGCCCTGACATCAGTTATAGTTACTTACTTGCCAATCAGCAGATCAAATGTTCGTTCCATGACCTTCTGGATACCAAGTCGATCAATATCTCTCATGGAAAAATACTGGATATCATAGTTCTTTAAAATAAAACTGTGATGAGATATAAAGGGAGGAGTCCTTAGTTTAAAGAGCATTTTTAACAAATATGTATTTGGGGGAGAGGGTGGGTTTGTTGTAGTGACCTGCAATAGACCAAGTTAAGCATCAGCCTTTCAAATAGAACATAATTGGCTAGGACAGGCCCTAAACTTCAGCCAAATGCATCAACTTACTGTTCAGGAGGGTCCACGTCTCTCAGACCAATATACACAATACTTGCAGAAGAGATACAAGGTTTGATCCAGGAAAATCCTGGGAGTTGTGGTACCTATGAAAGGGAGAAATGGACAGGATTAATCAAGAATTCTTGTTCTCACCAAGATCATTATCATGTGCGTCCGTGGGTATGCAATCTGCTTTCTTCTGCCACCCACAGGGTAAGTTTAGAGCAACACAGGACACACTTGATCTGGGAAGGAGAAGTGACACAAGGTGGAAATGTTTCAGAAGGGCAGCTGAGGAACACAGTATTGCTTTCTCAAGACGAATAAAATCTCTAAGGTTGTCTTGGTTTCTCATTAACTTACCTAGTA
Organism: Homo sapiens; assembly: GCF_000001405.40. Taxonomy (NCBI): domain Eukaryota; kingdom Metazoa; phylum Chordata; class Mammalia; order Primates; family Hominidae; genus Homo; species Homo sapiens. The sequence goes on along the minus strand of NC_000014.9, from coordinate 67,646,378 downwards.
GCAGGAATACTGCTGATTAGCCCTTTTCTATCCCATTGCACATTACTGACTTGTTTACAGATTGGTTCTTGAAGCATAACCTGGTTGCCATCTCAAGTTGCCAACAGCCGACACAGGACTTCCGCCCAATGAATAATCTTTGTAGTGTCCTGGTTTGACTTGGTCCCTCACTGAGGGGAGGGATATACAGATTCTAGTCTGTGCCTAACATGGACTCCCATATATTCTGAACTGCTCAGGAAAATATTACCCAGAGGTCATGGTTTTATTTGTCTTCTAGATCAGTGTGTCTGAGAGTATGGCCTGGGAGCCTCTAACCAAGAAGTCCTCAGGCTGTGGGTATATCAGTCGCTATTGTTACTACCCCCTCCTTGCTTTCTTACAAAGAACAGAGACTATGTCTAGTCTTTATACCCCTAGCATCTGGCAGACTGCCTGGTCCATAATAGTGATGAACAAATGAAGGAGTGGTAATCCACACTCAACCCACCCTTCACCAAAATCTTAACTGAACTAGACCAACTCCAGCAAAACCCTGCAAGCCATTCACCTTTCTTTTCGTTTTGGCCCACTGACCTTATCCTGTAGTTCTCTGAGGAGAAATGAAACTGGCTGTCCATGGAGATTTCCTGATGAAGTGGTAAGGGGTGTGTTGATGTCAGCATGGGCATCAACCCAGACAACACAAAGGTCTGGGCAGTGTCGGGCATGGCCACTAATGGTACCGATTGCCAGGCTGCAAAGAACAAGTATAATCTTGAAGGCCCTCTGCTTGGCAAACATGACCGATAACAAACGTCCTCAGCCAAAACAACTTATACTCTCTCCACAGTGCAAAGCCAGGGCCTAGATGGAGACTGGGTTTGGGTGAGGCAAGACCTGTAGTTGTAGTTCTCAAAAATTAATCTTGAGTGATAAAGCCCTAGAGATTCGAAGCTGGTGACTTGCTACCCTGCAGTGTGACAGATGTCACTGCTGTCCTGTCCCCAAATCCGTATAATTTTATCCATTAGCCCTGCTCAGAAAAGAACCTCAAATATTTGTTCAATGAATGAAATCAAGTTAAGCCAGACAAGATGGTGTACACCTGTAATCCTGGCTACTCAGAGGACTGAGGTGAGAGGATCACATGAGCCCAGGGGTTCAAGACCAGCCTGGGCAAAATAGTCACACCCTGTCTCCAAAAATGAAAAAAAAAAAAGAAATCTAGGTAAATGGTACAGTCTATAGGTAACGACTCACCAAAATCTGTAAGAAAAGCTCTTGGAGACATTAACAGGGTAAACCATTAAAGACCTAATTTAGACCACTGAGTAAAAAGATGTATTGCATGTTACCTTATATATATTAGCATGGCATTCAATTTTTTTTTTTTTTTTTTAAGACGGAGTCTCGCTCTGTTTCCCAGGCTGGAGTGCAGTGGCGCAATCTCAGCTCACTACAACGTCCGCCTCCTGGGTTCAAGCTATTTTCCTGCCTCAGCCTCCCGAGTAATTGGGATTACAGGCACATGCCACCATGCCTGGCTAATTTTTTGTATTTTTAGTAAAGATGGGGTTTCAACATGTTGGCCAGGCTGGTCTTGAACTCGACCTCAAGTGATCCACCTGGCTCAGCCTCCCAAAGTGCTAGGATTACAGGCGTGAGCCACTATGCCCAGCCTCAAATATAAGATCTTAAAGTGTATTTCTGTTTTTGCCTTTCCTTGTCCTTGGGCTCTGCTTACATTAGCCAACTGTTCTGTCTCAATTCTAAGAATACACCTGATGAAATAAATGTTGGAAAGCTTCCCAGTAACCAAGGAATTTGACATAGATGGGAAATGCAGCTTAAGCATCTTAGGACTGCAACCATCCTTCTTGGTCAATATAGCATGAGACAGCTATTCTAGGTGCCATGTCCCACACTGGTTGGGTCTTTTGAGGAATAGCATGGTCTAGTGAAAAGGCAGTGGATTAAGTCAGAATACTAGAGTTTTAGTCCTGGAAGAGCTGTGTGACTGAAGACAAACCATCTAATTTCTTTAGATTTCAGTTTCCTTTTCTGTGAGATAGGGATAATAATAATACTTGGCCTGTGTAAATCAGAGTTGCTTTGATGATTAAAGTAGTAATATATGTTAAACTACATAAAAGGAGCAGTGACCTAAAAATGGCTCTTCTTGAAAATGTTCAACAGCTATTCAAGTTATGCACTTATCTCTTCCTCTCTAGAATTTCAGATTGCCTAAGCTTTAACATTGAGCTGGTAAGCAGTAACATGGCTGCAATATAGATAGCCACAGGAAAAGAAAACAAGATCTGTGGTAATCACATTGATCAGTGGTCCCCAAACAGTGAGACTTGACCAGAACTCAGAACAGCAGACAGACTTAATAAATTTCCAGAGACTACACTGAGAAAGGAGGCAGGAGACTTGCCCTCTGGTTGATTTAATTGAATGGCCTAGTCATCTCAGTAGGGAACCTGGGTGTGACCGTTTTCTTCAACCTGAGTCTTTTTTTTTTTTTTTTTTTTTTTTTTTTTTACTCCCAAGGAGGAATCTACCTGCTTCTCCAGATGTAACAAAGATTTCATTTCTGTTCAGTGATCTGAAAAGCTTTCTCAGCACCTCAGGGAAAATAATCACCAGAAGAGTCACACTGGATTTGAATCCCAGCTCTATTTCCTGGTTCTAGTCCTTGGATAAGTTATATTTTCTTTCTTATTTATTTATTTTTAAGAGACCTGATCTCACTGTGTTGCCCAGACTGGCCTCAAACTCCTGGGCTCAAGCAATCCTCCCACCTTGGCCTCCTGAGTAGCTGGGCCTGCAGGCATGCACCACTGTGCCCACCTTGGATAAGTTCTTATATATCTGTCCCTACATGCTTCCAGCAGTAAATGATAAAACCATATCTACCACCTAGCATTGTTAGCAGAATTAACTGAGAATATGTATGGAGTGCTCAATACTCCTAGTACTTCAGTGCCTTCTTCCTACTGAAGACCTTCATTGCTTATTTCAAATCACATTCCCTTGTGAAATCTATTTTAGTCCAGACTGATCTCTTCCTCCTTTGAAATTCTGTAGAATTCAATATTTTTGTTTATTCCATGTATATTTATTTCATCTAGGCCTTAATATATCACAAATTTCCTGCAATCTCTAGCACTGCTGAGAAAATATCAGAACAGTGCTCAATAAAGTACATGCTGATTCAGGAGGAGACAGGATCAAAGGACTGATTGCATGAGTCACTAGGGTCCATATTGTGGAGGCAGAAAATGTATCCACAGCTGGGCACAGTGGCTCATGCCTGTAATCCCAGCACTTTGGGAGGCCTTGGCAGAAGGATCGCTTGAGCTCAGGAGTTCGAGACCAGTCTGGGCAACATGGCCAAACCCTGTCTCTACAAGAAATACAAAAATGAGCCAGGCATGGTGGCATGCACCTGTAGTCCCAGCTACTTGGGAGGCTGAGGTAGGAAGATGGCTTGAGCCTAGGAGGCAGAGGTTGCAGTGAGCTGAGATCATGCCACTGTACTCCAGCCTGGGCAACAGAGCCAGACCCTATCTCAAAAAAAAAAAAAAAAAAAAAAAAAAAGAAAATGTAGTAACATGCCAAAGGGGATTTCTAACAGGTCTATTAGCAGAAATGCTAACAAAAACTTGCACATTCAGCCTATCAATGGATCTTTCTAATTCTCCAAAGTCATAAGATAAGTCTCAAGAAAGCTTTCCAGGAGACAAGCATGTTAACACAGTGCCTAGGAACCTTGCCTAGTATACCTCTGAACTTGCTGTGTCTGAATGTACATATTCTTACTGTGCAATGTGTCATACAAAGAAAACCACAGTGCCCCTTGAGCAGCTCAGGATCTTAGACATTTAAATGCTTGCTGTTCATTTTAATATCTACCCTAAAAATTCTGTAGGGTATTTTTCTCCAGATGAAGAAACAGATAAAGAAGCTAAGTTATGAGCCCCAAGCACCATGTAATCCATCCCCTCACCACGCCTGGCTCCCAGCTTACCTGTGGTCTCCTCCCAGTGTGACACAGCTGTAGCCATCTGACACAGCTCTGCTAACCACCTCAGCCAGTTCCTGGTTGGCAAGACCCACTGAGCGTGGATTCACTATCAGGTTGTTGTAGAGATCATCTTTGGGGACTGGAGTAAAACTCAAATCTCCAAAGTCTTTTAGGTGGCAGCCTGGAAGCAAATGAGGGATGACAAGATGAATTTTCTGTGCTATCTCCAACTCTTAACTAGCCTGGGCCACAATGATAATACGTGACAAAGTACACATCATAATCATTTTGTCACAGTAAAATTTAAAATGTCAAATGATTGTGGGAAGATTATCTCGATCCTATTATGAACAGTTTTGCAGATGTTGGAAACTGAAACTAAGAGATATCGATTGACTTAACCCAACAATAAAAAAATGGTTAACCATTAGACCTCAGATATCCTGGAGTGATAGAGTAGAAATAAAATATCAAAAAGAACCAACAATCTTAAAGAAAATTAAGAACCAACAATTTTAAAGGAAATTAAGTACTATTAATTTAGCAAAAAAATACACAAAGAGAGTCTCATTTTTTTAAACTTTCTTTTTGTAGAAATGGGGTCTTGCTATGTTGCCCCAGCTGGTCTCAAACTTCTGACCTCAACTGATCCTCCCGCCTCATCCTCCCAAAGTGCTGGGATTATGGGCATGAGCCACCTGCCTGGCCAAGAAATTCACATATTATAAACTTTTATAAATAGCCAATCTGAAACATCCTAAAAGAAATATCTAATATTTATTGATTATTTACAAGATCCCAGGCATTGTTCTAGCTGCTTAACATAAATTCTTATTTAAGACTCAAAACAGTTGTGTGAGGCAACTAAAATGTGCCTATTTGGTGGATGAGGAAACTGAAGCAAAGAGAAGTAACCGCCCAAGTTACACAGCTATTAAGTGCCAGAATCAGGATCCAAATCTAGGCCATCTGGCTCCAAAGTTTGTACAGGTTGAGTACCCATTATCCAAAGGCTTGGGACCAGAAGTGTTTTAGATTTTTTATTTTTTTCAGATTTTGGAATATTTGCATTATATATATATTGAGATATCTTAGGGATGGAACTCAAGTCTAAACACAAAACTTGTGTTTCATACACACTTTATACACATAGCCTGAAGGTAATTTTATATAATATTTTAAATCATCTTGTGCATGAAACAAAGTTTGTGTGCATTAAACCATCAGAAAACAAAGGTGTCACTATCACAGCCACCCATGTGGACAATATGATTGTTTGGCATCACCATCTTCCTGACTCTGAATTTATATGCTACTGATAGGCAGTTATTTTCTTACTTTTTCACACATAAGTACTTAAAAGCAGAAAATATGACATACCATTAATACAGTGTGTTCAGGGTAACTTGTAATGTCATATTGGTGCTCAAAAAGTTTCAGATTTTGGAACATTTCCGATTTTGGATTTCTGGATTAGGGACGCTCAACCTCTATCCTTTACTATGCAGTTTGTCTCCTAAGGAATTCCTCATGAGTCCAACACTTTAAGAACTAGTGCTATATTCTCACAGCTTTGAATATTTCCCCACCTAAGTTGGATGCTACATTTAGGATGAGGACTAAATAATCTGACTGTATCAAAAAGGGATCTGAACTATCAGAGAACAGAACATTGACATAGATTATATTCTTAGGGTCCTGGTATTGGTGGGAAAGGGGCAGTAACAAGATAAGACGTGGCGTATCTTAATATTTGCAGAGATTTGTGTTAAAGGTTCGGATTAAGAGCAGCATGGACTCATCATGAATTTAAATTATAATTTTGAGCTCTACCTCTTGAACCCAAACTCAATCCAAAGCCAAAATTCTGAAGAAATATAAAAATTTGAGGAGCAGTGACCATAACAAAAAGCCATGAGGCCAACCAAGGAATTGCCACCGCAAGAGATATTGGAAACAAGACAGAAAACTTTGTCCTATTCTTTTTTTCCTCCCCAGCCCTTGTGTCACCCAGACCTATTCTTAAAGGTGAGATACACCTACAGCAAGAATTCTGTATTTATCTTTTGGTCATTACACTTTAAGAAATAGTCATATAAAAGGCCCCAACCTGGAGAAGATCCAGACAACCAGATAAAAAGGTAGCAGAGCAGGGGTAGGAGGAGAAAAATATGACAACAGGCCAAAGACATTGTGAACCAAGATAAAAATGTGAACCAAATAAAACATCTATAAAAATCTTTTATTTTTTTAAAAAAAGACAAAAAGGTTTGAGTAAAGTCATTATGGACTTCACCAAATCTCAAAATATGGAGAGGATACTTTAGACTTAAGAGAATGAAAGCTTTAATTAACCTTCAAGTCAATATCAAGTCTTTCCTCTGTCTGTTGACAACACAATCCTGGACTGCACAGACTTTTTTTTTTTTTTTTTTTTTTTTTGAGACAGGGTCTTGCGCTATCATGCAGGCTGGAGTGCAGTGGCACAATCTCGGCTCACTGCAACCTCCACTTCCTGGATTCAAGCAATTCTCCTACCTCAGCCTCCCAAGTAGCTGGGATTACAGGTGTGCGCCACCACGTCTGGTGAATTTGTTTTTGTATTTTTAGTAGAGACAGGGTTTCGCCATGTTGGCTAGGCTGGTCTCGAACTCCTGACCGCAAGTGATCCACCTGCCTCGGCCTCCCAAAGTGCTGGGATTACAGGCATGAGCCACTGCACCCAGTGTACTGTACAGATCTTGAATGGACAATTCCTGGATGTTTCTACTTTCACCTCCATGTTTATCTCAGCACTCTCCTTAAATCACATCAACCATTAGGTTCTTACTAGATGTAAGACACCAGGGTATGCCTGGTGTTTTATAATATTAGGTGTACAATTATAAAAGATTTATAATCTTTATAAATTTATATTTTGGTAATTGCACTCTAAGGAATAGTCATATAAAAGGCCCCAAACTGGAGTTAAATAATATTAACTAACGTTTCAGAACTATTTGCCAAGCACTTTCATTCAATCCTCATAGGACCAAGAAGAAATACAGGGAAATTAAAGTGCTCAATCCAGTGGATAAGTCACAGAACTTTGGGACTACCCAAGTCCAATCATGCAAACCAGGATGTAGACTCAGATAAACGTGACAGAAAACAGTACTCACTTGTATTAGAAAAAAGCTGCACAAAGCCTAAAAAGGAACCTAAAGAGAATTTGGCAATCTTACAGTAACGTTCCCAGGAAGAGAGACTGAATTTCATAGAAGGATTTCAGTCGCTAATTCAGGCCACCACTCTGCTCTCATTACAGGTGCTAGAAGGGTTACTAACTTCTGTCGGGGGTTCATCAGATTAATTCCCAACCTGGGTAGTGGATTCTGTCCACATTGTCCAACTCCATTTACTCCGATGCCATCTCACCAAACAGCATTCTGGCTATTCAGTTGGTTTCCCACATGCCTTAATATGGGCAAAAGCTTCTAGACAGTGGACACTGGAAGGACTACTGCTTAACATAATTATGCACGGGCATTTTGGTTGATCCAGCATGGTTAGCATGAGTCTGGGTCTGAAAGCCTGATGAGCTATGCACTCAGCAACCTTGTGTTTCTGCATCCACAAAGCTAAGGGCCAGCCTCCTCTAAAGGGATTTATACCTTGAGAGGCCCTGCCTGAGTGGCCTACCTTCCTGCTCCCAACTCTGTTTTTTCTTTTTTCCCCCTAGAATATTCAGGAAGAACGAACTCAACTCTATAATTTGCACAGTTTCAGTGCCAGGTAAGGACTTGGGACAATGAGTCCTAAAGGAGTCAGGGGAAGTTCACTGAGGATCAGGGGCGTCAAAGAAGAACTCCTATGACAAATAGTTTGTACTTGCACTGTTTTGTTTTGAAATTCTCTGTAAAATTGGATAACGTGTATATCAGAGGTCCCAAACCTACTGCCCGGGTTTTACTACTGTATCCTTTCAGACTTTAATCATTTTTTTTCTTTTTTTTTTGGATTATTTGTAGAGACAGGGTCTCACTGTGTTTTCCAGGCTGGTCTCCAACTCCTGGGCTCAAGTAATGCTCCCATCATGGCCTTCTAAAGTGCTAGGATTACAGATGTGAGCCACCATGCCTGGGCTAGTTATAGGCATAATACATAATATTATTTTAAGTAAGGTTATTAGAGTAAATTAACTGTCATAGCAAAATATGTTTGAGCCCAAAATATGGCTCAAACAAGTTTATTTCTTGTTTGTTTAGCATCCAGGGTAGATATTCCAGGTCAGCAGGAGGCTTTCCTTTATGCAGTAATTCAGAGACCTGGCTTGTGGCTCTCATGCCTAGGACTTTGCCATCTGTGTGGCTAAGTCTAGGTCTCCCCAGGTTCAAGGCAGCGGGAGAGGAAGAAAGCATTGAGAAAGCACACCTCCTCTTTTCAAGACTCTGGCCTGAAAGTGGCACATTACTCCTGCTCACTTTTGGCACTGGCCAGCAAATGCAGGTCTAGCTTATGTCCAGAACAGAATGCGAATGGATTTTGGTGGACAGCTAGCAATGTATGCCACCGTGAGTACTTTTTTATTCTACTGCCATAACCTTTAAGAACAAAATATGAAAGTTGCTCTAGGATTACAAATTTATGTTAAACTATTCTAGTTAATTACATAACTGAATCAACAAATACATGATGCCAGCCTGATGTCACCTCTTAAGAGCTTTCTCCTCTAATGCCCACTGTGCCAATAGTATTGGGTACTACCAATACCCAAAGGACTGGTAGAACAGAACCCTAGTTCTAGGATTATCTGAACCCTGGTTCTAGTATGTTGTTGTAGAAAACATGAATTGTAACCCATCTGCTACAGTTTTTTTTTAAGAGGAGTGAGGAGGCTGATGGGAAGTTAACTTTTTGTAACAGCAGGATGAACTGAGTAATATTAAAGTTCTTTTTTTTTTTTTTTTTTTTTTTGAGACAGAGTCTTGCTCTGTCGCTCAGGCTGGAGTGCAATGGCATGATCTCGGCTCACTGCAACCTCCACCTCCCTGGTTCAAGGGGCTCTGCTGCCTCAGCCTCCCCAAGTAGCTGGGATTACAGGCATGCACCACCATGCCCAGCTAATTTTTGTAGTTTTAGTAGAGACGAGGTTTCGCCATGTTGGTCAGGCTGGTCTCGAACTCCTGACCTCAAGTGATCCTCCCACTTCAGCCTCCCAAAGCGCTAGGATTACAGGTGTGAGCCACCATGCCCAGCCTTAAAGCTATTTCTTTATCAGAGTGCTGTGGCAAGTTCTTCTGGTTCATAGGTCATAAGAAACGGTCTCACTAATTTTTCAAGAAGCTTAGGGTAATGATGAAAAATGCAGACATTGTAATGTGTAAGGAATATGTGTCTGGCTGTTATGCCTGTGGGAACTTTCCCTTTCTCTAACTGTGCATCAGGTCAATTCATCTGTAAGTCCAGGTCAGATGAGACCTAGTGTTTCATTGCTGCTCTTTCTTCTAAGAGGACATTGTAGGACAAGAGGAGCCTGAAATTTCAAGGAAGTTCTCATGTCAAATAGATTTGGAACAATGTGAAAGGGTCTCATTTTTCACTTGCTGTTTATACACTGGCACAGCCTTGTTGCTTCTCTCCTGAGTGCTGGTAATAAAATACACCGAGTACTACTCTGATCTTTCAGGCCCAGATGTTACCTTTGGCCTTGATAAACCTCTCCAGGCTCTATCAGAGTGGAACAAGAACACAAGTGCATCAACAGAATGATGCAACCAGGCTGTAAGGAAGAAATCAAAACAGCCTTACCTGACCTTAGCAATATCTGTGAACAGCACTTCTATTTCAGGGCTAGTGAGTAAATCCCTGAAAGAAGCCAGAGACAGGAAATGGATAATAATTGTCTGCCTCTACACACCACACTGTGCTACACGCTCTACAGATACGTGCTCATTCTCACATCCTCTGCTGGTGTCACTATCCACACATTGCAGAGGAAGAATTTCAGCAAGGCTGAATAGCTCCAACTGTTTAACAGCAACTGAATTACTCTTTGGTTAGAGCTCATATATGATTACATGATGAGTAAGGTTTTGTTTTTTTGTTTTTTGGGTTTTTTTTTTTGACAGCATAAGACTATCCCATTCTCCCTACTGCTGTGACCCCTGTTGCTACCAGGGCTCATAGCAAGTCAAGAGAGATGGGTTTCAAAGTGGGCTGACACACAGGAGGGTCTGCTGAGCCACAGGCAACCCATTGGTAGAATAACAGACATGGAGAAAAGCTAGGGGCCTCTTAGTGTGCAGTTTTTCCAAATTGTTTCTAAATATGAATAGGATAGAAATGTTTGTGACTTGTCAGGAATAACAAGTCAGTGAAATCAGGAGAAAAACAAAGACTCTGCATCCTCACTTGGTGCTGAGAGGGTACTAATGGCTTTTAAAGTTACAGACTCAAATATTTTACATGGCAGATTTAGCCCCATGCAAAAGGAATTCTTGGAAATTAATTTAAAATTTAAAAAAAATTTTTTTTAGATGAAGTTTTGCTCTTTCACCCACGCTGGAGTGAAGTGGCGTGATCTTGGCTCACTGCAACCTCCACCCACCGGATCAAGCAATTCTCCTGCCTCAGCTTCCCGAGTAGCTGGTATTACAGGTGCCTGCCACCACGCCCGGCTAATTTTTGCATTTTCAGTAGAGACAGGTTTCACCATGTTGGCCAGACTGGTCTGGAACTCCTGACCTCAGGTGATCCACCCACCTTGGCCTCCCAAAGTGCTAGGAATACAGGTGTGAGCCGCCGTGCCCGGCCGAATTCCTGGAATTTTAAAGGGATGTGACTGCTAATTCTTAGAACAAGCTTGTACTTGAAATACTAGCTTATTAAAAATAAAGTTGCAATGTTACTAGAAGTCTAAACTGGAGGGTGGGGAATGGGGGATGCCAGGGTTAATTCAGGCCATTTGAAGTAAGTAGAATTTCTCTTATCCATAAAATGTAATTTGGGTAATAACCTTTGAAGAGACTGTTATTTAGGTAAACTCATTTGGTTACTACCAATAAAATGCAGAGATCTGAATTTTATTTGGTGCATTTAACTCCCAAAGACTGTACAACCTTAAGAACCTTTTCTCTTTTTTTTGAGATGGTCTTACTCTGTCACTCAGGCTGGAGTGCAGTGGCACAAACATGGCTCACTGCAGCCTCAACCTCTCAGGCTCAAGCAATTCTCACATATCAGCCTCCAGAGTAGCTGGGACTACAGGCATGCGCCACCATACCTGGCTAATTTATATTTTTTTGTAGAGACAAGATTTCGCCATTTTACCGAGGCTGGTCTCAAACCCCTGGCCTCAGGCGATCCACCCTCTTCAGCCTCCCAAAGTGCTGGATTACAGGCGTGAGCCACCGTGCGCCCAGCCAAAGAACCATGTGTCTTGAGATATCTGTCCCAGTTCATTTCTTCAGAGTTTCAGAGGAGACAGCTCCAACCAGCCCTTGTAACATCTCCTTCCTCCAAGGTTTGGTCATTAATAGAGAGGGATAAGTAAATTTATTCAAAGGTTAAATTATTTAAGCCAACCACTGTAATCTCTTAGGTTCTGCCTCTGAATTGTACTATTTTGGATATTAAAATAACAATGCACCATCTGTCTAAAGTAATTAGAGGTCAGCCTTACTTGAAGAAAGCAGTCATTATCTACTGATGTCCTGGTTTAAAAATGTATTTCAAAAAAGGGAGCAATAACTCATCATCATTACTACCTACTAGCTTTTTTTTTTTTTTTTGGAGACACGGTCTGGTTCTGTTGCCCAAGATGGAGTGCAGTGGTGTGATCTCAGCTCACTGCAGCCTCCATCTCCCAGGCTCAAGCCATCTTCCTACCTCAGCCTCCCAAGTAGCTGGGACTACAGAAGCCACACCTAGCTAAATTTTTTTTTTTTTTTTTTTTGGTAGAGATAGAGTTTTGCCATGCTACCCAGGCTGGTCTTGAACTCCTGGGCTTAAGTGATCCATCCACCTTGGCCTCCCAAAGTGCTGGGGTTACAGGTGTGAGCCATCGCACCCAGCCCCTACTAACATTTAGCTTGCAAGAGTTAAAGTTTGATATATGGCAGTTATCCTTTGAGTCATACGTTTTAAAAATCTGGGAGACCAGGTGGCTTCTAAGTAGCAGATCATTTTCAGAGAAACAAAATACTGGTTTGGGAAAACTCATCAAGGGTTGTGATGTGAATGAAGTTACAGGAGAAAGCTAAGATGCTTTGCTTCCTTTTTTCCTTCAACAAAAGTATACTCTGTGCCTAGCACTCCACTAAATCCTAGGAATGCAGAAATAAGGTATGGTGCAGACTTCAAGGAGGTCACAGGCTGGTAGGATGTCAGGCAGAGAAAGTGGCAGCCCAGCCCAGTGCTAATTGCTATGAACCAGATGTACAAAGGGTGTGGCGGGAACAGAGACCCAGGAAGAGAAGGGTCAGGAGAACTTCTCAGAAGCAGCAATATCTGAGTCTGGAAGACATTAGCCAGGAATAAGAGAGGAGGAAGAAATGCTTACTGAGGAGGAGAGAATGCCTTCAGCCCTATAGAACAATGCACAATTCCTCCGAACCCAGAGTGCACCTAGAGGACTGCAAAGAGATGCGGCAGGAGCCGGGGCAAGGCCCAGGTCCTAAATGTGGTGGGGAACAACCGTGGTTTCTAAGCCAGGAAGACAAATCAAATCTGCATTTTGGATCTAGTGCTCAGACAGCAGTGTAGAAAATGGTCTGGAGAAGCAGAGTGCCACAGGAAGCTAAAGAAATAAATGAGAGGGAACAGAGTGTCCAGCAATAGAGGGGCATGGGAAGGGAGGGAGAAGATGATAAGGTCAGTTTGGGATATGTTGACATTGATGTGTTAGAGACTATCCTGTTGAAAGCACATGGAGACAAGTTAATGGATAATTCTAGGCAATCGTCAATGGCTGACAGTATCGCTGAAATGTCACCTCTGATGAAGTATACATCGCCATAGAATATGTCATAGGACACCACAGGGATCTAAACAGAGAAATTCTGCAGACAAATGACCTAGATTCTTCTATAAATAAACTGCAAAGAAGAAAAAAAAAGAGAGAACCTACAAAGGTCTTAAAGTATAAAGCAATGTGGACCTCATTTGAATTCAACTCAAACTTAAAAACAAAAAACAACAAAATAAACCTAAAAAGTGTAACTTAATCAGGCAATGTGAACAATACTAATTAAAAATTAAGAGGCTTGGCCGGGCGCAGTGGCTCACGCCTGTAATCCCAGCACTTTCGGAGGCCGAGGCGGGCGGATCACGAGGTCAGGAGATCGAGACCATCCTGGCTAACATGGTGAAACACTGTCTCTACTAAAAATACGAAAAATTAGCCGGGCGTGGTGGCGGGCGCCTGTAGTCCCAGCTACTCAGGAGGCTGAGGCAGGAGAATGGTGTGAACCCGGGAGGCGGAGCTTGCAGTGAGCCGAGATCACGCCACTGCACTCCAGCCTGAGCGATAGAGCGAGACTCTGCCTCAAAAAAAAAAAAAAAAAAAAAAAAAAAAAATTAAGAGGCTTAATTCTCCCTGTTGAAAATAAAGAAAGAGACCTCCCTTCCTTCCTTCTATTTCATAATATTTGTGTGCTTTTCAAATTTATGTGAATCTTCATAATGACTAAATAGGCCTCTCACAAGTCTCACAACCCAGGAATGCTTCTTCAAGGACCCAGGAAGCCATCTCCTGGAGATGCAAACATTTAGGGAGATAGTGCCTCAACCTCTCAGTTCCTACAGAAGGGTAAGAGCCTAACTCCCCTGGGTACAAATGGTGGGCACCTTGCTCCAATTTGCAAAACCACCTCCTGTGTTAAGATATGAGAAGTCTGTTTCCCCTCTGGGTGGCCATAATAAAGTTAGGATACACTGTGTGTGATCAAAGGTGCTGTCCAGTCCATGAAACAAGATGTCTGATTTACTCCAAAATGGTCTGGAGGTGGTGTAAAAAACATTGCCACGTATTGGTGATGATGCTGGCTTATGGATATATCAAGTCAGTTATGTTACCATCTCTACTTTCATTATGTTTGAATACTTCCATAACAAAAAGTTAAAAAGATAAGATACATGGAAGACATCTGTATACAGGTTTGCAGTTAGGAGGAAAAATAAGTATTAGAGATAAAGTTTTTGCTGGGCATAGTGGCTCATGCCTGTAATCCCAACACTTTGAGAGGCTGAGGTGGGAAAATTGCTTGAGTCTAGGAGTTTGAGACCAACCTGGGGCAGCATAGTGAGACCTCATCTCTAAAACAAAAAGAAAAAAATAAACAAAATTAGCTAGGCATGGTGGCACAAGCCTGTGGTCCAAGCTACTTGGGACACTGAGGTGGAAGAATCACTTGAGCCCATGAGGTAGAGGTTGTAGTGAGCCAAGATTACACCACTGCACTCTGGCCTGGGTGACAGAGCAAGACCCTGTCTCAAAAAATTTTTAAAAAAATAGAGCTTTGGGTGGCATCAGCATACAGGTGACAGTAAAGCCATGGAAGCAGACTGCCAACCAAGACAGGATAAAGCAGGAGAATCAAGGACAGAATCCTGAGAACACTGACATGTAAGAAGTAGCTAGAAAAAGAGGATGTAGGCCAGATGCAGTGGCTCACACCTGTAATCCCAACACTTTGGAAGGCCAAGGCAGGAGGATCACATGAGGCCAGGAGTTAAACACCAGCCTGGGCAACATAGTGAGACCCTGTATCTAAAAATAAATAAGTTAACTGGTGTGGTGGCATGTCCCTGTAGTTCCAGCTACTTGGGAGGCTAAAGTAGGAGGATCGTTTGAACCTGGGAGGTGGAGGCTGTAGTGAGCTGAGATCGTACCACTGTACTCCAGCCTGGATGACAGAGTGAGACCCTGTCTCAAAAAAAAAAAAAAAAAAAGAAAGAAAGAAAGGATTTACTAGAGGAATTTGAAGAGTTGAAGCCAAGAGAGAATAGTGTTGGTTTCAATAAAGAAAGATTAGTGGTGTAAATAAGGTGAATGTTACACTGTTCATCTGTTCATTGTATTAGAAAGTAGGTCAGATACTGCAGCAATACTAGGTTTATTGCAATGATGGCCTACGAAGCCACATTATAACAAGCTGAAATGTGAAAGGGCAATGAGAAAGCCAGGAAGTTGGCTCTGAAGAAAAACAAAATAACTGGACAACAGCTAGAGGGCTACCTAAGGTCAAGGGGGATGGTGGAGGGTAAGGGTTGCACAATTAATTACCGAAAGGACAGGTTAGGAGAGAAGAGCCATGACACGAGGTGAGGGGAGGGATAATGCTGGAGCAGGGACTGTCAGAGGGGAGGGGGTCTAGAGCATAGGGAGAGGGCACTGCCGAGTGTTAGTTACCCAACATTCATTCTTCCCTTTTTCCGGAAAGAAAAGGTTTTTAGCTGGGAGCATTAACCTCTTAGAAAAGACTACATTCTACATGCTACATGGGCGGGGCACGGTGGCTCACACCTGTAATCCCAGCACTTTGGGAGGCCAAGGCAGGTGGATCACAAGGTCAGGAGTTCCAGACCAGACCAGCCTGGCCAAGATGGTGAAACTCCATCTCTACTAAAAATACAAAAAATTAGCTGGGCACAGTGGCAGCTGCCTGTAATCCCAGCTACTATGGAGGCTGAGGCAGAGAATTGCTTGAACCTGGGAGGCGGAGGTTGCAGTGAGCCAAGATCGCGCCACTGCACTCCAGCCTGGGCGACAGAGCGAGACTCCATCTAAAATAAATAAATAAATAAACATAAAAACTATATTTACTAACCTCGCTTGTAACTGGATGTGGTCACATGAACTAGTTCTGGACAATAGGATAAGCAGAACCGTGTCCCGCAGCAACTTCTTGGGAAGGGAAGAGAACTGCCTTTGCCCCTTTCTTTGTTCATTCTTCCATCCTGCTGCTGAGGCTACAACCATCTGGCACCATTAGGCAGAGGCCTTGCCAGTAGCACCAGATAAGAATCTAGGTCTGAACTTAAAGGAAGAGAACCACTAAACCAGCTCTGGACTACTTTCCAAATTGTTTACTTGAGAGTGAAATGAACTATTTTTCTTTCCACTGTTAATTTTGAACCCTTACCATGGGCACTGTTATCTATGATACCCATTTCAACAGCAAAAACCGCAATTACTTTTGCACAAACCTAATACAGAACTAGACCTTCATCCTCTGACGTTCTTTGTCAATACAACTGATGTGGGGGATGACAGGGAGAAAGTTGAGAGAGTCCCTACCCGAACTGGAAAAGCATGAGCTTGAGGATCATGAGATGGCTGTGGTGGGAAATGTGGGAAGGAAGACACTGAGAACGAGGGCTCTTCAGAAGCTGGAGGTGAAGATCATGCATTTAGGATGATTTTTTAAAGATTTTTGAAACTATTTATATTTTTGTCTTACAAATGATCACTTTTAAGTGGACTTTCTGTAAGAATGTACAACTCAAAAATTTGCCAAGTATCTATCGGATCCACACAAATCCTTAGAAAGGTTTTCTGTGTAGTCTTCACTAACGCAAGTCCTTGGGAATGTTTCACTTTTACTGTAGGATCTTGAACACATTTCACAATAATGAAACTATAAAGTTTTTATGCAGTGCATTCGTTATTAACTATAAATAACATTTCTATTAAAAAAGAAATCTGGGTAGTACAGTTTCTTCCTTTGTAGTAAGAGCCGAGAAGACTGAGAAGTTGATTGGACACTACCATCACTACCATCATCCATCTCCAGAACTCATCTTGCAAAACAAACTCTGTACCCATTAAGCAATAATTAACTCCCCATTTCCTTCTCCCACCAAGTCCTAGTAACTGATATTCCACTTTGTTTTTATAAATTGGACTTCTCTAAAAACTTCATATAAATGGAATCATGCTGTATTTGTCCTTTTGTCACTGGCTTATTTCACTTAGCATAATGTCCTCAAAGTTCACCCATATTGCAGCATATGTCAGGTTTCTTTGTTTTGTTTCTTAAACAGATGAGGCTTTATTCTGTTGTCCATGCTGCCAGACTGGAATGCAGTGGTATGATCATAGCTCACTGCAGCCTCAACCTCCTGGGCTCAAGCAATACTCCTGCCTCAGCCTCCTGAATAGCTAGGACTATGTGCATGCACCACCACACCTGGCTAATTTTTTTCCCCCCACTGTGGAGATTGGGACTCGCTAAGTTGCCCAGGCTGGTCTCAAACTCCTGGACTCAAGCAATCCTCCTGCTTCAGCCTCCCAAAGTGCTGGGATTACAGGCATGAGCCACCCCACCCAGCCCTGCTTTTTGAAGAATGAATGATAGTCCATTATATGTATGTACCACATTTTGGTTGTCCATTCATCCATCAATGGACACTTGGGTTGCTTCCACCTTTTGGCTATTGTTAATACTGCTGTGAACATGGGTACACAACTACTTCAAGATCCTGCTTTCAGTCCTTTTGGGTACATACCCAGAAGTGGAATTGCTAAATCATATAGTAATTCTATTTTTAATTTTTAGAGGAGTTGCCATACCGTTTTCCATAGCAGCTCCATTTTATGTTCCTACCAACAGTGTAAAAGAGTTTCAATTTCTCCACATCTTCATCAACACTTCTTATTTTCTGTTTTGATAGTAGCCATCCTAATGGCTGAGGTGGTCAAAATTTGCTTTTTACAAATTATGAAAATGGGATAATAGCAAATGCCTAGCACAGTGTCTAGAAGATGGTAAATGTTAAGTATCAAAAAACTTTTGATAAGAGGTATTAAGTTAAATAAGAGGTATTAAGTTAAAATCTTTGCTGTCATAAATGGGAAATATACGGCTACATTGAAATTTGCCAAATCCCAATAGTGTCTATTATAGATTTCCCTCTATGCAGGCACATCACTAAGTTTTTACTAAGGCATTAGCAAATTACTGATTATGTATTCACCTCCTAAAAGGAATCTGCAGCCGAGCACAGTGGTGCACATCTGTAATCCCAGCTATCCTGAAGGCTGAGGCAGGAGGCTTGCTTGAGCCCAGAAGTTTGAGGCAGTAGTGTACTATGATTATGTCTGTGAATAGCCCCCACACTCCAGCCTGGGCAACATAGTGAGACCTATCTATAAAATAAAAGAATCTGCAATATAAAGGAGGCCCAGAAAATGAAAAGCTTGAACCCAAAGAAATAGGTCACTATTAGTGACATTCCAGGTGAGATTGGAGAGGGCCCTAAAGTGATGCCACTTATCAGCTCATGCCTCAGCTCCTATTCCTCTGCTACAGGTGGCCCATCCCCCAAGGGCACTGTGGCACAGATGAGGTCCAAAGCAGGTTTGGTCTTTGCTAGATCTCTAAAGGAAATATAAAGCCAATTTGCTAGACATTTACTCTTCCAAATACATATCAGAGTGACTTTAGAAGTCAAAGAACCCAGAACTTTAATAACCTTAAACAAACAAGCTCATTCCAATAATTTAGCTTCCAGTCACATATGCAGACCCTAGGCAAAGACTTTTTTGTGGGAAATGGGACAGGTGCTGTACTTTCATTTCTTCCTTGCTGTGGAAATAGACTCTTAAAAAATGTAGAGATGGGGTCTTGCTACATTGTCCAGGCTGATCTTAAACTCCTGGCCTCAAGCAATCTTCCCACCTTGGCCTCCCTAAGTGCTGGGCTGACAGGCATGAGCCACTATGCCTTGCTAAGTGTTTAATAGAAGAGTGTGAATGGCAGAGGCAGAAGGTTTGGTGGATCATACAGCCTTACAGTCTCTTCAGAAACATCACTGATATTTGCTGTTGAGTCAACCTAGCAACCAATTCTTGTCCCAAAGATATGACACTGTTCAAAAGGCACCTCAGAGATGCCAGTTTCATCTCTTTTCAATGCCCAAAACTAGAGCTTGAAAAGATGGATATCTATCAACAGACATGATTTGTAATGTGTCTTTACTGTATATTTCATAAAATATAAACACATAAAACTTACATAAGTATAACAGATAGTTGTAAACACCCTATAATTACTACCCAAGTCACAAAACAGATCAATATTAGCAATTCAGAAGTTTCAGATATATATATATATATATATATATATCTCCTTACTGATCACAATTGCCTAGTTTTTTAATTATTGAGATATAATTCACATACCATAAAATTCATCCTTTTAGAATTTATAATTCAGTGCTTTCTAATATATTCAAGAAGTTGTGCAGCCATCGACACTACCTAATTCTACAACAGTCCCATCACCCTTCGGAAAGAAACCCATGCCCTTTAGCAGTCATTCCCAGCTCCTGGGAACCACTAATCTCCTTTCTGTCTTTATGGCTTTGCCTGTTCTAGACAGTTCATATAAATGGAATCATATAACATGTGGCCTTCTGTGTCTGCCTTCTTTGACTTAGCATGTTTTCTAGGTTCATCCATGTTGTAGCATAAATTAGTACTTCATTCCATTTATGACTGAATAATACTCCATTATATGGATATGTCAAATTTTCCTCCCCTATTCAATTAATGTACATTTGAGTTTCCACATGTTGACCATTATGAATAATGCTATGAATATTTGTATATAAGTTTGTGTGTGGCCAGGTGCAATGGCTCATGCCTATAATCCTAGCACTTTGGGAGGCTGAGGCAGGTGGATCACTTGAGGCTAGGAGTTCGAGACCAACCTGGCCAACATGGCAAAATTAAAAATACAAAAGTTAGCTGGGCATGGTGGTGCTTGCCTGTGGTCCCAGGTACTCAGAAGGCTGAGGCCGAGATTGCACCACTGCACTCCAGCCTGGGTGAAAGAGCGAGACTGTCTAAAAAAAAAAGTTTGTGTGAATATATGTTTTGAATTCTGTTAGGTATATACATAGGAATGGATTTGCTTGAGGACACAGTAACTATACATTTAACTTTGAGGATCTGCCAAACTGTTTTCCAAAGTGGCTGCAGTTTTACATTCACACCAGTAGTGTATGACAGGTCGAATCTTTTTACACCCTCACCAATACTTGGTATTGTCTATCTTTTTTATCATAGCCATCCTAGTGGGTGTGAAATGGTATTTCATTGTAGTTTTGTGGTTTTTTTTTTCCCCTGAGACAGAGTCTCACTCTGTTGCCCAGGCTGGAGTGCAGTGGTACAATCTCTGCTCACTGCAACCTCCACCTCCTAGGTTCAAGTGATTCTCCCACCTCAGCCTCCTGAGTAGCTGGGACTACAGGAGTGTGCCACCACATCCGGCTAATTTTTGTATTTTTTAGTAGAGACGGAGTTTCACCATGTTGATCAGGCTGGTTTGAACTCCTGACCTGAAATGATCTGCCCGCCTCAGCCTCCCAAAGTACTGGGATTACAGGTGTAAGCCGCCACACCCGGCCATTGTAGTTTTAAATTTGCATTTCCGTAATGACTAATGTGTTTACTGCCCATTTGTATAACTTCTTTGGAGAAGTGGCTAATTAAATCTATTGCTAATTTTTAAATTTGGTTGTCTTTTTACGGTTGTTATTTTATTTATGTTTGCCGAACACTAGAATCTTATCAGGTATATGATTTGCAAATATTTTGCCAATTCTATGGGCAGTCTTTTTACCTTTTCTCTTTTTTTTTTTTGGTTTTTCATTACATTGATGAAGTCTTTCCAGTTTCTTTTTTTTTTTTTTTTTTTTGAGATGGAGTTTTGCTCTCGTTGCCCAGGCTGGACTGCAATGGCACAATCTCGGCTCATCACAACCTCCGCCTCCCAGGTTCAAGCAATTCTCCTGCCTCAGCCTCCCGAGTAGTTGGGATTACAGGCATGCACCACCATGCCCGGCTAATTTTTTTTTGTATTTTTAGTAGAGATGGGGTTTCTCCATGTTGAGGCTGGTCTCGAACTCCTGACCTCAGGTGATCCGCCTGCCTCAGCCTCCCAAAGTGCTGGGATTACAGGCGTGAGCCACCGTGCCTGGCCCCCACTTTCTTAATAGTGCTCTTTGAAACATAGATGTATTTAATTTAGCTAAGTCAAGTTTAATTTTTGTCACTTATGATTTTGATGGGATAGCTAAGAAACCAATACCTAACCCAAGGTCGCAAAAATCCAGTCCTATGTTCTCTAACAGTTATATGGTTTCAGCATTACATTTAGGACTTTGGTCCATTTTGAGTTAATTTTCATATATGGTGTGAGATAGGGATTTTTTTTTTTTTAATGTGGATATCCAGTTATCCCAGCACCATTTACTGAAGACTATTCTTTCCTTACTGACTTGTGTTGGTCAAATAAAGACAGCCTTGTGAATGGACAATTTTAGGAAACCATCAGACCAGTCAAATGACAATTTTCTGGGGATGGTCTATGAGGAGTATCACCTCTGTTCTCCCTTTTGCAGTAACTGCCAGCCTCCTGGTTTCACTGTGATTGCAGGCTATCGGTTGTCCAGGCTACAGCTGATCTGGGAAAAGGCAGCATGGGAACAGGGCAAGTTAAAATGCCACAATTCTTAATGTTCTTACTGAGATTCAATGTTTTTCTTGAATAAATGCTCCCCAGATTGCTGCAAGCCTTTGGTTAATTTCCAGAGTTCTGAAAAAGCTGATTCTGATCATTTTTGCCAATGTTCTTGATATGGTTTGGCTCTGTGTTCCCATCCAAATCTCATGTTGAATTTTAATCCCCAATGTTGGAGGTCTGGCCTGGTGGGAGGTGATTGGATCATGGGGGTTGTTCCTAATGGTTCAGCACCATCTCCCTAGTGCTGTCTCATGATAGAGTTCTCATGAGATCCGGTTAAAAGTGTGTATCACCTCCCTCTTCGCTGTCTTCCTCCTGCTCCTGCCATATAAGACGTGCTTGCTTCCCCTTCACCTTCCGCCATGATTATAATTCTCCTGGGGCCTCCCCAGAAGCAGAAGCCTGTATGTCCTGCAGAACCATGAGTCAATTAAACCTCTTTTCTTTTTAAATTACCCAGTCTCAGGTATGTCTTTACAAAAGTACAAGAACAGACTAATACAGTTCTCATTCCTTTTTTGGAGGTCCTATGCCACCATTTTCAATGGTGTCACTATACAGTATTTTAAAACAACACAGATTTCCCATTAAAGTGCAAATTTCTGGCTTTTCTTGAAAAACTGGAGAAAAGAGTACAAGGCCCACTCCTTCTCACATGGTAACAGGTGGCTAGAATTCACAAATTACCATGGTTCTCAGAGCTAACCAAAATCGAGTGCAGATATACTGCTCCTCAGCCTTGCCAGAGCAATGCCTTTTCATTTCTCTTAGGCCCTCTTAAGCCCAGGAGTTCGGGACCAGCCTGGGCAACATAGTGAGACCCCGGCTCTACAAAAGAAAAAAAAATTATCCAGGCATACTGGCATGTGTCTGTAGTCCCAGCTACTCAAGAGGCTAAAGTGGGAGGATCGCTTGAGTCCAGGAGGTTGAGATTGCAGTAGGCTGTGACTATGCCACTGCACTCCAGCCTGAGTGACAGAGTGAGACCCTCTCTCAAAGAAAAATAAAAGGTGGCTGGGAGCAGTGGCTCACTCTTGTAATCCCAGCACTTTGGGAGGCCTAGATGGGCAGATCACCTGAGGTCAGGAGTTCGAGATCAGCCTGGCCAACATGGTGAAACCCCATCTCTACTAAAAATACAAAAATTAGTCAGGCGCAGTGGCAGGCACCTGTAATCCCAGCTACTTTGGAGGTTGAGGCAGGAGAATTGCTTGAACCCGGGAGGCGGAGGTTGCAGTGAGCCAAGATCGCATCACTGTACTCCAGCCTGGTGACAGAGCGAGACTCCGTCTCAAAAAAAAAAAAAAAAAAAAAAAAAAGGTTACCTGAGAGTACTGTTGAGTGTCCTTACTAAGCCCAAGGAAATAAAACAAGCCCAGACACTAAGTCAAATACATTCATTCGAGAGAAAACAGGAAATTTAACTCATGCTATGGTAACACCGGCAGCCTGTGACATCAGAGCAAAGGCAAGGAACAAAGGGATTGTGAAAGTTACCTTTCCATGAGTCTCTCCTTTGAAATTTGATCCATGCTGTTTATTTGAAAGTGTTCAAAACACTCAAGTTATTTTGGTACTGTTTAGGAACAGAGCAACTGAAATGTCTCTTGGTACTTTTCTCCAATATATTCCAGGAGATTAGCCAAAACCACATGCTAGAAATCTGCTGAGAGCCACAGTTTTATTTAATAGGCTATGAGATTCTATTTCAGACTGCTGGTGATACTGAGCTACCAGTCAGCTACACAGTAAGGATATAATTGTACAATTAAATATATTTGAGAAAAAAAGTCAAAGGGAAGGCCATATAAACTGAAGCCTCACCATCACTTTAGGTTGGAGTTTAAAGAGGGAGTAATATTTACAGGAGAATGGCTTCCCCTGGGTTGGAGTGGAAAAATACCAAGAGCTGTGACAGGAAAGGAAGTCTACAAAGCATGAGTAAGAGAAGCTGCTACAAATGTGCCCTTCCCCCTCATTCAGCAGCCTCAGCTGATTGTTATAGAGGTCTCCTCCAGAAGAGGCTGAAACCGCTTCTTGTCAGGAATCTCTTAAGGCAGAACCTACAGACGGTAGAGCAATTTGAGCAATGCTTGGCCGAGTTCAGATGGACTGCAGAGATGTCTCCAGGATTTAAAAACAGTGATAACCAGAGATTGTCGTCTTCAGTGTAAAATGATTCTTTTAAAAAGGCAGTGTGTACAAGCTATTTTAAGAGACAGTATGCTCATTTATGGGCGGGAATAAAAACTTCCTCCCATTAGTTAACTTGCCACACATTAAAAGAAGACTAAATCTTAGCAGTTTGTCTTTAATCTTCAGTGGTGAACTTGGAGAGTTATTAAAATGACTAAGAGAGGCCTTAGTAAAGAAGAAACTGCAATTATTTAATAAACAAGGTTCGAATATTGAATCCATGTCACCATATCCATATGTAGGTGGAGGTATATGAAGGACACCTCAACTCAAGGCTGTTTCAGTGACTTCATTATTCCTCTGGCTTTTGGAAGGAGATGACTTCACTTGGAATGGACTTATGACCAGCAGAGAAGAGTTCAGAGCAACAGTGGGGAGTTAACTTAGATTATGTGTTATTATCTCCATAATCTCCGTGCTGCCTCACATTTTGCACTTATGTCACCAGAAAAGATATGTGAATGATCCAAACATGAACAGAGCAAATGGCCTTGAACAGAGTCTAGAAACATTTAGATTGGATATAAAGAAGAACCTTCCTGCCATAAAGGTATTTATTTATTTATTTGAGATGGAGTCTCATTCTGTCACCCAGGCTGGAGTGCAGTGGCACAATCACTGCAACCTTTGCCTCCCAGGTTCAAGCAATTCTTCTGTCTCAGGCTCCTGAGTAGCTGGGACTACAGGTGCATGCCACTATGCCTGACTAATTTTTGTATTTTTAGTAGAGAAGGGATTTCGCCATATTGGTCAGGCTGGTCTCGAACTCCTGACCTCAGGTGATCCACCCACCTTGGCCTCCCAAAGTGCTGGGATTACAGGCATGAGCCACCGCACCCTGCTTATAAAGGTATTCAAATTTGGTGCTGTTACTAAGAGAAGGGTTCTCCCTTACTATGGAAATGGCATTTATAGCTGGGCACAGTGGCTCACACCTATAATCTCAGCACTTTGGGAAGCTGAGGTGGGCGGATCACCTGAGGTCAGGAGTTCAAGACCAGCCTGACCAACATGGTGAAACCCCGTGTCTACTAAAAATACAAAATTAGCCAGGTGTGGTGGCACGCACCTGTAATTCCAGCTACTTGGGAGGAGAATTGCTTGAACCCAGAAGGTGGAGGTTGCAATGAGCCAATATTGCATCACTGCACTCCAGCCTGGGTGATGGAATAAGACTCCATCTCAAAAAAAGAAAAAAAAAAAGAACACGGAAAATATAGATCTAAGCCTATTAGTTCTATATAAGATCAGTGAGCCTATAAGACCTATATTACTGCTTCCAGTAATAAAGATATTAACCCTAGAGAGGAAATAATTTGAAGACAGAAAACTGGCGAGACTGATAAATCATAAGCATCTCAAGATGGAGTTAGGAAAATGGAATTTTAAGGGGAAAGGTTGACTGTGCAGTTGAAGCTGGAGCTAGTGTTCTTAGCATCACTTGCATTCCCTGACAGCTGTTCAGACCTTGCCTCACTCTACCTCCTTGCCTTCCAACACACTCTTTATTGCAAGAAGACTTTCCCTGATGACTCCTTGATCTTAAGCCGCAGACGGAATCCAAAGGAGGATGCGGGATGTGGCAGACTGTTCCCAAACACAAAGCTGTGTAGTCCCTGGATGTCAGAGAAAAGACTCTGAAGTGGTCTATTACTAGTCCTGCACTAATATCTAAAAATCTAACCACTTACCCAAACTGGAGAGCCTTTTCATCAAGCCAGCTTCTCTTATGGCAGCGGGACCATGCTCCACTCCTTTTCTTTTCTGTCAGTCACACAAATTACACAATTAGAGGTAGAGAAGGTGTCGGAAAAAAACCCATTTGGTACATTTAGTTCCCAGCAGGTTCCTCTGAAAACCTGTGACAGCATCAGCCCTTCCATCAATGACTGTCCTTCCAACTCCATTGTTGGAATCACATCAGCTGCCCAAGCCAAGACGGGAGAGGCTGAGCCAGGTTAGGATCCAGGAGCTAGGCGTGTGTGGGGCTGGCTCGGGCCAGAGACTGGGCTTCTGGGCTTCGAGATGACTGAGCGCTCCCGACTGCAGGTTTCCTTCATTGAAGAGAACAAAACAGCTCCTCCCCACCTCCCGCGCTGGAGAGGCCAGCTCCAATTTCCCTCCCAGTTAATGCTCATTCTGAGTGAATGGATCCAGAAGACTTAAATCCTCGGTCGCTCCTTTTAACCTCCTCCATCGATTCTCCACTGGGGATTCTGACCAGTTTCGCCTCCTCCAGCCCCTCCAAGGAATCCTCTTCCTCATTCTCTCCCCTCCATTACCCCAAGCTGCATCCACCGTTTTCTCGGTCTTTCTGGGGAGGCCGCAGAAACACACCCTCATCCCAAACAGGGTGCCCTCCACCCCTCCCTCCCTCCCTCTCCATTCTCTGTCGGAGGATATCCCACATGCTCCCACGGTGCCCAGTAGCGGGAACCGGCCAGCTCTTCCCCTCGCCATTTCTCCCCATCCTCTCCTCGCCTCCCGGTCCCCCGCACCCTACCGCCGCTGTCTCCAGGTTCTAGGGGGCGGAGGATCCTGCCCGGCGGTTCCAGGTGCCAGTTCTCACCTGCCCTTGTGAGAACGGGGCTCCTATCACAGCCACGGAGTGGACGGATTTCTTCAGGATGGAATGCACTCGCGTCTGGAGGAGACGCGAGAGGCTGCCCCTTAGGGACATGATCCGCAGCACTGAGAATCTCCAAGGCAGAGGCTCCGCGCGGTTGGAAGCCGGGAGTGAGCGCCACCGCCCGCCGCTGCTCTTACCTACCCGCGCCAGCGTCCGCCCGCCCCGTGACGTCACCGCCACATTGGCCCCGCCGCCCGCGCCTCCAACCAGCCCCCGGCACACCTTCTTCGCAGGCCCCGCCCACCGCTCTGCAAGGCTGGGACGTGCCTTCGATGACGTCACCCCACTCTGGCCTGTGCTCTCCGGCCAGGGACATGCCCCTGCCGCTGACGCCAGAAGGCCAATATCCGGGTCTGGCCAGTAAGAGCGCGGTGACCAACAGGTGTGTCCCTTCGCGGGAGGCGGCCGGCCCATGCCAGGTTCCTGAACTTGGCGGAACGCAGGAGCCGACACCAATCTTCACGCCCGGCTGATGCTGACTCTACGGATGGGCTGGCTGGGTCGGGCCTGGTCTGGCCCTGCCTAGTCAAAGCCAGGATCCACCTGCTTCGTTCTATCTCAAAGCTCAAAGCCCAGGAAACACTCTTAGACTGGGCATCAGTGAAATTTGGATTCGGAGATATAATATAGATGAGAGCTCTCTGAGCCGGGCACGTTTATAAAGAGCCATCTACCTTAGGTATTTTGAATGAAAGAGGTTAGGATTTACAAAGCAATTACCTTTTAGATGTTTTTAATTCTTTACCTGAATAACGGGAGCGCTGGTTATTAAAAAAGCAAATATAGCAACGTATTTAGACTATTTCTAAGCTAAAGAGCTGTAAGTGCTAAGTAACTAGAGTTTTAATAACGAATAATAATTTAATAATCTCAGCATTCCAAGAACTTTACCCCTCCAATTCTATACCACAGGTTACTTTTTAAAGCGAAGAAAAGATCAAAGACATAAGTAATTTTCCCAGAGCCACATAGCTTGTAAGTGGCAGAGCTGACTCCACATTCCAAGTTCTTAACCAAGACACCATGGCATGCAAGAATCTAGACATTATTTCTACCAAATTAATTTTTTACATAAACTCCTGAAATTTATTTCACCTCATGTCAATTTACACACTGCTCTCCAAAACAGTTCAGAGGTCTCCATGGCAACACCATAACTCCAAAGGAGTTTTAGTACCCTAAGACATTTTATTTTTAGAGGCTCTGTTGTATATTGTCTCCCCCTGCTGGTTTAACAATGATGTCTTTGAGGCCTTAGCAAAATAACCACTGTAAGGCAGTGGTTCTGAAAGTGTGGTCCCAGACCAGCAGCATCAGCATCACCTGGATACAGCATCAAGAAGAAACTGGCTGCACATGGTGACTCACACCTGTAATTCCAACACTTTGGGAGGCCAAGGCAGGAGGATCTCCTGAGCCCAGGAGTTTGAGACCAGCCTGGGCAGCATAGTGAGACGCTGACTCTACCAGAAATTTAAAAAAAAAAAAATAGCTGGATGTGGTGGCATGTGCCTATGGCCCCAGCTACTTGGGAGGCTAAAGTGGGAGAATCTCTTGAGCCCAGGAAGTCGAGGCTTCAGTGAGCCATGATCACACCACTGCATCTCAGCCTGAGTGACAGAGTGAGACCCTATCTCAAAAAAATAAAAATAAAAAGCAGCAAGAAACTTCTTGCTTCTTGAGCACCTGCTATGGGTCACCAGATACTTGTTAGAAGTGCAAATTCTTGGGCCCCACTCGCGAATTTACAGAATCAGTAACTCTAGGGGTAGGGCACCGGTAACCTATGTTTTAACAAGCCCTCCAGGAATGGGTGGGGGCGTGGTCAGGGATTCACAGTCACAGATACTGTCATACTTGTTCAGTTCATTGAAATTATGTTGATACTTTTGTATTTCTTGCCCATCACTACATTCAATTTTTTTCCCCCTTTACTAAATGTTTTCTGAAGTTGATACTGGCACAGGTTGCCTCAGGGCTTCCTGTGCTACTGCAAAAACCTCTTGCTTCCGCTGGGCGCGGTGGCTCACACCTGTAAAACCAGCATTTTGGGAGGCCGAGGCAGGTGGATCACCTGAGGTCAGGAGTTTGAGACCAGCCTGACCAACATGGAGAAACTCCTGTCTCTCCTAAAAATACAAAAAGCTGGGCATGGTGGCGGGCACCTGTAATCCCAACTACTCAGGAGTCTGAGGCAGGAGAATTGCTTGAACCTGGGAGGCGGAGATTGCGGTGAGCCAAGATTGTGCCATTACACTCCAGCCTGGGCACCAAGAGCAAAACTCTGTCTCAAAAACAAACAAACAAACAACAAAAAACCTCTTGCTTCTTGAGCATTTACTGTGGATCACCAGACCGACCTTTCCAAAGTGCTACTTTAATCCTGCATGTCATTTTCAGTGGTTTTCCACTACCTATAGTTTAGTCAGAGATAAATTACTAGTTCCACTTTATTATGCACTGGGAGAGTGAACAGGAGATTGTTATACAGGTTGAGCATCCTTAATCCAAAAATCTAAAATCCAAATCCAAAATTTCAGCACCTACATGATAACGCAAGTGGAAAATTCCATACTGGACCTCATGTGACCAGTCCCAGTGAAAATGCAGTCAGTTTGGTCCGAACGTAGTGAGTTACCTTAATAGATTGGTCACAGTCAGTTACAGATGGAACACCTTGTTCTATTTTTTTCTCCCCTTCTCACTACTGCACTTGACTAGTCTTAAAAAAACAAAAACAAAAACAAAAAAAGGCTGGGTGCAGTGGCTCATGCCTATGAGCCATGATTGCACCATTGCATTGCAGCCTAGGTGACAGAGCAAGACCCTGTCTCTAAAAAAAATAAAAATAGGGCCAGGTACGGTGGCTCACGCCTGTAATCCCAGCACTTTGGGAGGCCGAGGTGGGTGGATTGCCTGAGGTCAGGAGTTTGAGACCAGTCTGGCCAACATGGTGAAACCCCGTCTCTACTAAAAACACAATAAAATTAGCCAGGCGTGGTGGCGTGCACCTGTAATCCCAGCTACTCAGGAGGCTGAGGCAGGGCAATTGCTTGAACCAGGGAGGTGGAGGTTGCAGTGAGCCGAGATTGCACCACTGCACTCTAGCCTGGGTGACAGAGTGAGGACCCCATCTCGAAAAAAATAAATAAATAAAAATAAAAATAGAAATAAAAGAATGCAGTCAAAACTTTGTTTCATGAACAAAATTATTTAAAATATAAAATCACCTTCAGGATATGTGTATGAGGTGTATATGAACATAAGTAAGTTTCATGTTTAAAGTTGCATCCCATTCCCAAGATATCTCATATGTATATGCAAATATTTAAAAAAAAAAAAAATCTGAAACACTCCTGATCCCAAGCATTTAGGATAAGGAATACTCAACCTGTAGTCCTATTATCTTTAACAATTCAAATTATTATTTATTCCATGTCTGAAATAGTTTATAGTTCATTTTTAAAAGGACAACAATAATAATAATAATTGTATGTACTTAGAAGCATTCAGAATGTCAACAAACAGCTGCAACTTTTTTTTTTTTTGCAATTACAGAGTATTCAGTTAACAGAACAACAATTATTTCATATAAGCTGCATCAGAGACAACTGAAGATGTAAAGCTACCATCCCATATATAACTAATTTGTGCTGTGCACCAACGAAAACCTGCTTTAAATTTCCATGTCAATTTACAGCCCCCACAGTGTACCAAACAAGGTACAGTATGGAGGCTATTAAAAAAATCACCAGGACAGGGCTATCCAATGACACATTTGGTAGTGTGTTAACTGTACAAAAAAAAAAAAAGACAGTGTACAGTTTAAAAACAAGTCTTACATTTCAAATTTTTTTTGTCTTTAAAAGGAGTGAGTTGTGTACAGGGGGGTTAAATGCTTTAGTGACAAGAAAAAAAACTGCACTCGAACTTATTCATCATCACCATCTTCTTCATTTTCCTCCTCCTCATTCTCTCCCTCTTCTTCCTCTTCTTTCTTTTTCTTGCTTTTTTCAGCCTCAACAACTCCCTTTTTGGCTGCATCAGACTTTCCTTTAGCTCAATATGTAGCAGTATCCTTTCTGTATTTTTCCTTCAGCTTTGCAGACTTCTTTTTAAGGCTGCTTGTCATCTGCAGCAGTGTTATTCCACATCCCTCCCAGTTTCTTCGCCGAATCACCAATGGACAGGCCAGAATGTTCTCTTTTGACTTTTGGGCCACACGCAGAACAGAACAAGAAAAAGGCTGAAGGAGACCTCTGGGGTGCATTGGGATCCTTAAACTTTTTTTGTCTCCCCTTTAGGAGGGATATATGTTTTCATTTCTCTTTCGTAACGGGCCTTGTCTGCCCTTGCCATAGCTTCAAATTGTCCTTTCTCTTTAGCAGACATGGTCTTCCCCCTCACTAAGCACTTCTTAGAAAACTCTGAGAAGTTGACTGAAGCATCTGGGTGTTTCTTCTTACGCTCCTCCGGACAAGTTTGCACACAAAATACATACGATGGCATTTTGCCTCTTGGCTTTTTAAGATCTCCTTTGCCTATGTCTAGTTATTTTTCCTCAGCGAGGCACAGAGTTGCCTAGGGCCCATCCGGCTCTCACTTGCCCCGGCACTGTCTTTATGGAGCTCAATGTACTGCCTATAATTCATTTTTAAAACCCCAAAGTTCATAAAACAGCAACTCAAAGCAAAACAAAAAACAAACCCCAAAGTTGAAAATGAATACCTGCTTTTATTTTCAGAACCGGCATTTAATTTAAAAATCTGTTTTCAAAAATAAAATTCTAAAGTCATAAAGAATGAGTTAAGTTTAAAAATTTACTTTAAAACTTGTACCCTGTTAGTGCATAGCTCTAGGACCCCTTCTCAGGTTCAAACCAGCTTGCTCTATTTTTCTTCTTCCTTTGTAGGAGGATCTAGAGATTTGGCCTCTTTCCTTTAATCATGTGGCTGCCAACACACACTCTATCCCTTAATAGGTTGCTGGGAGTTGTGGGGTGGGGAACTGTGAGGGAGTGGGAATAAGTAAGACACAATTGTCAGGTTTGCTGATTTCTGGGGTGTAAATACTTTCTTATTTATGAGCTCCCATTGTGATGTCACTGAACATGGAGTTGTGAAGAGGTGCTCATTTATACAGTATTTCTACCATACAGATACAATCAACACAAAAAAAAAAAACCTCAAGGACATAAATAATAGGAAGACATAGTAAAATAATTAGGCAGTGATAAGTCTGGAGTCTATATTATCTTTGGTTTTAATATAATTTATGTAATTAAATTATTACAGGCTGGAGTACAGTGGCACAATCATAGCTCACAGCAACCTTGACCTCCTGGACTCAAGCAATCCTCCCACCTCAGCCTCCTGACTAGCTGGAACTACAGGTGCGTGCCACCATACCCAGCAAATTTTTTTTTTTTGGAGAGATGGGTTCTCATTATGCTGCCTAGACTGGTCTTAAACTCCTGGGCTCAAGCGATCCTCCTTGCCTCAGCCTCCCAAAACTGAGATTACAGGCATGAGCCACCATACCCAGACTGTAATCTGATTCTTAATGAAGGTTGTGTTCGACAACTGGCTCACAAAATTCCTAAAAATTGCAAGCTGCTAAGAGCAGGCTCTAGCATACCATTGTTTACTGCAAATCCAAGGGAACTCAGAGAAGGGTAAACTACAAATTCTCAAAGGCAGTGTAGTGGCAGAAAAGTGTGATACCTTTCCTCATCCATCGTAAGGAACAGCCACCACTCCTATAGCAAATGACAGATTAACAAGAGAGAAAAGAACCAGGTGCAGTGGCTCATGCCTATAATGCTAGCACTTCAGGAGGCCAAGGCAGGAAGATTGCTTGAGCCCAGGAGTTCAGGACCAGCCTAGACAACATAGCAAGACCCTGTCTCTACAAAAAATAAACAAAATTAGCTGGGTGTGGTGGTGTGTACCCGTAGACCCAGCTACTCAGGAAACAGGAGCCAGGAGGATCCCTTGAGCCCAAGAGGTCGGGGCTGCAGTGAACTGTGATCATGCCACTGCACTCTAGCCTGGGTGACAGAGAGAGACCCTGTCTCAAAAAAGAAAACAAAACCAAAAGAAAATTATAACAAATTTATTTCATCAAAGTTTTACCTGACACTAGAGCCTTCAGAAATGAAGACCCATTATCCCCCAAAGCAAGGCGCCACAGTGATTGCAAAGCGGTAGTGATTTGTAGTTGTGGATGCTGAAGTTGTGTGAGATGTTGATTCTGAACCTCTGTTTGGCAATCTTTGAATCTTCTTGGTTAATATTGTTTTGGCAAATACAGGCTGTAATGGTTAGATGATGGCAGTGTTTATGGGTAACACATGTGCACACTTGGCATTGATAACCCTGTTTCCCAAATACTCCCCAGATAAACTTCCTGCAGTAAGAGCAGTAGGTGGGCTGCCTCAGGTATGTGAGAATAATCTTGTTTCCATTGATCTGTTTTATTGGTGGGGAGGGGTTGGGTTTGGAGACATGGTCTCGTTCTGTCACTTGAGCTGGAGTGCAGTGGTACGATCATAGCTTACTGCAGCCTTGAACTCCTGGCTCAAGAAATCCTCCACCTCAGCCTTCCAAATAGCTGGAACCACAGGACTGCACCCCCACTCCTGGCTAATTTTTATTTTAGAGACAGGATCTCACCATATTGCTCAGGCTGGTCTTGAACTCCTAGTCGCAGATAATCCTCTCACCTCAGCCTCCTAAGTACCTGGGATAACAGGCTTGACCCACCATGTCTTGCACTATTAGGGTTATTACCACAAATGCTTTCCTCTCTGGCTGCAGATTCACCTAGCCTTGGAAGGTGCTCAAGGTGTTGGCCATGCCGGCAGTGCACAGCCACTCCCAGTGAAAAAAAAAAACAAAAAAATAGCTCAGAGCAATCTTTTGAATCTATGCTCCTGTATTGCAATCCTCAAGCTTGGCCCAAATAAATTCTCTAGTTATATTAATTTTGCCTCAGCTTCTTCCTTTTAGTCCACACTGGAGTTGTTACCAGGGCAGCCCTAGAAATATAGCTGGGAAAGCTCACTATTTTCTTTCTTTTTTTTTTTTGAGACAGAGTCTCCCTCAGTCGCCCAGGCGTGCAGTGGTGCGATCTCGGCTCACTGTGACCTCCACCTCCCTGGTTCAAGAGAGTCTTGTGCCTCAGCCTCCGGAGTAGCTGGGATTACAGGTGCCAGCCACCACCCCTGGCTAATTTTTTTTTGTATTTTTAGTAGAGATGGGGAGGGTCTCACCACATTGGCCAGGCTGGTTTCGAACTCCTGGCCTCCAGTTATCTGCCCACCTTGGCCTCCCAAAGTGCTGGGATTACAGGCGTGAGCTACCGCACCCAGCCTATTTTCTTAAACCATAAACAGCTGTGAAAGCTCATTATTTTTTCTTAAACAGTGTTTTTCTAGTCTTTTTATCTATAGGTACCTTGCTTAAAAGAACACCAGATGACCTGAGAAGCCACAGGAGCTTCAGAACCCTTCGTCAATTACCAGAGGAAGATAAGGCTGGTGCAAAACTGGTGCCAACCAGAACCGGAAGCTCCTTGTTACCTTTAGATCATTAAGATATCATTACAATATCAAAATCCCACCCATAGAAGAAAATGCCCACCATTTTCTGAACATGCATAGTATGAAGATGCATGTTTATGATCTTGGGCTCCCAGCACATATTTACATACCTCCCCTTCCCTCATCTAACTCCATAAAATTCCCCAGCTTCCTATGGCTCTGGGAGAAGGGGTCTTTAGAGCAGGGGTCCCCAACCCCTGGGCCATTCACTGGTACTGGCCTGTGGCCTGTTAGGAACCAAGTTGCACAGCAGGAGGTGAGTAGCAGGTGGGCAAGCAAGCGAGTGAAGCTTCACCTGTATTTACAGCTACTCCCCATTGCTGGCATTACTACCTGAGCTCCACCTCCTGTCAGATCAGCAGTGGCATTAGATTGTCCTAGGAGTGTGGACCCTATTGTGAACTATGCATGTGAGGGATCTAGGCTGCATGCTCCTTATGAGAATTTAATGCCTGATGATCTGTCACTGTCTCCCATCACCCATGGATGGGACCGTTTAGTTGCAGGAAAACAAGCTTAGGGCTCCCACTGATTCTACATTATGGAGAGTTGTATAATTATTTCATTATATATTACAATGTAATAATAATAGCAATAAAGTACACGATAAATGTAATGCACTTAAGTCATCCCAAAACCATCCCCCCACCCTGGTCTGTGGAAAAATTGTCTTCCATGAAACTGGTTCCTGCTGCCAAAAAGGTTGGGGAACATTGCTTTAGAGCAAGAGCTCTCTATTGTTGGCCAGAGATAAAACCTGCTTGCCTTTTGTTTTTCCAATTGGTTGTTTTTTCTTTGCAACCGATACAAAGTAGGGAAAGAACTCAGTTTACCAGTGATACAATTACAGGGTACATGTGGCCAGGCATGGTGGCTCACACCTGTAATCCCAGCCCTTTGGGAGGCTGAGGCAGGTGGATCACCTGAGGTCAGGAGTTCGAGACCAGCCTGCCCAATACGGTGAAACCCCATCTCTACTAAAAATACAAAAAAAAAACCAAAAAATTAGCCAGATGTGGTGGCTGTAGTCCCAACTACTCGGGAGGCTGAGGCTGGAGAATCACTTGAACCTGGGAGGTGGAGGTTGCAGTAAGCCGAGATGGCACCACTGCACTCCAGCCTGGGAGACAGAGTGAGACTCCATCTCAAGAAAGAAAAGAAAGAAAGAGAGAGAGAGGGAGGGAGGGAAAGGAAAGAAAGAAAAAGAAAGAGAGAGAGAAAGAAAGAAAGAATTAATTACAGCATACACGTTTACATGAAGTGGTCATAGCCCAGGGGCATCTTATGGATGACGGCCGCCATCAGTGGCGTTAGTCTAGAGCTCCTCATTGTACATGGGTTTGGTGGTCCTCCATTGGTGCTGGTCTGGCCCACGTGCACCTCGTTCACACTCACCATCAGGTACGGCTCCAGCAGCTGGTGGCCCTTCATGAGCAAGTGGCACAGGTATCACAGCCTGATGGGTTCTTCTTGCCTGCTGCCCTGAAAAAAACCATCGAGAACCGCAGAAGTTGTAGCAAAGAAATAATTTAATTAATAATTGCAGGGTCAAGCCAAGTGAGGAGAACAGGGAGAAATTTCTCAAACCCCTCTCTCCAAGAATTTGGAGGCTAGGGTTTTTTAAGGGTACTTTGGTAGGCAGGGAGCTGGGGAACTGAAACGATTGGCTGGGGATAGAATCACAGGGGCCTCTAAAACTGTCTTAACACAGCTGAGTCAGTTCCCAGGAAGTGTGGGTGATGTCAGGACCAGGGGGCCTCTCTTGATCTACTGAAATGCTAAATCTGAAAAGGATCTCCAAGACCAGGTCTCTAGGTTTCATAATAGTGAGGTCATCTATAGGAGTAGTTGAGGAAGTTATCAATCTTGAGACCCCCATTACATGACTTTGGGGCAGTAAGCAACTTACAGAAAACAGAGGAAGCAACAGCAGCTCATTCTTTAACTATGTTCAAGCCCCTACCACAATTCTTCAGCAAAGTTCAAGCCCCTACCATAATTGTAACCATGTCATATGAATGTGGCTTCGATCTCCGAACAAGGAGGGGCGTCAGTTCTCCTTGCCTCAAAGTTTAGCTATAAACTAAATTCCTCTTATAGTTATCTTGGCCTCTGCACTAGAATATACACAACAAAAACAAAAAACAACAAAAACCCCCAACCAATTTAGCTTGCAAGACTAGTAGCAAAATGGAGTCAGTCATGTTATATTTCATTACTTAAAATTCTGCAAAGGTGGTTTCTCAGGGAATGTGGATCCTTGAATAGGCATTTAACAGCCTGGTGCCGGACCATAGACTGGCGCCTCTGCCCCGCCGCTGGCAACCCTCGAAGCAGCCACAGGAGTGGAGGCAGCCCTGGGGAGAAGCAGGACACAAACGGCCCTTGACTAGCCATTCTGCCTTCTCCGTTGGCCCTTCTCCTCCTCTCATTCCCTTCATCCCTCCCAAGGTTGAAAGGAAGGGACTGGGCTCATCAGGGAAGCCTGTCCCTCTCAATCTCACAGCGTTTCCAGGACAGGAGCCTTGTGCAGACTCGCCCTTTCTCCAGGGCCAAGAAACTCCTCTCCTCTGAAAGCTGGAGCTACCAGTCCCTTTAGTGCCAGCCCCTAGCGGATCCCCACCCCCTTCCCCTTCTTCTCTTCAAGAATATGTTTTGTTAAATTGGCCTTTTGTCCTTGGTTGCTGAAACAGCTCTGGAGCAATAAAGGTGAAAGGCTCTTGTTATTTATAATGAGCCCCTTTCAACCACATCTGAATTTATGTTAAGGAGGTGAGTTTTGTAAAGTCCCTAGGTAACCACAGGATTAGGGGCCAGGAGAAGCAACCATGTGCTCAGGGACTTGAAATTCATACCCCTGCCCCACCCCCAACACACACACATCTTCAGGAAGGGGAAGAGGGGCTGAAGGTTGAGTTGGCCACCAATGGCCAGTGATTTAATCAATCAGCCCTACATAATGAAGCCTCTGTATAAACCCAAAAGGACTGAGTTCAGGGGACTTCCACATATGGGGTACAGGGAAGGCGGTGCACCCCAACTCCATGGGACAAAAGCGCCTGAGCTCAGGACCTTCCCAGACTTCCATGTACCTCTTCATCTGGTTATTCATTTGTATCCTTTAAAATATGCGTTATAATAAACCAGTAAGCGTAAGTATTCCCCTGAGTTCTGTGAGCCTTTATGAGCAAGTGGCACAGATGTCACAGCCTGACAGATTCTTCTTGCCTGCTGCCCTGCAAAAAGACACCGAGAACAGTGGGAGTTGCAGCAAAGACAGAGTTTATACAAAATTACCTGAACCCAAAAGGAGCTTCATGGGAATGCCAATTAATAGCTGGTTGGTGGGAAGTTCCAGAAGCTCGGACTTGCAATTGATGTCTCAAGTCAGGGGCACTTTTGTGGGACTGAGTTGTTGACAAGTTCTGTAGGATCTGACGTGACTTCCAGGTGGATAGTGTCGAACTGCTTTCTTGGTGTATGGGGAAAGCCCCCCATACGCTTGGTCACAGAAGTTTTCTGTGTTGTGAGAAACAACAGGAGAATCAAACTGTTTGTGTTTTGTTTTGTTGTTTTCTATTCAGTTCTCTTGTAAAAAACTGCCCAGAGAGCTGCCTTGCCCCTTGTACCATGTGAGGACACAACAAGAATATGTCATCTGTGAAACAGGCTATCACCAGACACCAAATCTGCAGGCAACATGATCCTGGACTTCCCAGCCTCCAGGACTGTGACAAATAAATTTCTGAGGTTTCCTGGGAGGAAGTTTCTTGATTGGGAAAAGACTGAGGCTTAGCACCAGAAAGTCCTAATTCAGATTCATTCGGCATCAAAAAACACAATAGAACCTTCCACACATTCCCACTGAAGCCCTAAGCCTCCCTCCTTTTGTTTAAGGTGGTATATACAGTTGTCCCTCTGTATTAGTGGGGGATTGGTTCCAGGACCTCCCTCAGATACCAAAATCTACAGACGCTTAAGTTCCTGGTATAAAATGGCATCGTGTTTGCATATAGCCTATGCAATCCTCCTGTATACCTTAAAGCATCTCTAGATTACTTCTTATACCTAATACAATGTAAATTATATGTAAATAGCCATTATCCTGTATTGATTAGGGAATGATGGCAAGAAAAAAGTCTACGCGAGTTCAGTACAGACATTATTTTTTCTCTTTTTCTTTTTTTTTCGAGACAGGGTCTCACCCAGGCTGGAGTGCAGTGGCATGAACATGGCTCACTGCAGCCTTGACATCCTGGGCTCAAGGGATCCTGCTGCCTCAGCCTCCCGTGTAGCTGGGACAGTAGGCACGTGCCACAACACCTGGCTAATTTTTTTGATTTTTTTTTTTGTAGAGACAGGGGTTTCACTTTGTTGCCCAGGCTGGTCTCAAACTCTCGGGCTCAAGGAATCCTCCTGTCTCAGCCTCCCAAAGTGCTGAGATTACAGGCGTGAGCCACCAAACCAGCTCTCTGAATATTTTCCACCCTTGGTTGGTTGAATTCATGGATGCAGAATCCACAAATACAAAGGCCCTACTGGATACCTCTATCTCTGGCTATTCAGAGAGTTACATTGTACTACACAACACCCCAGTAGGTAAATTAACATTTTCTTCTATTAAAGTCTATTGTCAGTTAATTTACAGGCCTCTAACTTTAGAGCCTGGGATGGCAGAGGGAAAGATATCCTCCCAAGAGTGCTCAACTCTGGCAGCTCCCTAAAAATAACTTGGGAGCTTTTTAAAAATACTCACGTCCAGGCCGGGCGTGGTGGCTCACGCCTGTAATCCCAGCACTTTGGGAGGCCGAGGCGGGCAGATCACGAAGTCAAGAGATCAAGACCATCCTGGCCAACATGGTGAAACCCCATCTCTACTAAAAATACAAACATTAACTGGCCCCGGTGGCATGCGTCTGTAGTCCTAGCTCCTTGGGAGGCTGAGGTAGGAGAATCTCTTGAACCTGGGAGGCAGAGGTTGCAGTGAGCCGAGATCGCGCCACTGGACTCCAGCCTGGTGACAGAGCAAGACTCCATCTCAAAAAACAAAAACAAAAACAAACAAACAAAGCTCATGTTCATGTTCTCCTTCCCACACTGCCCATTCTGATTTA
The DNA here is from genome assembly GCF_000001405.40 of Homo sapiens. NCBI lineage: Eukaryota > Metazoa > Chordata > Mammalia > Primates > Hominidae > Homo > Homo sapiens. Next base: position 67,607,311 of record NC_000014.9, on the reverse strand, counting down.
ATTACCTGGGATGGACCCAGGTGTAGTGGTTTTTAAGAGCTTGCCAGCTGGTTGTACTATGCAGCAGGGTAGAGAATCCAGTATTAAGAGTTATATCTTAATTAAGAGTTATATACTTACTCAAGTTATATACTTACTCAATTAAGAGTTATATACTTCTCAATTCTTAATTAAGAGTTATATATATACTTCTCAAATTTTAATGTCTAAGAGTATCACCTGAGAATCTTGCTAAAACTGAGATTCTGAGTCTGTAGGTTTGGTGTGAGACCCAAGAATCTGTATTTTGAAGAAGCACCCAGCCACTGCTGCTGGTTTACCTCTCACATTTTGAATATATCAGGCTTTTTAAAAACCAGGGCTCTTGGCCGGGCAGGGTGGCTCACGCCTGTAATCCCAGCACTTTGGGAGGCCGAGGTGGGCAGATCACGAGGTCAAGAGATCGAGACTATCCTGGCAAAGATGGTGAAACTCCATCTCTACTAAAAATACAAAAAATTAGCTGGACATGGTGGCACGTGCCTGTAGTCCCAGCTACTTGGGAGGCTGAGGCAGGAGAATCGCTTGAAACCAGAAGGCAGAGGTCACAGTGAGCTGAGATCACGCCACTGCACTCCAGTCTGGGCAACAAGAGCAAAACTCCGTCTCAAAACAAAAACAAAACAAAAAACAACAACAACAAAAACCAGGGCTTTTTTACCTTTCCTTTGAAATCTTCATAAAAAAATAGTTACATAAAGGTAACTTATTTCCAAGCCTACACAGCTGTGGCTTGATCAAAATAATAAAACTGAGCTGAGGGTGTTATGGTCTAATTGAATCTATTTGTAAAACCTATGCCCATCAAATTAGATCCATCTTTTATCTAAACTTTCTCACAAGCTTGGCTTATTACATTAAAAAACCTTTAGTGCACAAGAACAAAAAGTATCCTGATATTACAAGGGAAGAGAAACATTCCACATAAAAGCCAGGTGTGTTCCTAGACTTAAGTTGAAAATATTAAGCTCTACTGTTCTAGAAATCCACAAGATGGAGAAGTGACTCCATGAAAAAAACCACTACTTTCTGCGCTGTATCAGATTCTGCCAATAGATTTCTTTCATGTTTCATTTCTTCTATTTTTTTCCCACTGTCATTCTTCCTTACTTGAAACAATTACTAGCCATTTTCACTGGCTATGAGAACAACAGGGTGACAGTAAGTAAACTATGGTAGATTAATGTCGGGGAAAAATAAGTATTTTTTCTTTCCATTGCTAGGTTAATGGCTGACAACAAAGCACACATTAACATGAGAAAAAGTATACAAAATATATACTAATAAGCTAGGTACGGTGGCTCACACCTGTAATCCCAGCACTTTAGGAGGCCGAGGCAGGCAGGTTGCTTGAGACTGGCAGGTTGCTTGAGACCGGCCTGGGCAACATGGTAAAACCTCGTCTCTACTACAAATATAAAAATTAGCCAGACATGGGGGTGCGCACCTGTGGTCCCAACTACTGGGGAGGCTGAGGCAGGAGGATTGCTTGATCCCAGGAGGCAGAGGTTGCAGTGAGCCAAGATTGCACCACTGCACTCCAGCCTAGGTAACAAAGCGAGACTATGTATAAAAAAAAATTAATATGAGAGAAGCATATAAATTTATTTAATATAAATTTTATATGACATAGGAGCTTTTGTAAAGAGGAAATACTTAGGTGGCAGGATTATGGATGTATTTTGTTCTATAAAATTTCAATTTGATGTTAGGTAAATACCAAACACATCTTACTAAAAAGAGAGTGGCAAGGCTGGGTACAATAGCTCATGCCTGTAAGCCCAGCACTTTGGGAGGCCAAGGTGGGAGAATACCTTGAGCCCAGGAATTTGAAGTTATAGTGAGCTGATATTTGTGCCAATGGACTCTAGCCTGGGTGACAGAGTGAGATGGTGTCTCTAAAAATAAATAAATAAAAAGGGAGAGTTAATAAATTTTTAATGTACATCATTTATGAGAATATCAGAAAACATCAAATACCTACAAATGAGGTCTAATGAAAGATGTGCAAATAATTGTTAAGCATTGCTGAGAGAAATTAGAGAAGACTTCAATAAATGGAGAGATGCCAGGTTCATGGATTGGAACATGCGGCATAGTTAAGATGTCAATTCTCCCTTAGATTGATTGATAGATTCAGTACAATCCAAGCAAAATTTTTGGTGAAAATACAAAAACCCTATAATAGCCAATACAATTTTGAAGAAAAGGTATAAAGTTGAAAGACTTAACAGTATGAGAAATCAAGACCTACTGTAGAGCTACAGTAATTGAGACAGGTTGCTATTAGCACAAGGGAAGACAAAATAGAACAACAGAACATAATAGAGAGTGTGGAAATAGACCGAGAAATTTGTGGTCACCTATTTACAACAAAGGCACTATCTCAATTAGGGGGGAAGGGTAGTCTTTTCAACACGTGCTGCTGGGAAACAAAATGACCCTTAACCTCTACAAACAAAAATTAGTTCAAAATGGATCATTGGCTTAAATATGAAAGGTAAAATAATTAAGCTTCTAGGGAAAAAAAAGATAGGCAAAGTTTTTTTTGTTGTTGTTGTTTTGTTTGTTTTTTCTCGCTCTGTTACCCAGGCTGGAATGCAGTGGCTTGATCACAGCTTTTTGTAGCCTCCTACAGTAAGCTGGGCTTACTGGGCTCAAGCAACCCTTCTGCCTCAGCCTCCCTAGTACCTAGTAGCTGTGCCACCATGCCCAGCTTTTTGTTTTTTGTTTTTTGTTTGGTAGAGTCAGAGTCTCGCTATGTTGCCCAGCATGTTCTGGAACTCCTGAGCTCAAACGATCTTCCTGGCTCAGCCTCTCAAAGTGCTGGGATTATAGGCATGAGCCACCATGCCCGCAAGACAGGCAAAGCTTCCTAAACAGGACAAAATATTATACAACACTAGCCATAAAAGACAAGATTGATAAATTGGACTTTATGAAAATTAAAACCTCTGTTCATCAAAAGACACCATTAGAGTATGGAAAAGTAAGTCACAGACTGTTTTACTGCTTGGAGGATATACCTCAATTAAAACATTTCCTTAAATGGACAGATGAGGAGACTTCCATTTCTGAAAGATGGAACAGACATTCTTTGCCTATCCATCCCAGTAAGAAAGCTAAAACCTTTGCGCCTGTAATCCCAGCTACTTGGGAGGCTGAGGCACAAGAATCGCTTGAACCCAGGAGGTGGAAGTTGCAGTGAGTAGAGATTGTGCTACTGCACTCTTGCCTAGGCGACAGAGCAAGACTGTCTCAAAAAAAAAACAAAAACAAAAAACAAGGGCAGGGCTGGGAGCGGTGGCTCACGCCTATAATCCCAGCACTTTGAGAGGTTGAGGCGGGCAGATCACCTGAGGTCAGGAGTTTGAGACCAGCCTGACCAACATGGAGAAACCCCATCTCTACTAAAAATACAAAATTAGCTGGGCATGGTGGCGCATGCCTGTAATCCCAGCTACTTGGGAGGCTGACCTCAGCAGGAGAATCGCTTGAACCTGGAATGCGGAGGTTGTGGTGAGCCAAGATTGTGCCATTGCACTCCAGCCTGGGTAACAAGAGCAAAACTCCGTCTCAAACAAACAAACAACCCACAAAGCAGTAATAAGGATTTTAGTGACTGGGTGCAGTGGCTCATGCCTGCAATCCCAGCACTTTAGGAGGCCAAGGCAACAGGAACGCTTCAACCCAGGCATTCAAGGTCACAATGAGTTATGATTATACCACTGCACTGCAGCCTGAGTAACAGAGCAACACCCTCTCTCTAAAAAGAAAAAGGATTTTAGAGATCTTAGACTACCACAGTATTTATTCCTAATAATTGAGTATTTTTAAAAAATTAAGTAAAGTACATTTGGCCTTTTTCTTTCTATAACTCTATAATTGTGAAACTTCTTAGCCTGCTGGGCATGGTGACTCATGCCTGTAATCCCAACTCTTTGGGAGGCTGAGGCCGAAGGATCACCCGAGCCTAGGAGTTTGAAAATAGCCTGGGAAACATAGTGAGATGCCATTTCTACAAAATATGCAAAAATTAGCCTGATGTGGTAGAGTGTGCCTGTAGCCCTAGATACTTGAGGGGCTGAGGTGGGAGGATCTCTTTAGCCCAGGAAGTTGAGACTGCAGTGAGCCATGACCGTACCACTGCTGCACTCCGCTTTCGGTGACAGAGCAAGACCTTGCCTCAAACAAAACAAAACAAACCAGAAAGAAAGAAAAAGAAAAGAAACTTCTTAGCCTGTACAGGTACCTTTTGTATTGTAGACCCTCTGGAAGTTTGGCGAAATGAATGGACCCTTTATTATAATAATGCTTTAAAATGTATAAATACATAGGACTTCTAAGAAAATCAACTAAATTAAAATATGGTTATCAAAATATTTTAAAAATGTGTTACAGTGATATGTTTCTCTTTATTGACACATTAAATAATAATAGCTAGTGATGGGTTTAATAATTACTGCAATTTTGAAGTAGCAATGACTAGAAATGACATTTTGAAACAATTATTGTGAAAAGAAAATATCTGTGATTTCTGTCAGTGACAAAAATCACAAGCTCTACTAATACTAGTTTGTTGCCCATATTCATAATCAAAAGAAATGTTAAATTTTAATTAGAAGTTAATGAAACTAAAAATGAAACACTGATTCTATCCGTGGAGCCCAAGTTAAGAACTCCAGGACTACAGGCTTCCCCAAAACATTAACAGTACTTATCTCTGAGTGATGGAAATATGGGTGGTTTACATTTTTTTCTTTTCTGTATTTTTCAAATTTTCCACAATAAGCAAATATCACTTTTATAATTATAAAACACATGATATATGCAATAGTAAAAGGGGTGATATGGTTCGGCTCTCTGTGCCTACCCAAATCTCATGTCAAATTGTAATCTCCACTTGTTAGGGGAGGGACCCAGTGGGAGGTGATTGGATCATGGGGACGGATTTCCCCCATGCTGGTCTCGTGATGCTGAGTGAGTTCTCTCACGAGATCTGACGGTTTAAAAATGTGGCACTTCCCCACTCCCCTCCTGCTGCCATGTAAGACATGCCTGGCTTCCCCTTTGCCTTCCACCATTATTGTAAGTTTCCTGAGGCCTTGCCAGCCATGTGGAACTGTGAGTCAATAAACCTCTTTTCTTTATAAATTACCGAGTCTCAGGTAGTTCTTTATAGCAGTGTGAAAACGGACTAATAAAAGGAGTGTATTAATTGTCAGATTCGGGGCACAGAAATAAAACTAGAAAAATAAAGAAGTGCTTGAAGAAATCCTTTAGGAAAAAAGAAAGGGAAATAAAATTCTGAATGAAGATGAAGAAACGGAACCTTTCATCAGAGAGACTTAAAGCTGGTGAGACCTTTATGCCATGGATCTTTTTTTTTTTTTAAATGAATATAGACACAGTCTTGCTCTGTTGCCCAGGCTGGTCTTGAACTCCTAAGTTCAAGTGATTCTCCTGCCTCAGCCACCCGAACAGCTGGGATTACAGGCATGCTCCACCATGCCCAGGTAATTTTTTTGTATTTTTAGTAGAGATGGTTTCACCATGTTGGCCAGGCTGATCTTGAACTCCTGACCCAAGTGATCTGCCCTCCTCAGCCTCCCAAAGTGCTGAGATTACAGGCATGTGCCACCATGCCCAGCCCATCACAAGTGTTTTGACAGTCCACATAGCCACTCCTGGGCCACATCAGAAGTAAAAATGGAACTCATAGGCCACTATTACTCATGAGTTTAGTAATTTTATTATCCATTTCTTCTGCATCTCCCGCTCCTGCTTAATTCCCAGCCAGGTCTTGCCTGTCTACCACGGTCCAAGCAGTCATTTGGGAGACAGAACTCCCAGGCAGTGAAATCCAAACTCCTTACCAGACCCTACAAGACCCTCTTGGATCTGACCCCTACCTGCCTCCCCAGCTTCCAACTGTTTTCCCCACACACCAACCTTTCTCGCCTTTTGATTATTTCATTAAGCCAAGCTTGTTCCAACTTCGAGGGGTTTGCCTTTCCTGGTCTTTCTTTCTGGCAAATTCCTCCTCCAGAGCTCCTTCAGTCCTGTCTGGCTCGTCACCCTTGTAACTCAGTGTCCTCTTACTTAGAGACTTCGCCTGACTGCCCTATGTAAAGTCCTCAGTCCATCCCTGCCAGTCAGCATAGTATTGCCAACGATACTCTCTTATTTCCATATTGTCTCCTACTAGAAAGGAAGCTGCCCGAGGGCAGAGACTGTCATCAACATCGTTCACTGCTGCATCCTCAAGCACCTCAAACTACCCGGCACAGGAAAAGAGTAAGTGAAATGAATACCCGTGGGCTCTCCTTGCGGCTCACTCTGGCTTAGAGAAATCGGCTTGCCAAGCAAAAGCATGATTAAAACTGTGGGTTTGGGCTGGGTGCGGTGGCTCACGCCTGTAATCCCAGCACTTCGGGAGGCCGAGGCGGGCGAATCACCTGAGGTCAGGAGTTTGAGACCAACCTGGCCAACATGGTGAAACCTGTCTCTACTAAAAATACAAAAATCAGCAGGGCGTGGTGGCGCGCGCCTGTAATCCCAGCTACTCAGGAGGCTTAGGCAGGAGAATCGCTTGAACCCGGGGGAAGCAGGTTGCAGTGAGCCGACGTCGCGCCATTCCGTCTCAAAACAAAAACAAACTGTGGGTTTGTTTTGAGACAGGGTCTTGCTCTCTCGCACAGGCTAGAGAGCAGGGGCATGATCTCCGCTCACTGCAACCTCGACCTCCCAGGCTCAAGCGATCCTCCCGCCTTGGCCTCCCAGTGCTGGACTACAGGCCTGAGTCAACGCGCCCGGTCTAAAAACGATTTTAATCTTTCCACTTAACTATTGCCCCGACGAGGTTTTTTCGAAGACAGTCAAGGCCGGCCCGGAAGAACGCACAACCATCAGCCCCCAGCAGAGCTCTCGGCGCGCAACTGAGGCTGCGCAGGCTTAGGGCGGGGCGTGGTGACGCGGCTGCCGGAAGCGGGTCTGGAGCGGGCGAGACGGCCAGGGCCGGCGAGCGCAGTGCAGCGCCGCGCGGTGCGGGCGGCCGAGTGGGGGCGTCATGGAGGATGAGCGGAGCTTTTCGGATATCTGCGGCGGCCGCCTGGCGCTGCAGCGCCGCTACTACTCCCCGTCCTGCCGGGAATTCTGCCTCAGCTGCCCTCGGCTCTCGCTGCGTTCGCTCACCGCTGTCACCTGCACGGTGTGGCTGGCGGCCTACGGACTCTTCACCCTCTGCGAGGTAATGGCAAGTCGGCCCCTCCCCGCGCTCGAAGGAGGGGGTTCGGCTTTGGGAGGGTCTTTGGGGTCTTTGGTCGAGCCCGGACCTCTGGTCGGCCCCTCCTACAGTGATAGGACAGGAGGGCGGGAACTCACGGGTTCTGGGGACGATATTCCGCTGCTGGACAGCTCTTTAAATGACGTTTAGTGAAATGTGTGCTCCTGGATAGTACATTCCCCTTCCGTGGCTGTGCTCTGCTCCGTGGGTTCACTCAGCATACATCTAGTTCTTGCGCGACGGCCTAAAACTTTAACTGCCATGTGTTCTATGTAGTATAGGCGCGCAGTAATTTAATTCCAAGAGTTCAAGGAACTACTAAGTGGGTCTTCCTCGTCCATCCCTTCTGCTCCTCAAAGTAGTACTGCTAACAATACTTTACGTAGACTTCCACAAACTGTCTTTGCCTCCACAAGTGTGTGTGTTTATCTGTGTGTATAGATAGAGTGTTATAGTTCTTCCTAATCTCTGTTTTTCAAGGGAGTTTTTTAACCCTCCCTCCTCCCAAACCCTTCCCCAATTTCAAGTACTTTCTAAAGGTTTATGAAATTTTGGACGTGTGTGATAGCTGTGCTCAATTTCCAGATTCATTCCTGTTTTCTCTGAGCCTCAATTTTCTACATCTCTAAAATAGAATTCATGCCTGCCATACCAGCTTCATGATATTGTGAGGGTTAAATGCAGTAACTTTGTGACAGCTCTCAAATAAAAAGAATTATCCTAATTTTCAGGATAAGTTCTAGTTTCATATGTAGTGCCTGAATTGAATGTATTATCCCAGAAGTGATCTAATCAGAGCTAAGTACAGCAGGGCTATTTATTTTTGTAACTTGGATATTGTTTCCATTACTGCATCCATTCGCTTTTTTGCTGTCAAAGCGTGTTTCAGAGCATGGTAATTTAGCATAGAAATATGCAGAATTAAGACTGCCCTAATTGCAGGAAACTATCTAACTATCTAAACCGTATGTTTGTTCAGGCAAAGCACTGTACCTCACGCCTGTAATCCCAGCACTTTGGGAAGCTGAGGCGGGCGGATCACTTGAGGTCTGGAGTTGGAGACCAGCCTGGCCAACATGGTGAAACCACGTCTCTACGAAAAATTCAAACATTAGCTGGGTGTGGTGGTGCACGCTTGTAGTCTCAGCCACTCGGAAGGCTCAGGCGGGAGAATCGCTTGAACCTGGGAGGTGGAGGTAGCAGTGAGCCGAGATCACGCCACTGCACTCCAGCCTGGGCAACAGAGGGAGACTCTGTCTCAAAAAAAAAAAAAAGTTTGTTCATAAGTCAGTTAAAATGATGATTAAGTTGACTTGATAGCCCCCCTAAAATTTAATTTATTGTATAGTTGAATTTTAGTACTAGCCTGAGTTCTTATAGCCTATGTATGTGGTCATGTGAGGAGGAGGAAATAGATATTTATTAAATGCCCACTGACTGCCAGATGCTTTACTGAATTCCTTACTTTAGCCCTAGAACGAAGGAAACCAAGGCTCACAAAGAGCAATGACTTATCCAAAGTCTCAAAGCAGTAAATGGCAGATCTGGGCTTCAAACCAAGGGCTTTCTGACTCTGAGACCCTTTCTTTTCCTTTATACCATTGTATAGCTGATCTTAGGCAAAATTTAAAAACAAAAGCCTGCTTTTATGCCAGGTCCCTTCTGTACTTGTCTCTCTCATGCCGGTGTACTCTGCTTACCCCCATCAAGTACCCGAGGAATCAGTGACCGCATCTTCCTTTAAACTCTACTGCAACACTTTCTAAGGGCTCTGTGTGCCAAAATTTCTTACCTTTCCTATTCAAAACTGTTTATGAGAGTAATGAATATCTGGAATGAGAAGAAATCTGATTGAAGGAATTCATTCAAACATACAGCTTAACCCCAACCCAAATTAATATTGAATTGTTTGAATTCTACACAGAAAAATGAAGTTGAAAAAAATGCAGATAGTAGGGCACGGATTGCTTTTATTGGAAAGCTGACATGGATCAAATCCTTAAGGATTTATTGTTCTTCATCCCTTCATTCCTTCTTGTTTTTGAGTTCACAGTTCTATTAAAGTTCCAGGTTGTTCCCTTGTTTATTCCAACCTGGAATGTTCTTCCCCCTTCCCTTTCAACTAATTATATTGGTCACTAACCACCACTTCCCCTACACCAATTAAATCCTGTTTCCTTGGATGTGATGGGATATTCCTGTGTGCTTTAATGTCTTTTTTTTTTTTAAACTTTTCTTTTGGCACTTATAGTCAGTATCAGAGTATCCTCCAGAATATTTTCTATGTATTAATCTTGCCTTTAATACATCTATAAGGGTCAGGGCTGAATTGTATTCCTCTCCATTCTTCTTAATGCTTATTCAATGCAATTAATTAACTCAAAATTAGATCTTTCTGGATCATCAGAGACCCAGTACTGAATCCTCCATTCATCAATCAACAAATAATTATCTAGCACAGAGATAAGCAAACTTTTTTTTTTTTTGAGACAGGTTTCTTTGTTTTTTTTGAGACAGGTTCTCACTCTGTTGCCCAGGCTGGAGTGTAGTGGTGTGAATACCCCTCACTACAGCCTCAGTCTCCTGGACTCAAGCGATCCTCTTATCTCAGCCACCTGAGTAGCTGGGACTACAGGCATGTGCCACCACACCTGGCTAATTTTTGTATTTTTTGTAGAGACAGGGTCTCACTAGGTTGCCCAGGCTGGTCTTGAACTCCTGGCCTCAAGCGATCCCCCCATGTTGGCCTCCCAAAGTGTTGGGATTATAGGCATGAGCCACCATGCCTGGCCCAAACATTTTCATTAAAAGACTAGATAGTAAATATAGCAGGTTCTGTGGGGTCTGTCTCATAATATTCTTTTCTTTCTTTCTACAACCCTGTAAAAACTTAAAAATCATTCTTTGCTTGAGATGGGCCAGACAAAACCAGACCACAGGCCCAAATAGTTTACAGATCCCTGATCTAACACTATGGGTTAACTATGAAAAAGTAGAAAGAGACCATCAAAGAAAACCAGAGCTAGTGAGTAGTTGAAGTGGTACAAAAACCAGATGTTATTCAGGAACTATTACAGTAGGGGAAAAGAGACTTCAGTATAGACTTCCAAATTTCCTCAGTTCCGAATATAGCATGGACAAGTGGAGATTTATAGCCAAGGAGCAAGGTGGGAGTCAGTGGATGGAAAATTACCCAAAGGAAACATCAGGGGCAAGGTGGGATTCTGGCTAAATTGACTTGACAGGATTCTTGCTGAAGGCATGCCAGGCTGATCAAATACCAAGGGTGGGAGTTCTTTCTAAACTGATTCAGCAAGATTCTTGCTACAATTGGGTGGGTAGTGCAGGCCCAACAAAGATGTCAAGGTCAGGGCCTAGACAGCTTAGAGGAACCTGACTAGAAGTAGATAAAGGAGGGCATCTTGTCAGTGCAAAGAATAATAAGACACTTCCTGCCCTCAAGGAATGCAGTCCAAAATTACAAAATTTCTTTGATTCTAGGTCATCAATAATTTTTTTCCTGTGCCAGTCTTCTAAATCATAGCTTTGCCGGGTGCGGTGGCTCACACCTGGAATCCCAGCACTTTGGGAGGCTGAGGCGGGTGGATTGCCTGAGGTCAGGAGTTCGAGACCAGCCAGGCCAACATAGTGAAACCCCATCTCTACTAAAAAAAAAAAAAAAAAAAAAAAAATTAGCTGGGCGTGGTGGCGGGTGCCTGTAATCCCAGCTACTAGGGAGGCTGAGGCAGGAGAATCACTTGAACCCGGGAGGTGGAGGTTGCAGTGAACCGAGATCACACCATTGCACTCCAGCCAGGGAAACGAGTGAAATTCTGTCTCGAATCAATGAATGAATGCAAGCTTCTGGGAAAAAAGATAAAACAATGCCACATGAAAGAAACACACACCAATAGGAAAACACATTTTAACTTCAGAAATGTTAAAGATTATACATTGGTCTTAGAATCAAGGGAATAAATAATAGACACCATTTTTTGAGCCCTTAACACATCACTTAGTCAACTGTAAGTAACACAGAACAACTAAAATAGCCTTAAGAGATAAGGACCTTTTATATTAACAAGAAGTCATAAGGTAGGAGGGCTCCAGAGTTCACGTGGAGACTCATTTGATTCCGGCTCTTGTCATCTTACTGCTGACACCCTTAGTGTGCCCTACTTGTCCTCCACCTGGTCCTCCAAGTGCAGAAACTGCACTTCCACCCTTAGCGTCCTCTAGTTGTCCTCTACTAGCTCTCCACTGGGTCTGGCAGAGGCCATAGTAGTTCCAGGTATCTAAACCTCATGATGAAGGGAACGTCTCTTCTGCAGATTTTTAAAGATAAACTCAAGTTTTCCAGAAGCCCCTCCAGCAGATCTCCCCTCACATTTCATTGGCCAGAGTTGTGTCACATGCCAATTTTTAAAGCAGTCATTGGCAGAAGGAGTGGGAACCAATCATGGTTCACTCACTGTTCAATTGGGGCTGGTGGGTGGCTGTTTATTAGGCAAGCCATAGTATCTGCTACACTGTGCTAAGCACTTTATAATTGTTCAGTCTATGATTTTGCACTATATACAGATGGTTCCCAACTTACGATGGTTTGACTTAGGATTTTTTTGACTTTAGGATGATGCGGAAACAATACAAAGTCAGTAGGAACGGTACTTCAAGTAGGAACGGTACTTCAAGTACCCATACAAACATTGTTTTTCACTTTAAGTATAGCATTGAATAAATTATATGAGATTTACCACACGTTACTGTAAAATCAGATTTTATGTTACATGATTTGCCCAACTGTAGGCTAATGTAAGTGTTCTTTTTTATTTTTTTTATTTTTATTTTTTTTAGACGGAGTCTCGCTCTGTCACCCAGGCTGGAGTGCAGTGGCGCGATCTCGGCTCACTGCAAGCTCCACCTCCTGGGTTCACGCCATTCTCCTGCCTCAGCCTCCCGAGTAGCTGGGACTACAGGTGCCTGCCACTACGCCCGGCTAACTTTTAGTATTTTTAGTAGAGACGGGGTTTCACCGTGGTCTCGATCTCCTGACCTCGTGATCCGCCCGCCTCGGCCTCCCAAAGTGCTGGGATTACAGGCGTGAGCCACCGCGCCCGGCCTAATGTAAGTGTTCTGAGCACGTTTAAGGTAGGCTAGGCTAAGCTCTGATGCTTGATAGGTATATTAAATGCATTTTTTAATTTTAATTTTTTATTTGAGTGCTAGAACTAAATATTAAATGCATTTTCATCTTATAATGGGTTTATCAGGACATAACTCCCTCCTGTATTCTGCTGAGGGAGTGTGAAAGGAAAAGATTTGGGGTCCTTTTTTTTTTTGAGATGTCTCACTCTGTCATCAGGCTGGAGTGCAGTGGTGCGATCTCGGCTCACTGCAACCTCCGCCTCCGCCTCCCAGGTTCAAGCGATTCTCCTGCCTCAGCCTCCAGAGTAGCTGGGACTAGAGGCACGTGCCAACACGCCCAGCTACTTTTTGTATTTTTAGTAGTGATGGGGTTTCACCATGTTGGCCAGGATGGTCTCGATCTCTTGACCTTGTGATCCACCTGCCTTGGCCTCCCAAAGTGCTAGGAGTACAGGCGTGAGCCACCTCACTCGGCTGGGTCCTTTCGATTTTTAGAGACAGTGTCTTATGCTGGTACCCAAGCTAGAGTGCAGTTCTATGATCATAGCTCACTGCAGCCTCGAACTCCTGGGCTCAAACGATCCTCCTGCCTCAGCCTCCCTAGTAGCTGGAATTACAGGTGCAAGCTACTGCGTTCAGCTGATTTAGGCCCTAAAGTTGGAATTTTGGAAGAAAAATTTCTGAGATTGCTGTGATGGACATTTTGCTGATGGAGGTTTCCCCTAGACCTATCCATTTGTTGTCTGGATCTGTTTCACTGTATACTTTCATAGCACCTTAGAACCCAAATAAAAGCAATTTCCTTTTCCTCCATGCATGTTCCCCTCATTGCCTGGAGTTGACTGGTACCACTTGGTAATCTTACTGTCTGTGTCTGGCTCTCTCTTCAGAACAGCATGATCCTCTCTGCTGCCATCTTCATCACCCTCTTAGGTCTGCTTGGTTATCTCCATTTTGTGAAGATTGATCAGGAGACTCTGTTAATCATTGATTCCCTTGGCATTCAGATGACTTCATCTTATGCTTCAGGCAAAGAAAGCACTACCTTCATAGAAATGGGCAAGGTCAAGGATATTGTCATCAATGAGGCCATTTACATGGTAAGTATTTAAAAGGTAAGTATTACAGGCCTCTCTGGAGGAGGTAGCCAGCCCATGGGATGTTCCCAGATTTAAACTAAAACCGTAAAAGTGAGACTTATATTTAAAAGGTAAATCTCTTTATTTTTAAAGAGATGCAGCAGGTTTTCATGGATAGGGAATTAGCATTTCAACTTTATCTTCAAGACCAACTTCAAAATTATCACTGGCATTTTTTCCTTCTCTTTCTATCTTTTTTCTTTTTTTTTTTTTGAGACAGGGTCTCACTCTGTTGCCCAGGCTGGAGTGCAGTGGCTCGATCACAGCTCACTGCAGCCTCAACTTCCCAGGCTCAAGCCATTCTCCCACCTCAGCCTCCTGAGTAGCTGGGACTACAGGCATGCACCACCATGCTTGGCTCGTTTTTTCTATGTTTTGCAGAGATGCAGTCTCACTATGTTGCCTAGGCTGGTCTTGAATTCCTGGGCTCAAGCCATCCTCCTGCTGTGGCCTCCCCAAGTGTTCAGTTTACAGGTTTGAGCCACTACGCCTGGCCCTGTCTTTTTTCATTTAAAGAATGAGAATATACTTTTCTTCCACTTCAAAAGCTATCAAGTGTTCTACTACTTAAACATTTGTGAAAAAGTGTTGAGCCTTCCCTTAGAAAAATAGAATGTGGCCAGGTGTGGTGGCTCACGCCTGTAATCCCAGCACTTTGGGAGGCCAAGGCAGGCGGATCACCTAAGGTCGGGAGTTCCAGACCAGCCTGACCAACATGGTGAAACCCCATCTCTACTAAAAATACAAAAAATTAGCCGGGCATGGTGGCGAGCGCCTGTAATCCCAGCTACTTGGGAGGCTGAGGCAGGAGAATCGCTTGAACCTGGGAGGTAGAGGTTGCAGTGAGCCGAGATTGCGCCACTGCACTGCAGCTTGGGCAACAGAGAGAGACTCTGTCTCAAAAATAAATAAATAAAGGAAAAAGAAAAAAAGAATGCAAAATGAGTTTCACTTAGACTTTGCTATTTGATTTATTTTCTTACAGCAGAAGGTGATTTACTACCTCTGCATCTTATTGAAAGATCCAGTGGAACCACATGGGATATCCCAAGTAGTACCCGTCTTCCAGGTGAGCATAGAATACTTTTACCATTCTCCAATTACTCCTCAACCTTTTCATTAGGAATGTAAATTCCTTTTGTCAGAGTATTGGAAGATACCTGACAGCTGTTTTGAGTGATAATTAGGATTTCAGTTATTTGAGAAGTTCCTCTCTGAGGCAAATGTATTCCTTAAAAATATTCATGCACATTTTATTTTATTTTAGAGACAGAGTCTCACTTTGTCACCTAGGCTGGAGTGCAGTGACAATCACCACTCATTGCAGCCTCCACCTCCCAGGCTCAAGAAATCCTCCTGCCTCAGCCTCCTGAGAACTTGGGACTACAGGTGTGCACCATCTCGCCTGGCTAATTTTTTTTTTTTATTTTTAGTAGAGATGAGGTCTTGCCATGTTGCCTAGGCTGATCTTGAACTCCTGAGTTCAAGCAATTCTCCTGCCTCAGCCTCCCAAAGTGTTGGGATTACAAGCATGAGCCAGCATACCTGGCCTCATGCACATTTTAAAGAACACAATCAAATATATAGCAACTTCTGCCTATAAATCACCATTCATCTACTTTGACTCTGTCAGTCTACTACTGTACACTTTTTTTAGATAGAGGTAATTGATCTTACATTGTACACTATTGTGTGTCTTGCTTTGTAAATAATTTAATATGTATGTATCCTACAAAGGCCATTATATTTATTATTTTAAATAATTGTATAATATATTGAAATATCAGTTTATTTAGCCACTCTTGCCAGCTTTTAAAATCATGCCTGGGTTTTTTTGTTTTGCTCTTACAAAAAAAAAAAAACACTTATCAGCTGGTGCAGTGGCTCATGCCTGTAATCCCAACACTGTGGGGGAGGCTGAGGCAGGCAGATCACTTGAGCTCAGGAGTTCGAGACCAGCCTGGGCAACATGGTAAAACCCCCATCTCTACAAAAAATACCAAAATTAGCTGAGCATGGTGGTGCACATCTGTGGTCCCAGCTACTGGGGAAGCTGAGGTGGGAGGATTGCTTGAGCCCAGGAGGTCAAGGCTGCAGTGAGCTTTGATCATGGCACTGTATTCAGCCTGGGTGACAAGAGACCCCATCTCAAAAAACAAAAATTATACAAACATAATAAATTACAAAATAATAAATTTAGAGGTAGGTATTTATGCATGTATTTATGTATACAGTTAACCCTGCCTCACTGACCTTTTTCACAAAGGATTTAAGATAAGCCAAAAATTATTTTGCATTGTAATTCAAAATTATTTTATTAAAGCTTATGAATAGTTTTATAGATTTCTAGTGTTTAAGATCGGGCTCCAGAGATTGGACAACTTTATCATACTTTGGGGATTTTGTACTTCTTTTTCTACCATCCTGGCTAATAGTGGATTTAGCTTTTTTAGCTTAATATGTAGGTAAAGGCATTAAATTTGTATCTCTTTAAATGATAGGCTTTTCATATTTCCTTGTATTACCTATCAGTATTTCCTCTTACTTTAAACTACCTATCTTCTCTATTAGTCAAGTAGAATCTGAATATTATGTATTTGTATCTATTTTTATATATTTTTAACAATTCTTTATATATTTTAGGTAGTGCACTTTTATTAAATATACTTTCACATATATTTTTTCCATTCTGTGGCTTTTCTTTTAATTTTGGTTATTACATTTCATTGTGTAAAACATTTTTCAATATTTACATATTAAACTGCACTTCTTGTGTTTGAGGGCTGTTTTACAACTTGTGACATTTCTCAAGGGTCCATTTTGTTTTTCCTCTTGCTTATTCTTAGAGATGGAGTTCATGAAATTTAGACAGATTAAAAAGCTATCATTTGATCTCCCACCTCGCATAGTTCACAAGCTGTGCTGTAAGCCTAGCTGGGACTCTTTCCAGCAAGGTGTGCTGAGGCCTAAACTTCTTAACTCCATGAGCTCACTGCTGTGTCATTTATACCCCTTGATGTGGGTGAGAGATTGAAGTTGCATGTGGTCCCGGCACCATGGCTCAAGCCTGTAATCCCAGCACTTTGGGAAGCCGAGGTGGGCAGATCACTTAAGGCCAGGAGTTCAAGAGCAGCCTGGCCAACATGGTGAAACCCTGTCTCTACTAAAAATACAAAAATTAGTTGGGCATGGTGGTTCGTGCCTGTAGTCCTAGCTACTTGGGAGGCTGAGGCACAAGAATCATTTGAACCCGGGATGCAGAGGTTTCAGTGAGCCGAGATTGTGCCACTGGGCGTGGTGGCGAGCACCTGTAATCCCAGCTACTCGGGAGGCTGAAGCAGGAGAATCACTTGAACCTGGGAGGCGGAGGTTGCAGTGAGCCGAGATTGCGCCACTGCACTCCAGCCTGGGCAACAGAGCAAAACTCTGTCTCAAAAAAAAAAAAAAAAAAAAATTTGCAAGTGGATGCAGCACCACTGCACTCCCTTATATTCTCACCTTGACTCCGCATTTCTCCCCTTTGGAATTCAGAGTGCCAAGCCCCGGCTGGACTGCTTGATTGAAGTATACAGGAGCTGCCAGGAGATCCTGGCACACCAGAAAGCCACATCAACAAGCCCATGAGCCCCAGCGTTCAGAAGGCCAGCATTGTCTTCCATGGGAGATGACTCTTAAGCCATAGGGGCTGGTTTTCCGTACTCCAAACCATCAGGTGGACACAGTCCTAGGAACCATTATGGATGTAGTGCATCTTAGAGCCATAGAGCAGGTGACTGGAAATCTAACTCAGTATATTTCCGTGTATTATAGTGTTTTCCTTGTAAGGTTTTGCCTACTTTACCAAAGGAGGGGAGACCTTAAGAATTTTGACACAGTATGTCAAAAGTAATGTCAGCAAAGAACACTTTCGGAAATTGCTAAGCATGTTCAGGTTTACTTTGTTGATGTTTGTGAAGCAAAACAATGGGAAACTGACATCAGATGTCTTGAGAAAGCTATATTTTCCAATAGTACCCCTTGTGTAAAGTTACGAAAAAAACAAGCCCTTCAGTACTGGTTAGCAGGAAGAAATGTCCTACAAAAGACGAGTCTGTCAACCTAGTGCCTGTGTTCTGTACAGGGCTTATTTATTTACTGTTAATAAACAGATCTTCCAAAACACACAGTTACCTGGTTCACAGATAGCTGCTTTTTATTGACAAACAAGATCATAGTATTTCAGTCATGGTGTCAAGCACATTAATACTTTTCTGTTACTCAGCATTTTTTTTTATATCAGTTCAAAAGCTACTTTTGCCAAGAAGGATGAGACAAAAGGCCAGACAGAAATTGGACTTTGGTTTTCAGACATGGGACTCTCATGTTAACAAAGAATAAATAAGCAAATATTGAATCCTTTGTTTCTAAGTTAGTTTCTTCTGTATAAGATTAATAAACTAAAGGGTTCCTGAAGGGTTGGGGAGGAGAGAGGGTGGGGGAAATAGATTGACCCCAAATTCAGTGTGAACACAGCTCCATTCTTGTTTACTCTTCCTTTGGACTCCTACTTTTCTTCTAAACTCTCTGGGTAGATAATGTTATCCTTATTGGCCTTAGAGATACCCAAGATATTATAAAACCAGAGCTGTTATGTCTGTCACCAGCCCTGCAGGAATTATTCAGGAACCTGTGGTACATGTGACTTGTTCGAGGTAGAAATGTCTCAGCTAGATCCCCAAGTTGTGGGGTGAAAAGTGTGAACAGAAATGGCTGTAAAACTACTTGCCTTGCAAAGTCAAGTACATTTAAAAGAGGCAGAAACTTGGATGTGCTTCTTTTTTCATCATGCTTGTCAGTTTACGGGGTGAGAGAGGAGAAGCTTACAGCAGCTGAGGTGTTCAGATAAACTAGTTCTGGCCTCGCAGTTTTTGCTGTGCAAAAGATACACACATTGTTGGGGTTAAAGGCTTGGTTTTGGGTGCTACTGCTAAATATACAGTTTTCAGCACTTTACTGACATATAGTAAGGCTGCCTTAGAGCTAGGAAATAAAACTCAGTTTCCTAGATGTTGGAAAATCAGAGTATGAACTCTTTCGTTTTGTTTTTGTTAGGGGAGGGTGTGTCTACAACCTGTCTAGAGGAGACTGTCTAGTCTCCTCTGCACTCAATCAGAAGGTCTGAATTGAGGGGGATTATGGTATTATCAGTAAGGCAAAAGATGAAAGAAACTTTTTTTTACCTGCTACTCTTAGGCTAGGGCAAATGTCACATATGTACCCTCACCCTCAAACTAATTCCCAGCAGAAGTTTGCCAGAAGTCTCAAGGAGCATATCCAGGCCCACATGCCTGAAATAGTCTTCTGTGTTTCTGACTCATTTTTGGTGGTCTTACAGCAGCAAAAAGCAGAGTGCATTTGCTTGGTCTTTTACAAGAAGAAGGAAACAAATGATGGCCCACTACAGTGAACACAGCCTTCACCGAGCGCTGTCCAGTCATTAAAATGAGACAGGGAGGGGTCAGATTGGACCTACCTCCTGCCCTTGCTTGCACATTGCGTGGTACTGGGTTTGGCCTAAAGTCCAGTGTGAGGAAAACAGCTTGAATCTTAGCAGGTATAGCATGTTATCCTGCAAAGACTGCCCCAGAAGGGGCTGTACCAATGCCTACATACCAATAATGGGGAAAAATGAGTCTATTCTTTTTTCTCCAACTCTGTCAGCACCTTTCCCATTTGGGAAAGGCAGCCCAGTTTAGTGAGTTCTAGGCTTCTGACAGAGTGTAGGAGAATTGGAAATTTTAGTCCTATCCTGTTTAGCGACGTTCACAAAACTTCAAGTATAAATAAGACCATATACAATATTAAAAAATTAGCTTCTGGGCTGGGCGATGGCTCATGCCTGTAATCCCAGCACTTTGGGAGGCCAAAGTGGGCAGATCACCTGAGGTCAGGAGTTCGAGACCAGCCTGGCCAACATGGTGAAACCCCGTCTCTACTAAAAATACAAAAATTAGCCGGGCATGGTGGCGCACACCTGTAATCCCAGCCACTCCGAAGGCTGAGGCAGGAGAATTGCTTGAACCCTGTGGACTGGGTGACATAGTGACACTGTGTCCCCCGCCCCCCCCAGAAAGAAAATTAGCTTCCTTGAGAGTACCAGTGCAGAAAGCCTTAACTTATAGCACTGATGCCCTCAGTAACAGTGGATCATCCCTGTCTATGTCTAGAATCAGGTAGCATCTGGAGTCATTATTCTTATGAAAAAAGGAATAAATGGTTTTAACACTGGGTCTGGATTTTAAAAAGTTGAGCCCTGAAACATTATAAGGCACCTAGAGAGTAAAGGCTTCACAGAGACTAAAATACACATTTCACAGAACAAGAGTAGCCGGGGGCTGTTAGACCCGTCACAGTAGTATCATACCCTAGGATATATATCTCTAAATCCAGAGGCACTAGTGGTGTTGGGGAATCGGGTAGGAGAAATATTCACAGCAACGTTGGCCCCTTGGTAGCACAGGAAACAGAAGAAAAGAACTGTCGTCCATCCAGTTCCCACAGCTGGCAGGCTCCGGGTGGGTTGGTGGGGGGGTTCACAGTTGTAGTGCAATGGTTCATATAGCTGGCCATGATGAAGGTAGCTTCTGCAATCTAAGAGGAGGTCAGAGATGTGAAGGAATTGAACTAGCCTTGGCTTGAATCCTGGCTTTCTTACTTATTAGCTCTTATGCTGAGTTCCTGGGCCTCAGTTTATTTAATCTCTTAAAATACCCACCTGGGAGAAAATATCCAAAGGGAATCATAACTGTGCTGTTCAGAGGCCCAGTGGTGTGGGCTCCTGTTGGTCTGGAGATCCTCTCAGATGCACAGTGCCCTTCTGAGAAAAGGAGGCCCAGTGTTCTGCTCTGGTTAGCTCTACAACCAGGGAAGGGGCCTTCTTAAGAAAGGGATCTGGAGATCCTCCCCTTTAGCAGGGGTGGTATTAAAGGAGGAGTAGGTTTGGCAAACTCTAACTTTAGGATTAAAAAGGAGAACAACAGGGTTTCCAGTTAATCACACGGGAGTCAGGAACAATAAATCAGAACTTAGCCTTTGTAATTATTATTTTTGCTGGTCAACACTTCCTGTATTGAGTAGGAACAAAGTCACTAAAGCAAAAGAGGTCTTTTTGCGGTCTTCCCCACAACAAGGAAGAGGGAGCACTGTGGGACTGTCCCACTTTGTAGCTAATGTTGGGTCAGCAGAACCCAGGGGTAACATGCGAGCACCTTAAAGAGGAATCTGCCCTGCCTTGAGGACTGCTGCAAGGAAGAGAAGAGCACGTAAGCACCCAACTGAGGACTGCATGATGCTGGGGCTTGAGAGAATAAAAAAGAAAAAGTGAAGAGCATAATAGTAGCTAGGCCAGAGTTAGTTCCCTCCAAATATGTCCCTTTACCTACTAGCTGAACATTGATACGGAGATGCAACACCACCTGAACCTTTGGAATACTAATTACAGACAAGACCAACAATTTTATCTGGGCAGGGCCCTTGCAGAGCACTAGCATAACCCCAGTTTCCTTTCTAAGCTCCAAGCCCACCACATCTTGCCAGAGTAGAACGTTTTAACAGCTGTCAGACCTACCTTGGGAGCAGCCATCCGGAAGATCAACTTCTCAATGTGGCTTTTTCCAGAGCTCTTGTCTGGGATAGATCTAATCACAAGCATGAAGTCATCCCTGCAGCCACCAAACGTTGTCACTGAAGAGTAGGGGTAAGTGATGTGCACTTGCTGTGGAAAGGAACCAGTCAGTTGTGGGGAAACTTTCCACCTGTCCCCTGAGCTAGGAACCAGCATCCCCTGTCTCTTCTAGGCACAGGAAAGGAGAACTCCCAAGTGGTCATAATTTGGAGATCTCCATCTTGAATATCTACAAGCAGTGTCTAGACTAGAGGACTGGTGCTTGGGCAGGAGTGGGGGTAGGGCAGCCATGGTCACTTGGTTCAGGCTTTTGAGTCCACAGAGGAGAAGAAAAGACCATGTTGAGGAAGAGGAGGGGTCAGGGAGCAGCCTGCATCCTTTCATACCATAGTGTTGTGGTCCAGGATGCTGACGCCATCCTCATTCACAGCAATCCACACCAGAGCGTTCTCCTTGGAAGACAGCTGGGCAGGCTGGGGAAACAGAAACAACCCATCAGATATATCCATAGTTAGAGATTTTGAACTATAATAACTTTCTGAGAAAGAAGGCACATCCAGGGATCTGCTAAGCAGTGATTTCCAGCCACCTCATCTTGGAAAACAAAGATGATATTTGTACAGTGTATGCAGGAAATAGACAAGGCTGCTTGTGACAGGAGACCCTTGGCCTTGGGGCTCTGGCCACCTACTAACCATCTCAAAGGCAGAGGCGATCATTCTTTTGATGTCCCTAGAACCCATGCTGCCACAGCACACTGGATGGAAAGCTCTGTGCTACAGAATAGAGGCCAGCCCTAGCTGCTCTGTTAGGGGAATGGGGAACAGCTGGTTTTCTCCTAGTCTTGGAAACACGGCATTCCACCTATAGTCTCCAAGCCGAAGTGCTTCTGACTTCAGCCAATCTCCTAGGTGCTGTAAAAGAAATAGGAAAGCAAGAATGCAGTCCTGTGGCTTTAGGCCCTATCAGTAAGAAAGTGACTATTTAGTGGACATTCCTGTAATGACTAATTTTCACTGCCAGGACTACAGTATGGTAATCCAGAAAATCTCTCTCTTAACCCAAAGGGAGGCAGATAGACATTGGACATGCCACCTTTTTCAGAAGCTTTTCCTAAGCTCCCAGACCAAGTGGGTCCCTGTTATATGCCTTTATAACACCTCTGTACATCTTCATAGCATTTGTGATGGCTTATAAATATATATTAAATACATAGAGAAAAAAATGAATACGATTATTTGATGAATATACATCTCCTGCACTAGATGGGAAGCTCCAGGAAGGCAAGGACTGTGTCTGATTTTCTCACTTCTTATAACCTCAAACAACCAGCACTGGACATAGTAGGAGCTCAACTATTTGTTGAATGAATGAATGGCCATTTTCCGATCTGTGGCTTCAGTAAACAGGATCACTGCCCAGCTTTGAGCTGTAATTATCTATAAAGTTTATGCACAACAGACACCCAGTGAAGAAAAGTTCCTTCTGAAATTACTGTTGGCCACCTGGCCTTCATACAGAGGTGAAATTAACTGTTGGCTAAGTAATTTGATTCCCCTGTATGCCATGTCAAACCAGTGGAGATGTATTTGTTTAGGTTATACATTGTTCTTTCAAACTTTAAAAAAAATGAAAGCACTCTTGAGAGGGCTGTTATTTCAAGTCTGAATCTTTGTGTGTGTGAATTAGTTGATCACATCTTTTCTTTTGGGGCAGTCAACAAAGGACAAATGAAGATAAGCAATCACAATTCTGCTCTGGACTGTGGAAAGCTGGACTAGGCCAGAAACAGTGGAGGGATAGTGACCTCTGGTGGTTACTGGTATGGAGGTAGGGGCTGCAAATTGGTATGGCTCAAACATGAGCAGTTGGGGACACACCTAAGGGTGTGGGCAGCTCCTTCCACTGGCACTTACCTGAGCAGCAAAAAGTTTAGCACCAAAGAAAGGCCATTTCCTGGCCACGGTCAGGTAGATGCGGATGCACTCAGGAGGGGAGCATCCTTGCAATGTTGCCCATTTTGTGGTCAACATATCTGCCAGGTGCCTGGTGTGGGCAGATGGAGAGAAATAGTGCCAATGAAGTGCCGACGTGTCTTCATTCCAGGCCTGAGACCTCCCCACAGTGACTTGCTGCAAGACCTTGTAGCCTACCTACCTCAGCTGTTCAGCGGGGGCCCCATGTCTATAGCGCCTGGGGTGGAACCTGTCTAGGACCTGCTGGAGAAGATGCTGAGCCTTGGCAGGGGATGTGCCTCCAGGGCCTGGCAGGGCAGGCTTCTCCAAGTCCCCATATTCTACCTGTGGTAGAAGCATATGAAGAGACCAGTCAAAATCTGACAGTGGATGGGCCAGGTGGGGGCTGTTGAGAGGTGAAATAAACCATTTCTTTATTACCCTATTGGTGGGGTGCGAGTGGTTGTGAAAAATACTTTAGAAAAACGCTTCATCTCAAGTTTTATAGACACTAGAGAAACAAACTTAGGGCCCTCGAATATTAGAGATCACCGACCAACTTTGATTTTGCAGCTGAGGTGAAGTGCCTTTTCCAAAGACACAGTTAATTGGTAGCCGACAAGGGAAAACAATGTGGAAATTCTGGCTTCCAGTCCAAAAATATGGGCTATAGAATTGAAGATGCTACAGATCCTAGAGTACAGCAGAGTGTTCCAAATGTGGCCTTTGGAGTTGGACACCTGGCGCAAATCCCAGCTTTGTGTCCCTGATCAAGTTACTTAAACTCTCTGAGCTTCAATTTCCTCATCTATTAGGTGGGAATAAAAACTACAATGGAGGATGCATATATGCTTAGTACAGGGCCTCCTAGAGAGTATTCCTATTGATATTTATAAAGATCAACTATTACTGTTTCCTCTTCCTTTCCAGCATGTAAATCCAGATTCTTATTCTTTTTTAAAAATTTTTAATTTTTAATTTTTGTGGGTATATAGTAGGTGTCAGACTCTCTTATGGGAGTCATGAAGGTATCCCAGATACCTTTGGCAAGATGGCCTTCTAAATATAATGGGAAGGAGAGTCCAAGTCTGAATGTGTGTTCCTCTTCCTAAGTCTACTTAGAAGGTCTGATGGTTTATGAAGTTTACCACATACATTACATGATACAATTATCCAGGTATCATACTTAGTACAACCCTGTGGAGGCTGGCAGAGGTTTTTGTTTGTTTGTTTGTTTTGTTTTGTTTTGAGACAGAGTTTTGCTGTTGTCGCCTAGGCTGTAGTGCAATGGCATGATCTTGGCTCACTGCAACCTCTGCCTCCCAGGTACAAGTGATTCTCCTGCCTCAGCCTGCCGAGTAGCTGGGATTACAGGCGCCCACCACCACACCCAGCTAATTTTTATTTTTATTTTATTTTATTTTATTTTTTTTCAGTAGAGACAGGGTTTCACTGGTCAGGCTGGTCACGAACTCCTGGCCTCAGGTGATCTGCCCGCCTCGGCCTCGCAAAGTGCTGACATTACAGGCATGAGCCACTGCTCCCGGCCAAGTATTTTTTATTTTGGTATACTGAGAAGGAAACTAAAGCATAGAGAAGTGAAGTGACTTGGCTAAGACCTCATAGTTGGAAGGTATATAGGACTCAAACCCAGGTCTCTGGATTCCAAGTCCAGCCATCTGCACGCATCCTATATCTGCGGTGAGTGAGGAGCTCTGATCTGTAGAAGTCAGCTGCTTTCCATCCCAGAGATGGCAAAGCTGCCCTCTCCTGAGCACCACAGGATCTGCAGAATCTCTCCTGTGTTTCAGGCTGCATGGTGCATTCATTCTAAGCTGGCAACCCGACCCTCCTGCTTCCTGAACAGAACCTTACCTGGGCCATCAGGGCAGCCATCTCAAGAGCCAATTCCTTGTTGATAGGAAACCTCCCTGCCACTATCTCTCTACTGGTTTGAGAGGCAAGGAGCAGCCGTTCTCGGTCCGTCTCCCCTTTGACTTGACTGCGAAAGTACAGCCTACAAAGAAGAGAATAAGAAACCAGGACTCAGCAGGGATTCCAAACAGGGATGGGGCTTTCTCTGGGTCTGTTACCTTTATTTCCAAAAAGATAAAGTACTCTTTTCCCACTATTTATGAGCCTATTTTGTATTGCCTCCAGAAACATATAACCGAGTATGACACAGAGCAGATGCAGGGTCATGCTGATCTCATACCAACAGGAGGGCATGGTTCATTCTGAAGATACCATTAAGCTTACTGGATTTAGTAAGGGAAATCTGGTACCTGGAGTTATAGATTAGGGGACTGGATGAGGTAAGAGTCCAAGAGACTACTGGAAACTATTTGCCTGGAGACATACTGAGATGGAGGGATGGGATTTTCTTACTCAAATTGATAGAAAGTCAGGATGTCTACTTCTGTATTTCCTGGAATTGGTATAGGAAGTACTTAGTCTTTAGCTATAACTAGCTGGTGCTTATACAAAATTTCACTCTCATAAAGTAACACACTTAGCCATCCCATGAGGTTGGTCTATTTTCTATTCTTTTCTTTTTTTTGAGGCAGGGTCTCACTCTGTTGCCCAGGCTGGAGTGCAGTGGCGTGATCTCAGCTCACTGCAGCCTCAACCTCCCAGGTTTAAGTGATCCTCCCACCTCAGCCCCCCTGAGTAGCTGGGACTACAGGTACATGCCACCATGCCCAGCTAATTTTTGCATTTTTTGTAGAGGTGGGGTTTTGCCATGTTGCCCAGGGTGGTCTGGTCTGTTTTCTTGGCAGATGTTTGTGTGTGTGTGTGTGTGTGTGTGTGCATATACACACACGCACACGCAGTATAGGGAAGGCTGACAGAAGGCCTGAGCTGCCCAGGGTTTCACAGAGTATCAGCAGCAGAGCCCGCCTGCACCCCAGCTAGTGACTGCCAGGCAGTGTTATATCTGTGGGTCCCTCCCCCCGTCTGGATAGGCTGTCTAGTCGAGGAGGCGATGAGCTGGCACCCAGTGGCAGCCCTTGTGTTTGGCCCCACCCTCGTGCAGTGCTTAGGACCTGTTCTTGTACATCAGCTTCACGACGCGTGTCCCACCCTCAGACTTTCCGGGGTGCAGCTCCTTCATGGCTTGTTCCCACTTGGAGATGGCATCACAGATCTTGAAAAGGCAAAAGAAGAAAGTCAGAAAATTTCCTGATAAGGAGAGAAGGGATCAAGGTCCAGCCAGGGCTGGACTCAGAGCAGAAGAGCAAAGAAAACTAAGGAAAAGTCCTCCCACCAGGAGGCTGACCTGCGGAGCTTCATGCTTCCTGGACCCAAGGTGGCAGCAGCTCCCTCACAAACAGAGGGAACCCTGGACAGGGTGAGCAATAAAGCAAGAAATCTGCCCTGCTGGTGTCACCAGCTGAGGGGCCTCCCCAGAGGCTAGGCAGCCCCATGGCCTTCGAACACCAGCTCCATTTCCATTCCACTGACTGCTATTCTCCTCTTCAACAAATATGCCCAGAGGGCTACCATGTAACAAAGCCTCACAGATGCCCAGACATTGGCAAAGAAGGTATGTGGCATAGTTTTTCCAGGCAATGTTAAAAGACCATAGAAGCCTTTGTCCTGTTAAAGACAAGCAAACACTGGAGCCAAATATGCATCAAAGTGCTAGAGCACATTCTTACAAACACTTATCCCCCAGGACAGTAATCCCAGACCACAATACAAGATTGATCTTAAATCCCATCCAACGGCCTTTACTTATAGGAGCACCATAAGGACCTGCCTCTTTAAAAGTGTGGTTCAACCTATAAGCATGGCATAGGCCCTGAAAGAAAGGGTAAAAGTGAGGTGCTGGGTACCACCTGACATCCAGGGGGTCCAAGCACACAGCTGTGAGCCTCTGAGTGGGCACGTGTAGGCAGTGGCTTCGTGGGGCCTCACTGTCCCTACACCAAGCCAAGAAGAGGCTTTTCTTCTGGACGCTGCACAGCCACTCGAGGGAAGTAGGTGTGTAGCGATCTTGTCTCCAGAGACAAGGGCACACAACAGCTTTTTTCTCCCTGCCCAGGTACATTTTAGGATGGCACAGAAATGCTGACTAGGGCAGCACCTTGGGCTCAGCACCAAATGAGCTACCAAACAGTCAGACACCCATCAGATGGGCTCTTTCCCCACCACCAATATCCCTGAGCAGGGAGGGGCTCAGCTGGCTTAGTGGGAGGCTGTCACCTTGACACTTCCCTGCAGGCAGTGCTCCAGGTCCCTGCCCGAGGGATCGTCCGTGAAGAGGGCAAAGCCAGAGTGGGATGGCTTTCTCATGCCTATCTCCTGGTTCAGCCGCTGGAGGAACTCATCAACCGTGGAAGAGCCGTCAAAACCAACCACCTGAGGCGGGAGAAGAGTTCCAACCCTGAGTGAACCTCCTGAGAGGAGCTCACTAGGGCTGGTGGAGGTGTCTGGATACAGCAGGTGGAAAGGAGCAAGGGCAAATACAAAAGGCCAAAGCAAGTTGGTTTCTGTGTTCACAGGCAAAGGGCCAGTGCATGAGGGATGTGAGCTTATCCACTGTAAATGAACTGGGCATACCTGGGTCCCTCCTTTACCAACAATCTTTTGGAGGCCCTTTCTTATTTCTTGGTCAGCATCTCAGCTTCCCTGTTCATGCAGTGAGTTCATAATATCTACTTCTGGGGCAACAGTGAACAATCTGCCAAGCCTGAGCCTAAGGCCCAGGGGTATTCTCTGGATGGTGACGTGAGAAGACTCGGGGCAAAGAGCACGCCCAGCTCCTCACATGGTAAGTCCCGTTGGTAAAGTGCACGGGGATGCTGAAGGGCAAGGAGTGGTGGAAGGGGTTACGCAGCAGGATGGACACCACTTCCATGCGCGATGGCCTGGCTTCCCGCTCCCCGGTCCGCAGGGTCCGCTCCACTGCCCGCTGGCAGTAGGTGGCATACTGGCCAGTTTCACTTCTAAAAAGACGGAAGAGGGGAGTATTATGGGCTCTGCTCATCTCTGCCACTTTGGCACCCCGGATCCCTATCTAGACTCAGCCAGGACCAAAACTGTAGCTGGGGCAGGTTGTGAGAAAAGCCCTGAAGACTCTGGTCTGGGACATTAATTTGTCATTCAGGACCTTTATATAGCAGGTTGCTGGCATGGATATTTTCTTCTAGAACCCAGAGGACATAACAACAGAATAGCACTTGGGGACAGTTTGGGAGCAGTGTGGCTTCATGTGAGAGTTGCCACAGTACATCCGTGGATACATGGATTGGCGTGCAGAGAAGCTTAAGCATGCCCAGATCCACACGTGCCCATTTGTGCACACGGCAATGGGTGAAGTCTCCACGACCACTGAGCGGTTTCAGAGGACAGGAGTGATCTGGTCTGCCCTAGACTCCTCTCATCCCTCTTATTCATGCGGCAGTTGGCAGTGCTCAAGTGGCAGAGGAAACGGCCAGGTTCACTCACCTGGGATCTGCATGGCGTTGGAGCTGCTGCTTGACATACCAGAGGAAGTGATGCTGAGGCAGGAAAAGTGGAGCACACAGAGCGAGGAGCTGCCAGCACTGCCAGGGACACAGACAGCGTGGGGTGAGTGCTGGGCCTACAGCACCACCTGTCCTCATAGCCCTGAGCTACAGAGCCTTCAGCACTCTTTCCCCAAACCAGAGCCCCCAACTTGCTCTGGGTGCTGGGATGGCCAACTTGGTCAGGCTGTGTCCAGAATGCAATCACCCATCTGTGCATAGACAGCTCAGCCGTACTGATGCAGCTTGGAGCACAGAGGCTGCCCGCTGGCTGGGCTCACCGTATACCTGCCCAGTCACCTCCTCCCACCTTTCCCACCTGGCAGCCCTTGCCAATGGCTTCTGTCAGCTGCTCCACCCCTGGCATGCCTACCTGCATGAGGGAGTACTTCTGAGGTGGGCGGCAGCTGGTCTGCTTCATGAGTTGGCAGTAGATCTCACTCTGCAGCTCGGGGTGAACCAGGCAGACCTGCAGTGCGGTCTGGGCCAGGGACACATGGTAGTCCACCGAGGCAGCTTCCACCGGCACGTTGATGAAGAGCTGGCAGGACTGGGAGGGAACAGCAGTGAGCACAGGCAGACCAGCATCCCCTGGGTTCAGAGAACTCAACGGCTTGGCCATTTTCCAAGGGCTCCAGGGAGGTTAGAGTTTACTGACAGCCCTTTCTAAGAGGGAGCACTGCTACTGTTGGAGGGCATCTCTGCTTACTAAAAGGGGCTATGGGCTACTTTGGGATAGAAGTTTCCTTTTTAAAATGTTCTCATTACATTACATAAACAAGACAAATTCCTTAAAAAAAACAAAAACAAAAACAGAAAACTCAAACATTCACAAAGGACATGCTAAAATAGGTCCGAATCTCTCAGTCCAGAAGCAACATAAACCTCGCCTTTTCTGCTTAACTACAGGAGGAGGGGAGCTCCTCCAGGGAGAGTTTTCATTGGCATTTCCCAAGGACTTGTGCATGACGTTCCAGAGCTGCTTCCCTCCCAGTGACAGGATTACATTCCTGCCATCCAGGAAGTGATAGGGACCCTGGGAAGTTTCCTTCCCTTCCTCTCCAGATCCCTCTGTGGGTTGTCCCCAACTGCACAGGCCTTCTCCACCCAAGTATTGCAAGTATCCCAGCGGTGGGCCTGGCCGCCACCCCAATTTACCTTGAAGAGCTTGAGGGCCTCCGTCTGCAAGGCCTCAGAGGGCAGGGTGGTGAGGGAGGCGTATAGGCCGTCTTTGCTGTAGCACAGCATGGGGTGCCTCCAGAGCGGCGAATCTGCCCAAAGCACGGAACCAGAGAGCAAGGGCAGTTACTACTGAGAGGGGACTCATCTCCCACTCACCGCCATCTTTAATTTATGGGGAAGATAGTGGTTTATCTTCCGTCAACACTTGGGTTGTGCTGGGTTTATCATCCATAGAGTGTGGGGTGTACAGGTGGGCACTGCAATGAGCACCCTCATATAAGCATGGCCTTTCTCGTGGAATGGCAGTAGGGGTGAGTGTGCAAGGTTGTGGGTGTCTGAGTGCAGGTGGATGTGTGCAGGGGAGGCCTCTTTCTTACTGTGTCAAGTCTGGATGGAGGGGCATATGAATTGGTCAGAAACAAACAAGCCTCAGAGCAGTAGTAAAGGGGTGTGTGTGGTATATGCCATTAATTAGTTCCTCAGGGCCCTGATAATCAGTAGCAAAAGAAAGACTCCAAACAGGTTAGTCCGATCCCAATTTAGGCTTCACTTGTTGATTTACAAACTCTAACTATAGATTAACCAGCTACCTTCTTTCCTCAGCCCTCTGCCCAGCCAGCAACGGGGCAGCTTGATCCAAGTAAAACATTTACCCAGGTCCCTGGAAAGCCTGCTTCCCAGATAAACTCCCCCAGATGCAGAGTGGTCACCTTAGTATCTCAGCCGGAGACAGAGGGGCCCTGGAGCTTGGATGGGAACTTCCCCTCTGTGGCTTAGATGTTTTAAAAACAGCTTCAGGGTACAACACTGCTTTCTTTGGGATCTTGACCAATAGTCACCAAGCCACTACCCTCCAACCCAAGCAGTGGTGGCCACCCTTGCCTTACCTGGATCTCCTTCACCATCCATCAGTTTTCCAATGAGCTGCTCATAGGCAGTGCCCACCTTGGCACTGCTGCCACCTGCAGCCACTGTGAGGTGGTAGAGCCACGTATCCTGGAAGAGGGCGGAAAGCCATCGGATGGGGACGGGGTGGGAAGAGTGGAGGCAAGAGCTCCAAGGAGGACTCCTTGAAGGGACCAAGCCCATGTGGGGTTCAGCTAGTTTGGTTGGCATGAGTCAGGGCTACCTGGAAAGACTGAGGATCAGGTGAACATGAACCCAACTTTCCAAATTTGCGATTCTATTACATGACCTCAGTGAAGCAATGTTGGTCACTGGGAATAAATTCAGTATAAAGGAATATTCCCATTCAGAGAATATTAGTTGCCAAAGTGTCCAAAAGGAAATAAATTTGAATTTTGGGAAGCTCAGGAGAAAGAGAGAAGGGAAGATCAGAATCACAGGTCCAAGCTTGGCCCTGGAGGCCCAGCCCTCTTCCTTACCTTTTCATGCTTGGTGCCAATGAGGAGGTAGGTGGGGCTGTGCTCTGTGGGGTGGATCACCAGGGTGCAGTGGGAGGAAAGCAACCGTCTGGTTCCTCCAGCCTCATAGTCCTCGTCTGAGTCACAGGATCGATCTACTTCCTCTATGTGCGCATCCCGCACAGGCAGGCAGCCCAGGGGTCGCTGTGGACAGCAGTCTTCCATGAATGGGAGAGCCAGTGGGGGATGAGGGAGTCTCCTCTCTCTGAATACATAGGCTCCGTGAAGCTGGGAATCGTGGATATGGACCGATGACAGGATGGGGAGGTGGAGACTATAGCATCCCAGCCAGGCTGGCAGCAGAATGAGGCTTGCTTGGAGAAGCACCAGAGACCCAGACAGGCAGAATCTCACACTCTGGAGGGATCCAGCCAACTGATTTTGTATTTATTGTGGGGTTACGTGGGGTAGGGACTTTCATCAGGACATAGAGTGGCAGTCATGTGCTTCGGGGGAAGCAGGAGAGTGGGTATTGTGAGGAGGCTGAGAAGTACCTTGTCCTCATGGCTCCGATAGTAGTAGAAGATTTTCCCAACAAGAGCGCACCAGACCACCTTGGAGTGGCCATGCTTTACCTGTAAGACAGAAATGAACTGGCATTATGAGAACTAGGTAACTCTAGAAGTAAATCCAGGACTGGCAAATAGAAGCCACAGGGAGACAGATTTGACCTATGGTAGAGATGGAGATGCCATTTGGGCTCCCTACTAATGGAACCACCCCTTTCACAGTGAGGGTGCCATGACACCCTGTGGCACCCCAGCCATCATGGGCTATTCAGTGACCTATGACCTGCCATGAAACGATTAGCCAGGCCAATCAGATGTCCCCTCCAGGCATATGAAAATAGGAAGAACTTGCTAGGTGGCAGAAGCCACAGTTGTCAGGGTGCCGGGAGGGAGGGAGGGAAAACAGCAGGCTGAAGCCCTTGGGCAACCATGCATCATGAAGGAACAGAAGCTGCACACGGGCGAAGGAGAATGACATAAACAGATTGAACGAGAAGCAGAGCCACACAGCGAGCCTGCCAGCCCTGAGCTTGCTGAGTGCAAGTCGCTTTGGTTCCTGCTGGTGTTCTGGTCTAGCTAATGTACTTCCTTGTTAACTTCCATTTTCTTGGGTTTAACAACTGCTTCTCTGCTCTGTTCAACCAGAAGAGCCCTAACAAAAATGTCTTTAGGGCAGGCCTGGGATACTTTAAGTCTTTGAGGAGCCATACCTACCTCGCCCAGGCCTCTTCCTCCCACTATTAACACTGAGGCAGGTATAAGGTGGGGGTGGGTGACAGCCCCTAATGACCTCAAAATGGATACAAGATAGTCCCTTCCCTTCTCTTTCTTGAGAATAGTTGTTCCAACAACCCTGATTTGTTTCCGGGGAATCACTCGCCATCACCTTGTGTGGCCAGACCACGTTTGAGGGCTGGCCAGCGAGTCACTGTGAGGAGGCTCCCAGAGAAAGGAGCCCCGTATAAGGGGGAACCCACCACCCTCGGCACCCCAATCCTGGCTCCCCTGATTCGCAGGAGGCACATGTTCCTGCCCTATCAGCCCCACCCTCTACCTTGGTCAGCCAGCCCTTCACGGTGGGCTTGGTGCCACCCCGAAGCAGAGCTGGAGGCCCGGTGGCCTGCACCTTCAGCAGGCTCTGGAGTACTCGGATCCACTCCTCCAGCAGGCTGGGTGAATCGGCCGTCAGGTAGTAGGTTTTCTTCTCAGAGATGAGCTGTGGAGGGCGAGATATGGGGGTGGGGCAGCACGCTGGGAGAATGGAGTAACCAGGACCTGGCTCCGAGGTGGCACCTGTCCCTGAACCCAAGGGGCTGGCCTTCTGCCTGCCCTAGTGCTCCCTCCTTTCTTTTCCTCCTCATCTTTTCCTCCCTGTCTCTCCTTCCTTCACTCCATCTCTCATATTCTGTCTCATCTTCCTTTCTTGTACTCACAAGTTAGGATCACGTCCAAATGTTGATCTGAAGTCTTTCATTCATGCTCATTTGGCCCCATCTTTGTCTCACTCACGGCCATATCCAAACCCAGCACCTCTTCTGTTTAAAATACTAGCAGCCAGGAGCGTGCTCACCTGAAACGTCTGTGAACCCTCCCCTCGAACAATTTGGCAGCGGGAGTTCAGATCCACTTGGCCTTGAGGTTTCCGGATGACATCACTCTGTAAAGAAAGTATTGGAGAGGAGAGCCACTGAATGTGGAGCCTTTCCGGAGCACCTCATTTACCCTCAGATCTTCCTCCACGTCATAAGCAAAGGGAAACATGATTCCCAGCATTCTGGCTGTGTTATGATGGGTGACTTATTCTAGATTCTGGTTATAGCTAAATGGAACCTTAATCAGGAACATGGGTCCTTCTGAGAACCTCCCTATTTCATTCTGAAACTCACGGCCAGGCTTAGGTCCCCAAGTGTGGCTCAAAGCCTCAGGGGCCCAGTGAGGTTGCCTCTCCCCACCTGCCAGACCTTTGCCCTCTGGCCTTGGGCCACATTCCCCCTCCTCCGTCCCATCTGACATAGTCCAGGGTGTGATGTGGAGACCTTTTGACTGCAGTGCTGGGCGGGGAGACTCTCACCGGGGACTTGTAGTACATAATCTGTCCCTGTCTCAGGACAAACCAGCGCCTCTTCCACGTCTTCACCTGGCTCCCCATTTTCAGCAGGTAGCCCGACTTCTCCAGTGACTCCTGAGGGGTGGAAGGGTGTAGATGAAGAAAGGGGAAATCACTCAGGGCTCCTAGACATCACACAGGTCCAAGTGGTCCAGCTGCCTCACTACTCGGTCATCAATTAAATACAAAATTATTGAGTACCTACTCAGTGTATTTTCAGAGTACCATGCCCTGCTATGGTTCAGAGAGGACTAAATAAAACATGGGTGGTCCTGCCAAGGAAGGGCTCCCATGCTAGCTGGGGAAGACCTCACTATGAGAAGGTAGCAGAGCAGGGGCTGCTAGAGGGAGAGCCTGGCCAGGGAGAGCGTCAGGAGAGAGCCGGCCCTGAGCTGGCCTTGTTAGGATAGTTCAGCCTCTCCCTCAAAGACTGAGAGGAGGAAGAAGACCATTCCAGGCAGCACAGAGCAGGGAGAGGGCAAGGCAGGTCTGGGCAACCTGGACACATCAGCCAGGCAGGACTGGAGGGTCATGGAGCCAGGGAGATGATGGGGCAGCAGAGAGGTGTGGGGCGAGGGATGCGGAATTACATCGGGAGTGGATGCTAGCCCTGGCATGTAGTGGCACAGCTTGGAGCCTCAGGCTTCTCATCCATAAGATGGGCTAATGACCCCAAGAGGATTGTGAGGACAAATGAGACAATGCCTGGAAACTGAGCACAGTGCCTGGTGCCAAGAGTTCAATAAATGTTAGCTTGCGTTAGTATTCCAGGTGATAAAACAAAGTCATATATGGAAAACTCTTCATGGGGCCTGGTGGGCCACAGTAGGCTCTCAGTAACTGGCCATTGCTGGTATTCCAGGAGCTCTCTGGGCTCCCTCCTTCCTTCCTTGTGGGGTCTGTGTGTCTGACTCCATAACTGTACACCCCCCCAGCCCACGCCCCCTGCCCCCATCCCCCAGCTCTAGGGACCCCTCACTTCAGGCAGCTACTGCCTATGTCTTGTGCTGAGGGCCCCAGCAGCCTCTGCTGCATTCTGCTTCCACCCTGCCCCCGCCCGTTTCCCGGCTCACCCCGCCCAGGCCCAGCCCGTCGGTGGAGTAGGATGAGGTGCGCTGCAGTTTGTGCTCAGGCTCTGAGTAGTCACTGTCCAGTGAGCAGGCGTCCGGGGGGATGGCGTAGTCACCCTCGGAGCTCAGTGAGGACATGGAGACGCCTTGCCGAGGGAGGAGGAGTCAAGGCCCGGGTCCCACACCTCCCCGACTCACGCAGCCCAGGAGCTGCTGAGACTTGACCACCCACCCGGGACCCGGTCTCTGGGGCTGGGGGTGGAGCTGCTGGGGGGTCACGAGCTCAGATCAAGTGGGGACGCCCATGTTCAAGTGCCCATGGGAAGAGGTGAGGGGCTCCTTGCTGCTGCACCCTGCCCCTGCTCCCCTTCTCTGTACCTCTCTTGATGGCCCGGGGGCTGCCTAGTCCGCTGGTCTTCCTGGACTCAGAGGAGGGGACCGAGATTCGGAAACTCGCCTGAGAGCTGCAGTCATCGTCAGACCCAGAGGACTCGTCCATAAAGGGCATGTTGCTGATCTGTGTAGCTCTCTGCAAGACAGGCCCCTCCCTCACTGCAGCTCAGGCTGCAAAACAGTCCTCTCCCAACCCTGCAGCTTGCACTCCTGGTCCAAGTGCCCATGGTGTGGCCAACCCCCAGCCGGGACTCTGAACAGACAACTGTCCAGTGTAAGGTCCCTCCTGGCCTCACTCCTGTGTCATGACCTCCATGCTTCTCAGGCCTCCCTTCCCACACACCATCTTCTGTGGTCCCCAAAGCAGCTGCCCATCACGACTGAATGCCTGCCCACTGTGACCCTCGCTCCTTGCCACTAGGGGGCCAGAAAGCTACACCACAGACTAAGTGTGCCATGCGAGCTTTAAAAATGTGTGGGGACGTCGCAACAATCAATGATTGCATCTCCATTGGCAAACATTTAAAGTGACTGACTATCTCAGTGTTGGTGAGAGTATGGGGAGAAGATGGGGGAAAAAACTCTAGTGTGTAAGGCATTTTTAGAAGGTAATTTGGCAGTACCTGTCAAAAATTAAAACATGTATATAATTTGCCCAGAAATCCCACCTCTAGAACTCTGTCCTACAGACACATGTAGATATAAGTTCCCAAAGATATATGTGCACAGTGATGTTCATGGCAACATTCATTTTAGAGAAAAACAGGGACACAGACTAAATTATTATTGGAGGAAAGCTTTAGGTATTAATAGTTATGGTGCTTCGATACCAAGGGTACTGGACACCTATAGAAGGAGGAGGTAGGGGCCAGGCATGGTGGCTCATGCCTGTAATCCTAGCACTTTGGGAGGCTGAGGCAGGCGGATCACAAGGTCAAGAGATCAAGACCATCCTGGCCAACATGGTGAAACCCCGTCTCTACTAAAAATACAAAAATTAGCTGGGCATGGTGGTGCGCGCCTGTAGTTCCAGCTATTCAGGAGGCTGAGGCAGGAGAATCGCTTGAACCCAGGAGGTGGAAGTTGCAGTGAGCCAAGGTTGCACCACTGCACTCCAGCCTGGCAACAGAGCCAGACTCTGTCTCGGAAAAATAAAAAGGAGGAGGTAGGGAAGGATGACCTGACACGTGGTTATTCACGTGGTTAGGGGAACAAGCAAGGCATAGAATGACATGTATATGAGCACCTTTTGTGTGCACACAGGAGACAGTGAGAGTGTGCTGCATATTTATAAATGCATCGGAAGGCCTTACTGAATAAACACTAAACCATTCATGATAGCTTCCTCTGGGCTTAGGAATTAGGGAAAAGCGACGTGAGAGGAAATTTCACTTTTGGTTTTTTATTCTTCTATAAAAAATTTTATCAAGTATTACTATTATTCAAAAACCAGTAACAGAGACAAAAATGTGTATGAAAATATTGCAATTCTATCTGATTTTTGTTTTTAAAATGTAGTGACGTTACGGGAATATAAGTTGGAATATACCTCAGTAATTCTAGAAGGAGCCCCACTGCCCTCTGGGACCTGAGGAGTGAGGCAGACATGAGAAAAGGTGGGGAGAGCTGTAAAGCGGGCATAGGCTTAACCTTCTTACCTTGTCCACGTTCATACTGATTCACATTTTTGTAAATGTGGAATTTTTATAATAACCTAATAAACAATAAAACAAAATGACACGTGCTGGGCTCAGCTCCCTGGGCAGGGTCACCATGTGCAGAAGCCTGGCCCTAGAGCCCCGCCCCAGTCATTGGATGATGAGGCCAGGGGCCTTTCCTGATGAGACACCCCCTCTTTGTGCAGCAGTTTCTTACCCCCTTCAGTGCTGTGTAGACAGGCACAGTGACATTCTTGTAGACCAGGCCAGAGAAAGACCCAGGGGAAACAAGGGCAGGAGGGCTTGAAGCTGAGCAGGGAAGAGAGGAATGAGATTACTCAAGGGCATAACCCAGGAAGGGGTGTGGGGGAAGCAGAGAACTGGGCAGATGGCATTCCCTCCAGGAGCAGGCCAGTGACAGATCTCAAGAGGGGGGCCAGGGCCCTGTTCATCTTCTCCCCTTGACTCCCTTTGGGGACCATGATCTCCATGTGGTAAAGGATCCCTCACAAAAGAATCCAAAAGCCTTACCTTTAACCATTTTTTCCTCCATGAGGCTTGCACAGTGTTCCACTGTTGCAGATGTGAGTTACAAATCATACGGCTATGGGACCACCCCACAGCCCTCGTTGTGGAGATTTGGTGGCTGGCTGGAGAGGAGCCAGTGAGTGGGGTTCATGTAAATCAGGACACTTGTGGCTCCTCCCACCCACGGCCCTGGCACTGCAGAAGCGAAGCCTGTGCAGGTGGGAGGCTGGGCTGGAGGCCCCCTCTCAGATCCCTTCCAGCTCTGTGACTGGCTACTTTCCTGTGATGGGCTGAACCTGTACGACTTCCCTTTCCCTCCTAGGTGGGACTTGCTGTGATTTCACCTGAACTTCACCTGCTGGGGAGGGGAACAGGGTAGGCCAGCCAACCCTGGCCCTGGGTGTTGCTTGGAGTCTTCTCCTCCCCGCTTGCCCACCCTGCCCACCTTGGGTGTTTGGTGCCTCCAAGCCTCACTTGGAACTCACCGCAGCATGCAGTATTACTTCTGGGAGACATATCTGAGAGCCGCATGCCCGATGTGGCCACAGCATAGATCCGGCTCTCCTGAAACAAGAGGTCTCAGGAAGCTCAGGGCCCGGCATGATGCCCATCCCACCCCCTCCAGGCATGTGCAGGAAAAAGCATGGCTTTGGGGGTGGGCAGACCTGTGGGGGGCAGTGACTGGCTAACAAATCTTGGGCAAGTTACTTCATTTCTGAGACTCATTTTCCTCTGCTCTAAATGGAGGTAATAATACTTACCTTTCAGGCTGCTGTGAGAATCAATGAAATACTTAACATAAGCATTTAACACCTGGAATATAATCAGTGCCCAACAGTTCCCTCTCTTGCCTCCACCCTTCACCTTTGGGGCAAAGGAGGTTCAAGAGAAGATGGGTCAGTAAACTGTTGCTCTGAATCCTACCCGTTTTAGAGACCCTTGGGTCTCAAGATCTAACCCCCAGAAGTTGGGGATATTGGTAATGAGGAAGCCACTGCGGCCACACGACAAGGGCTCTTTTGTAAGCCAGTTGTTTGGAACTTAGGGCACATTTTTAAAAAATTCTCTATTGTTTCTTTTTTTAAAAAATAATTTGTTTGTTTTTTAAGTTCCAGGGTACGTATGCAAGATGTGCAGGTTTTTATGTAGGTAAACGTGTGTCATGGTGGTCTACTGCACCTAACAACCCATCACCTAGGTATTAATCCCAGCATGCTTTAGCTCTTTTCCCTAATACTCCCCCACCGCCACCATCCACTGACAGGCCCCACTAAGTATGTTCCCCTCCCTGTGTCCATGTGTTCTCATTGTCCAGCTCCCACTTGTAAGTGAGAACATGCAATGTTTGGTTTTCTTGTTCCTACGTTAGTTTGCTGAAGATAATGGCTTCCAGCTCCATTTATGTCCCTGCAAAGGACATGACCTCATTCCTGTTTATGGCTGCACGGTATTCCATGGTGTATATGTACCACATTTTCTTTATCCAGTCTACCATTGATGGGCATTGGGTTGATTCCATGTCTTTGCTATTGTGAGTAGTGCTGTGATGAACATATGTGGGAACTTAGGGCACGTTTTTTCCCCTGCAGGAATAATGTCATATCATGGCTAGGCTTCAGGGCCAATCTACAAAGCCTATTTAGCCCAACAGGACTCCAGCACCCCCATGCAGAAGACACTGGGAGAATGCCCGTCCTGAGGGGGCCCCTGGGTCTGAAGTAGGCCACAGGCCAAAGGAGCTTTTCCTAATGGCCCTGACTGCTCATAAACAACCCACAGGGTTCCCTGCACCTTCTGGATCTGTTTGCTCCACTGAGCCTAAAGGAAAACAAAGGTGACGTGAGTCACCAAGGCTGACGAGGGAAGGTTGACCAGCCTTTGGAGGAATGCCCTGTTGGCTCAGGGAGGTAGCTAGATGTGCTGTCACCTGGTGGGGTCAGATGGGCTAGGAGATGGCATTGGAAGGGAGGTGGGTGCCTATCAGGGTGTCATCCCAGAGGGGAGCAGCAGCCCTGGGACAACTGGGAGGAGAGAGGGCAGAGCTGATGAGTGCTGCCATGAGACGCTGAGATCACTGGAGGGGCGGCAGGAGACAGAGGGGCGGTGAGGAAGGATGCCAAGGAGGGCCCTGCAGCAGGGCAGGGAGTTTCTGTGCTCGTGTAGGGCAGATACATCGAGCCCAAGTAAAATTCGGCATAAAAAGGATTATTTCTGCCCAGAGTGGTCATGGAATTTAACCAAGGACAAGCCTCTAACTTTGCAGAGGAAATGAAACTGAAGTTTGAAGGATTTAGGTAAAACGAAACCTATGACTGTTTGACAAAATGTTATCTAATGCCTAACTCACAAGGTTGTTTTAAGGATTAACTGAAAAAAGGGCTTTCCAAACTCTAAGATACATAAGTATTTCTCACACCGTCAGATTGAGAAATGTTCTCTGACATTTCATTCCCCCACCGCCCTCCCCAGATGGTTACTGCCCCATTGGTCCTGCCTGGGAGAGAGAGAGGCTGGGCTTCTGGCCACTGTGATTTCTTAAGCTCTCCCCGGAACACGGAACACGAGTGATCATGCCTCAGGGGCCTGGGAAGGAGCTAGCATTGTGTCTTGTTTTCCCCAGGAGCAAGTTACAAAGGGGATTGCAAACAGGATGAGATCTCCTTACATTCTTTTGGCTGATTCTTGGGTCCTTGGGGCCTAGCTGGGGGCAGGGAGGTTCTGTGGGAAGACCTGACGCTGCCCCTTAATACCTTAATCCCCTTAATACCTTCATCACCAGAGTTCAGCTGAGGTTCCTGGGGAGAACGTCATCTGATATATTTTCTATACAGAATAAGAGGAGACAATAACTCCTCGTCTCCCCATTCCTCCTCTCCTCCTCCACCCTCTCTCTCACACACATACACTTAACCTGTTCAGATAGAGAAGACCCACTCTTTTTTTTTTTTTTTTCAAGACAGGGTCTGGCTCTGTCACTCAGGCTGGAGTACAGTGGCAAGATCTTGACTCATGGCAACCTTCACCTCCCTGGGCTCAAACTTAACTTCCACTTAAGCCTCCTGAGTAGCTGGGACTACCGGCATGTGCCACCATGCTCAGCTAATTTTTGTATCTTTTTTGGTAGACATGGGGTTTCGCCGTGTTGCCCAGGTTGGTCTTGAACTTCTGAGTTCAAGCAGTCTACCTGCTTCTGCCTCCCAAAGTGCTGGGATTACAGGTGTGAGCCACTGTACCCGGCTCAAGACCTACTCTTAAGCTATCACAGTGAATGGCTGTATTTTGGCAAAATGGCAAAGTGAGCAACGCTTCTCTCTGGTAGCAGCTGCACATTCCTTGCCTGACTACTTCCTGCTCCCAACCTCTGCATTTGGACTCCAGAGCAAGAAGAGAGCCAGCAGCCCAGGGGGACCAGTGCTTTTCCATCCCCTAGTCTTCCTGATGTGCCCCACTCTTGGCTCAACTGGGTCTCCAGTCTTACAGGTGTCCTTGAAACAACCAGAAGCTGATCAACAGTCACTGCCAAGGATATAGCCCAAAAGTCTAGGGCTGTGTGCCTCCCGAACCAGCATTTCTTTGTTTTGTTTTGGAGATCGTCTCCTCTGTCGCCCAGGCTGGAGTGCAGTGGCGCAATCTCAGCTCACTGCAACCTTCGCCTCCTGGGTTCAAGCGATTCTACTGCCTCAGGCTCCCGAGCAGCCAGACTATAGGCGTGCACCACCATGCCCAAATAATTTTTGTATTTTTAGTAGAGATGGGGTTTCGCCATGTTGGCCAGGCTGGTCTCGAACTCCTGACCTCAAGTGATCTGCCTGCCTCAGCCTCCCAAAGTGCTGGGATTACAGGCATAAGCTACTGAGCCCGGATTTGAACCAGCATTTCAAAAGGAGGCCCTGGGAGTTACTGCTGGAAATACAGGTCTCCCGAGCAGTGGTGTGGGGTGAGTCCACCCTGATGTCACCCCCTCTCCCAAGTGACCTCATTCCTCCTGCTGCCAGGAGCCAACGCTTAGCTGTCCCCCATGGTACTGCTACACACCCCAGCAGCATCTGTGGAGGGGATGTCTGCCCATGAATCAAAGACTGACCTTAGCTCTGGCAATGTCCCTTAAGAGGAAGTACAGCTGGAATGTGAGAGCTGGGCTTCAAAGCAGCTGGAACTACATTTAAAGCCTGGCTCTCAGACCGGGTAAGGTGGCTCTTATGGCTGACAAAGGAGGATCACTTGAGGCCAGGAGTTTGAGACTAGCCTGGGCAACATAGGGATACTCCATCCCTACAAAAAATTTAAAAAATTAGCCAGGTGTGGTGGTGTGCACCTGTAGTCCCAGCTGCTCAGAAGGCTGGGGTGGAAAGATCCCTTGAGTCCAGGAGTACAAGGCTGCAGTGGACTGTGATTGTGCCACTGCACTCCAGCCTGAGTGACAGAGCAAGACACCGTCTCTCAAGTAAATAAATAAATAAAGCCTGGCTCCCTCACTAACTACTACATGACCTTGGGCAAGTACCTAAGTCTGTGGGGAACAGTGGTTTCCTGACCTGTAAAAGGGAGAAACCACACCTTACTCCTTGCAAGGAAAGGAGCCCTTCCCACAGGCTCCGTGCGAAGCCCTTAATACCCACATGCCATTTTCACTAGT
Organism: Homo sapiens; assembly: GCF_000001405.40. Classification (NCBI taxonomy): domain Eukaryota; kingdom Metazoa; phylum Chordata; class Mammalia; order Primates; family Hominidae; genus Homo; species Homo sapiens. The sequence continues at coordinate 67,565,065 of NC_000014.9, read as the reverse complement.
GACCTGTGAAATGTCATTTTTATAGCCTGTCTCATTTTTATTTTAACTTTTTATCATGGAAAATGTCAGGTACAGGGCCAGACACAGTGGCTCACACCCGTAATCCCAGCACTTTGGGAGGTCAAGGTGGGAGGACCACCTGAGCCTGGGAGTTCGAGACCAGCCAGGGCAACAGCATAGTGTTAGCCCATCTCCACAAAAAATTAAAAAATAGCTGGGCATGGTGGTGCATGCCTGTAGTGCCAGCTACTCGGGAGGCTGAGGTGGGAGAATTGCTTGAGCCCGGGAAGTTGAGGCTGCAGTGAGCCATGATTGCACCATTGCACTCCAGCCTGGGCAAGACTGAGCAAGACTCTGTCTCAAAAAAAAAAAAGGAAAAGAAAAAAAAAATGTCAGCCTGGCCAACATAGTGAAACCCTGTCTCTACTAAAAATACAAAAATTAGCCAGGCATGGTGGTGCATGCCTGTAGTCCCAGCTACTTAGAAGGCTGAAGTAGGAGGATTGCTTGAGCCCAGGAGGCAGAGGTTGCAGTGAGCCAATATTGCGCCACTGCACTCCAGCCTGGGCGACAGAGTAAAACCCTGTCTCAGTTAAAAAAAGAATGATCTCACGTGCCCATCGCCCAGCTTGGCAAAGGTTAATGATGTGTGGCCAGTCATGCTTCATCTGTGTCCCCACCCTTGGCCACCAACCAGATCATTGCTTCTGAAGTATTTCTACCAGACAGATATCAAGACATTTTATCCAATGTTACAAGTAAGGAAGCTGGCCTGGCGCAGTTGCCTATAATCCCAGCACATTGAGAGGCCTAGGCAGGTGAATCACTTGAGGTCAGGACTTTGAGACTAGCCTGGCCAACATGGTGAAACCCCGACTCTACTAAAAATATAAAAATTACACTTTGGGAGGCTGAGGCGGGCGGATCACGAGGTCAGGAGATCGAGACCATCCTGGCTAACATGGTGAAACCCCGTCTCTACTAAAAATACAAAAAATTGGCCGGGCGTGGTGGCAGGTGCCTGTGGTCCCAGCTACTTGGGAGGCTGAGGCAGGAAAATGGCGTGAAACTGGGAGGCAGAGCTTCCAGTGAGCTGAGATTGTGCCACTGCACTCCAGCCTGGGCAACAGAGCAAGACTCTGTCTCAGAAAAAAAAAAAAAACAGTTAGCCGGGCATGGTGGCACACACCTGTAATTCCAGCTACTTGGGAGGCTGAGGTGGGAGTACCACTTGAACCTGGGAGGCGGAGGTTGCAGTGAGCCGAGACCGTGCTACTGCACTTCAGCCTGGGTGACAGAGCAAGACTCTGTCTCGAAAAAAAAAAAAAAAAAAAGCCAGGCTCAGTGGCTCATACTTACAATCCCAGCACTTTGGGAGGCCCAAGAGGGTGGATCACCTGAGGTCAGGAGTTTGAGGCCAGCCTGACCAACATGGTGAAACCCTGCCTCTACTAAAAATACAAAATTAGCTGGGCGTGGTGGTGCATGCCTGTAATCCCAGCTACTTGGGAGGCTGAGGCGGGAGAATTGATTGAACCCAGGAGGCAGAGGTTACAGTGAGCCAAGATCATGCTATTGCACTCCAGCCTGGGCAGTAAGAGTGAAACTCTGCCCCCTCACCCCCACCCCCCAAAAAAAAGAAAAGAAAAAGAAAAACAAAGAAAGAAAAATAGCCAACACTTACCTACCACCTACTGTGAACCACTACTGTAAGTACTTTCACAACAACCCTATAAAGTAGGTACTATTATCCCCATTTTATAGACAGGGAAGCTGAGGCACAGAGGTTCAGTAACATGTCCAAGGTCACGTAGTTAACAGTTCAACCCTAGTGGTTTGCTTCTGGGGCCTATGCTCTTGACCATCATACCAGACCACCTGAAAGACTCACAAAGATTAAATGAGAAAAGGTATGCAGGGCACCCAGCTCAATGTATGGTGCACGGTGAGCACTCAGGAAATGACAGCCAACCGCCATTCACATCATTCTGAATTCTGGCGCTGACCCTCACTGGTTGTGTGGTCTGCACAGGCTCCATGGTACCTGCCTGCCAGGGCCACCATGAGGATGCCAGCAGCCTCCTCTCCTGCTCAGTGCATGGCTGTGCTCAGCCAGCAGTGTTCTTGCCATTAGCTCTGCTCCTCTGCCCAGCCCGGAGGTTGCCTCTTACCCAGGATGAAAACTGGTGCAGCGGGGGTGTAGGTGGCTTGTTACCCAGCTCCACTTCCTCCAGCTCAGCTCCAAGGGCCTTTGGGCTCTCTCTTTCCTCATTCTTCCCTGCTGGGGGTGGCTCCTCCATCTCCATCTTCTCTGGTTCCTCCCGGGACCTAGCTCGGGACTCCAGCTCAGGAAGGCCAGAGGGGTGGAGGGCTGAGAAGGCCTCAGTCTCAATGTTCACCACACGGCCAAAGTGCCCATGGCCCACCTGGGGCTGGCTGTGGTGCCTTTTGGCCAACTGGATGCTGTCCCGCGGGGTGCCAGGAGCCCGCACCTTTGGTAGGGTCAGACTGCTGCCAGGACCACCTTCCCTGGCAGAGGTCTTTGTCCCAGGGAGCATCCCTCTCTGAGCAGTAACCAGACCCTCACCCCAGGAAGCTGAACTACATCTGAAGGTAAGAAGCTTCATGCATGGCTGGTGGGGAGGGCTCTCTCTTCCCAGATGAGGTTGAAGGGGCTTGGCCTCTACTGTTTCCCCAGAATGGACCGTGCTGGAACTAGAATCCTCCAAGGGGCTTGCTGCTTCAGAAACAGAGTCCTTGCTCTGCAGGGCACCTGGGGAAGGTGCAAGCACAGCTGCCTTCAGACCCTGGGCCTGGGAGCCACTGTCCTGGCCCATAGGCTGGATTCCCGGCTCTGAAGGGACAGAATCCTGCTCTGCAGCTCCGTAGGGGGGCACCAGCAGCTTCCGTGAAGGAGCTATCTGAATAGCTGTGATTCGGGTAAAAACAGTCACATTGAGAGCTCCCGTAGCTCAGCCCCATACCCACCAAACACACGTACTGCACACCTGCACACCCTGGCCTGCCTACCTTCTAGCGCATCTTGAAGGGATCCCACCTGCTCCACCAGGCGCTGATTATGGCTTTTCAGATGCTGATTCTCCATCTCAAGCTGAGCAAAAAGAAAAATGAAGATTTAGGACACCCAGCCTACAGGTTTAGATGTATTTTTTCAATTCTTTTTTTTTTTTTTTTTGAGACAGGGTCTTGCTCTGTTGGCCAGACTGAATTGCAGTGGAGCAATTTTGGCTCACTGCAGCCTTGACCTCCCAGGCCCAACTGATCCTCCCACCTCAGCCTCCTGAGTAGCTGGGACCATAGACACACACCACCAGGCCCAGTTAATTTCGTTTATTTTTTTGTAGAGACAAGCTCTCGCTATGTTGCCCAGGCTGGTCCCAAATTCCTGGACTCAAACGATCTGCCCACCTCAGCCTCCCAGAGTGCTGGGATTACAGGCATGTGCCACTGAGCGTGGCTGCTGCATATTCTTTTCTTTTCTGAGACAAGGTCTGGCTCTATCACCCAGGCTGGAGTGCAGTGGTGCAATCTTGGCTCACTGCAACCTCTGCCACCAGGGCTCAAACCATCCTCCCACCTTAGCCTCCCACCTCAGCCTCCCGAGTAGCTGGGACTACAGGTGCACGCCACTATGCCCGGCTAATTTTTGTATTTTTTGTAGAGACAGAGATTTGCCATGTTGGCCAGGTTGGTCTCAAACTCCTAGTGTCGAGCAATCCACCCGCCTAGGTCTCCCAAAGTGCTGCTGGGACTACAGGTGTGAGCCACTGCCCCCAGCCTGCATTTTCCTTTAAATTAAGTCCAACACACTTTTATTGAGTATCTTTTAGCAAGGGTTGGGACTGTGAGAATACGCAGGTAAGCCAGGCATCAGTTCTGTCTCCAAGAACTTGCAGTCTAGCAGGTGACCTGAGATGTACATCCAAAGAAGGGGATAGGAGGCCAAATGAGCTGATACCCTCCTGCAGGTGTGAACCACTTGTGTGAGGACAGAGGAAAAGATGTATGTTTGTCAGCCGGGTGTGGTGGCTCACACCCGTAATCCTAGCACTTTGGGAGGCTGAGGCGGGCAGATCACCTGAGGTCAGGAGTTCAAGACTAGCCTGGCCAACATAACGAAACCCCGTCTCTACCAAAAGTACAAAAATTAGCCAGGCGTGGTGGCGTGTGCCTGTAATCCCAGCTACTCAGGAGGCTGAGGCAGGAGAATTGCTTGAACCCAGGAGGCAGAGGTTGCAGAGAGCCGATATTGTGCCATTGCACTCCAGCCTGGGAAACAAGAGCGAGACTCCGTCTCAAAAAAAAAAAAAAAAAAAAGATATATGTTCATCCTTTTCCAAACTGCAATTCCCACTCCTTTTATTTAGAAGGAGGTTGTTTTCTGTCTGTTGGTGATAGCACTGTAGCTTCAAGTCCTGAGTTTCCTAAATAAAGGTACAGCACGTGATAAACTACAAAAATGGATAGATAGAGAGGGAAGGTGGAATAGAGGTTACCAGGCGATGGGGGAAGAGAGAATGGGAAGTTAGTGTTTAGCAGGTACAGAGTTTCTGTTTGGAAAAATTTTAGACATAGATAGCAGTGATGGCTGCACAACACTGTGAATGTACTTAATGCCACTGAATTGCTGAATTGTACACTTAAATGGTACATTTTATGTATATTTTACCACACACACACAAATAGTTAAAAAGAATGAAGAGGATGGAAGAGAAAGTAGCAGGGCACGGTGGTTCCCTCCTTTAATCCCAGCACTTTGGGAGGCCGAGGTGGGTGAATCACCTGAGGTCAGGAGTTCGAGACCAGCCTGGCCAACATGGTGAAACCTGTCTCTACTAAAAATACAAAAATTAGCTGGGCATGGTGGTGCGTGCCTGTAACCCCAGCTACTCAGGGAGGCTGAGGCACGAGAATCGGTTGAACCCGGGAGGCGGAGGTTGCGGTAAGCCGAGATTGCGCCACTACACTCCAGCCTGGGCGAGAGAGCGAGACTCTGTCTCCAATAAATAAATAAATAAATAAAAATAAAAGAGAAAGTGGAGAGAGTGGACACTGGCCTGTGTGGGCTTCCTAGAAAGAAACTGAGGGGGCTTTTCAGAAGTGAGACACATTCCTTCTCGCAAACTTAAATCCAGCACCAAGCTAGTCAGGAGCTCCAGGGAGACCCAACCAAGACAAAAGGAAAGGGGAAGTGAACTACGGTGTCTCAGCATGGAGGCTGAATGCAAAACAAGTGCTGGACAGAATGAAGGTCAGCCGAGGCACCCTAGACAGTAGGGGGCAGGAAACTCCGGGGGTCAGGGCAGGCCCAGCCATGCCTCTGGCAGGCCTCCAAGATGAGTTTCCAACCCACCTTTGCCAACTTGAGTGTCACCCATTCCTTGATCTTTGCAGCTTTTTCTTGAACAGTTTTTGCTTCCTCTGCCCTCATCTGCTTCTGCAAGAAAGAGAGGGCCTTCCGTTAATCCCAACAATCACCAGGAGAGTGACTGACTGGAGGTGGGAAACCCCAAGAAAGGCCAAGTGTGCGTGCCACTGACCTCGCAAAGCCAGTGAGCAGAAATCGTTTGTTGAAATATTATTTGATAAGGTAACACAAAATTTAAAAACTCAAAACTGGAAATAGTCTAAGTGTTCACCACGAAGGGGTTGGCTGAATAAACGCGGCATATCCCTGACATGGAAGGAGAACGCTGTGCCTCCATATGCAAGCAAAGTTAATAGTGAGGAGTAGAAATCAAGGACTGGGGAGGGAGAGAGAGGTGACTTGTCATTTTATACTCCTCTGGCCGTTTTTTTATTTTTAACTATAAGCATGTGTTACCTTTATAGTTAAAAAACAAAAAAATAAGGCAAAATTGCAGATAACTGAGGTATTTCCATCAAAGTAGTCAAAAGAGGAGATGATTGAAAAGGTTGGCATCTGAAGAGGAGCAGCCTGGCTGGGCATGGTGGCTCATGCCTATAATCCCAGCATCAGACAACGTCAGACTCTCAGTATTTCAGAGCTGGAAGGACCTTAAAGGTCATCTAGTTTAAGGTGTGGCAAACAATGGCCTTCAGGCCACATCCAGTCCTCCACCTGCTTGCCCCCACCCAGACCTGTTTTTGTAAATAAAGTTGCATTGTAATACAGCCATGCTCATTCATTTACGTATTATCTGTGGCTGCTTCCATGTTACAACAGCAGCTTTGACCAGTTGCAACAGAGACCTGTGGCCCACAAAACATAAAATAGTTACTACCTGGACTTTACAGAAAAAGTCGGCCAACCCTGACCTGGTTTGATATTGTCTTTGTGCTTCTGTGGCAACTAAGGCTATGGCAAGAAGTGACTTGCCTCTGTCCATTCATGGCACAGCTGGGACTAAAACCAGGTCTCTTGACTCACAAAACAGTGCCTTTTCTTTTATGAGATTGACCTACTGATTCCAATTGTAAAATGACCTTTTTTCTGACCTAAGGAGCTTTAGCAGGAGTCATTTTGTCCACCAACCCCCAAGATGCTGCCACTTCTAACTATGAGCTACTCAGAAGAGAAGGTATGTCTAAAATCAATGGAAGAATTGATCAGAGATTCCATGTGTCAAAATTCTATTCTTCCATCAATTTTCAGGAGCACATGGTACCCCACAGCATACAAAGGCACCTCCATTAAGGGCCTATTGGGTTAATGCTGATGGGTAAACATGAATCTGCCCATTATGGTTGGAAGGCACCACCAGGATCGGCTTCTCCTACATGGAGAAGGCATGTGTAGGAAATTAAAAGTCATCTGTCCAGACTGTGGGGTGTTTAGTTGGAAATGATGGCATTCTGGCACGAGGGGAAAGCTGGGTAGGTAAGGCCAGTGGCAGAGGAAAGGGACAGAACTGGGATGGAGTTGGTGAGATTGTGAAGGGGAGAAGGCAGGACACAGGAACTGGCAGGTAGATGTTCCAGAAGTCCTCTCAGGAGCAAAGGTGCCAAGTGGAGCTGAAATGCTGGGCAGTGGCCTCTCCTGGGCTCCCATGTGCTCAGAAGGGAAGACCCTGGTTTTCTGAGGAGGCAACAACTTTGGTCTCTGCCTCTTCAGCTTCACTAAGAAACTTTGGGCAACCAGCTGGCCACGACTGACCATCCAGCTCTGTGCAGCTCTGATCATACTACAGCCAAGTATCAAGTATCTCATCTTGGCAGGGCACGACAAGGCCAGAATGGAGAAAGAAAAGTTCTCCTTACCAAGTACTGACCACGTGCCTGACACTAGGCACAGGTCACATAGGTTGCCTCTCCCAGCAGCTCTATGAGGTGTTTCCACCCTTCTTTTATAAATGTGTAAAATAAGAATCAGTGACTTAAACACTTTGCCCACTGTCAGAGGCAGCAGGTGCTAGAGGTGGGCTTCACACCCAGATCAGTCTGCCTCCAAGCTCCTTTTTCTACTCTATCCCCTGCCTGGCTTCTAATGAGCAGATGTGGGAGGAACAGTCCTTCCTATAATTAAATTTTCACATAAAAGAATAGGCTCAGGAGGGAGCGAGTTCCCCAGCACTAGAGGGCTTGAGCGGAACAGCTCAGGAAGCTGGGGGCCAGCAGTACAGATGTCGAAGAGGGCATGGTGCTCCCTTGCGCATGAGCCCTTACCTGCTTCTCCAGCTGAGCCTCTAGCTGGCTGATGAGCTCATCTTTGCCCTTTATGGCTTTCAGCAATTCTTGGTATTTCCGGTGCAGGCTCCCCTCAGAGTCCACATTCTTCAGATTGGATAGTTTTACCTTCTCTTCCATGACACCCACCTGAAAAGTACAATGATCTCATAGTGTCTTCCCATCACTCACACGGGGTGTGCAGTGGCCAGTAACGTGGGATGGGACACCGTCTGATGCCCCAGGCTGTGACTCCCAGGCACAGCCCTTACCCAGGGCAGTCTGAGCCAATTAATTCAATTAAGTTCCAATCTGAGCAAAAGAAGGACTGACAAAGAAGAAACTCATTTTGGCCACTCTAGGTCATAGTTAGTAATGGAGAGATAGGTAAGAGGAGGGCAGAGGAGACGATAAGTGGAAAAAGCAGCTGGGTCTTGTGCCATTGACCTCTGTGGATCCCAGGAGGAATGAGTTGGGCAGGACAAACAGCCTAGGAGAGCAACTGTCCCAACCCCACCGTGGTAGAGATATTTACTGTTCACTGGACAGCCATGTGCTGACCCATATTTCTCAACCCTTCTGCAGCTAGATGGAGCCATGTCATTGATCCAACCAATGGGGTCCAAGTGGAAATGGTGCATCATTTCTAGACTCAAGTATGTATGTATGTATATATTTATTTAAAATTTTTTTAAAACAGATAAGATCTTGCTATATTGCCCAGGCTAGATTCAAACTCCTGATGTCAAGAGATCCTCTCGCCTCAGCCTCCCAAGTAGCTGGGACCATAGGTGCATACCGTCACACCCCGCTGGGCTTAAGTATTTAAAAGCTGGTGCAGGGTGGGTGTGGTGGCTCATACCTGTAATCCCAGCACTTTGGGAGGTTGAGGCAGGAGGACTGCTTAAACCCCAGGAGTTCAAGACCAGCCTGGGCAAATAGTGAGATCCTGTCTCTATTTAAAAAATAAAATAAATAAATAAGGCTAGGCACAGTGGCTCACGCCTGTAATCTCAGCACTTTGGGAGGCTGAGGTAGGTGGATAGCTTGAGCCCAGCAGTTTGAGACCAGCCTGGGCAACATAGCAAGACCCCATCTCTAATAAAAAATACATCCAGCTTTCTTTCCTTGCCATGGCAACCAAGAAGGCTGCGCATTCCAAGTGGTCCAGCTATAAGATAGGCAAGCCTCCTTTAACCTGGATTCCTGAGTGACTGTGGAAGCGGAATCACTGGCTAACCCTCAATGGACAGGTTCCACGAGTGAGAACTAAATGTGATAAACCACTGAGACTTCAGACTTAATTTGTTACCACAGCATAGTCTAGCCTATTTGGACTACTATGCCCACTTGCTACACTGATCTTTACCCAGAGACTCTACTCCCACAGAAAGCTCCACGCACACTCATTTGTTCAGGTATAACACAGTACTGCTGGTGATGTATGTGTCCACCTGTGTCCGTGGGAAGGGCCTGGAAGGGCCGACGGTCATTCCCCTGCATATTCCCGCCGATCCCCTCCCCTGGTTACCTGGGTCTCAGCGTTCTCTGCTCTCTGCTCTGCCTCCAGCAGCCTCTGCTCCAGCTCCTGCATCTGCTTGGCCAGAGAGAAAGGGGAGATGTAGGTGCCATGTCCCTACTGTGAACACGGCATCAAGGCCACTTTAGAGAACTGTGCACACACTGCACACAGGCCAGACTTCAAGTGCCCATCTCAAGTGGCTCGAGAGTGTCAGGGTAAGGATTTTCAAGGCAACTCTCAGCTCCCTAATCCTGAGTTCATGGGGCAGGTGAAGAGCCCGTGGCTGCTGTCCTCTCTACTGAGGGAGTGGAGGCCCAGCTCTTTTGTCCTGATGGAGGGTGTCCGGGGAGGGCAGCAGCTCCACTGTCATTCTTCCTGAGCATCCCACCCTGTCCTGGCTTCAGTCTCCCCTTCCTGAGGCCCCTTTCCTCTCAGCATTGGGTCGAAGGTGGGGCCATGCTGCTGCTCCCATAGGGCCCACCCTGTGTCATCGATAGAAAACACTTCTCCCCACTCAGAATATCTCACTGGTTGGGGATGAATACCTCCTCACCCACAGTCGAGGGCACCTCTGCCTGTAAGGGCTTCAGGGCTATCACCTTATTTGATTTCTTGAATCTTAAAGAACTAGAAAGAGAAAGAGAGGCTCAAGATACATTTTTCAAAATTCTATCTTGCGAGCTGGTCACAGTGGCTCATGCCTGTAATCCCAGCACTTTGGAAGCCTAAGGCGGGAAGATCACTTGAGCCCTGGAGTTCAAGACCAGCCTGGGCAACATATCAAGACCTCATCTCTACTAAAATTTTTCTTTTTTAATTAGCTGAGCGTGGCGGTGTGCGCCTGTAGTCCCAGCTACTCAGGAGGCTGAGGCAGGCGGATCACTTGAGCCTGGGAGGTTGAAGCTGTAGTGAGCTGAGATGGCACCACTGCACTCCAGCCTGGGTGACACAGCAAGGTCCTGTCTCAAAAAAAAATTTAAAAAAGTAAAAATTCTGTCTTGCTGCCAGTAGAGGCATGTCACTCAAGGCTGAGGAGCATGGAAATTCTGGATATTACACCAAGTGGCCCAAGCAAAGGGACTGAAGTTCTTGTACGTGGAGGCTCTTCAGGGACCAGACCTAAGCTGAAGACTAAAGAGCTGCTCACGAGCCCACAGCCTACATGGCATCTCTTTGCAGCTTCTCAAGCTCATGGCTTGGCAAGTGAAGTGTGCGTTAGATGTCAGCTCCCATTCTTCCCCTGCCAGGGCACCACCGTGTGCTGCCCAATTGGACATCATCACATGGAGGACCCGCAGAAGCAGAGCAAATTCATGCATCCCGCTCTCATGTCTAACACCATGTGCCAAGCCTAGCTGGGGCTGCTGCTTCCTTCCCCAGCCTGCCTTGTCCCAGAGTAACACATATGCATCATACATGTCCCAGAGGCGTTGCATCCCAGCCACGCCTTCCACGAGGCTGGACAGGCCCAGTGCCCCTCACTTCCCAAGTTCCAGCCCAACCTCCTCTCTAAGGATTTGGCCTCTTCTCTGGCTACTCAACCTTCTCCCTTCAGCCTGGACCCTAGCTGATATTTACCAGTGAACTGATCAATCCTTCTCTCTTTCCCAATCTCTCAGCTGAAATTCTGCTTTCCTTAATTAAAAGGTAGATGAGCAGGACCCCCCAGCCTGCTGCTAGACAGTGAGAGGAAAGTTACATGGAAGCAGTAGTTCATATTTGGGAACCTGGGGGATCTCTTTGCTCAGGGTGGCCTTCCCTCATCCATTTTTTTCTCCTTTCTGGGACTGGGGAGACACAGATGCTTTCGGGGCACATTCCCTTGGACAGAGAGTTAGAGTTATGCTCATCCGAAGATCCCAAGTAAAACTCAAGACTTACAACCCATATGGGACAAAAATGCCCTGGTGCTCCCATGGATAGGGCCCCCTCTGACAGGCATTCACGTGTTCAAGCCAAGGATACCCACATCCCTTCTTTCCTTCCTCTCTTGCGGTAACACTACTGAAACCTCTAGATGGAAGCTGAGTGGGTGGGTTGGTTCTGGTCAGTTTCAGGCATCGGTTTGAGCCAGATGGACTGTCCTAAGTCAAACAGTCCTCAGGCCTGTCCCAGAGGAGTTCCTTGACCTTCACACAGTTGCCATGCAGCCACGGGGCAGATAACAGCACAGCATAAATCAATATTATGTTTATAGGGGTGGTTGCCCAGTGCAAAAGGAATTCTCCTTGGTGGTGGGGGGTTGGTTGATACATAGTGGTGGCCCCCAGTGTTGGTACTGCATAACCCTTCCCTCTTTGACACCAGACCTAACTGGACCAGCCAGATTCTCTCTCTCCAGGAATCTGGAATCAAGAGATCAGAGGCTGGAGCCAGGGAGGTGCCCTGGAGAAGGTGCACAAACCTCACCAAGTCATGATTGCTGGATAGTTCCTTCAGTTCTGTGAGCTGCCCCAGGATCCTTCTAATAAATCCCCTTTGCTTAAGCCAGACAGAGTTGGGTTTTGGGGTTTTTTTTTTACCCACACAGAAATAATCTAATGAATGCAATGATGAGGAGCATTTTCTTTTTCAAGAATAAAATGAAATACTGAACGGGAAGGCCCTGGTCCCTCAATAAGTTTCCTAGGTTGCACTTCAGCAGGACTACTGAGACCTAACTAATCTGCTCTGTAGCTCAGAAGAAGGCATAGGCTTTCCATTAGAAATGATAATTCATATTTGTGACATTCTGAAACGATTGGCTGATATTTTCTGACTTCATCTGATGGAAAAACTTGTCTTGCTCTTTTGCAAATGGAGACCAAGGTGGAGTAAAGGATAAACTTGGGTCTTACCTCTCATGGAGGCATTTCCATTTGGGTCAAGAGTGATAAGTCAATGACATTGGTCAGAACCAGAAATCGCTCTGTTATTGACAACACAGCGAGCATTTTTTCCCCTCCGGATTTTATTATCTATCCCATGCACATGCTATTACTGAAGTAGATTGAATGGCAAGGCACTTTTCAGAGCCTGGGGTCTCCCCTGGGGTATCCTCCCAGCCCTGGGTCACCCTCTGTCACTGCCAGGTGGTCCTCATTACTGCCGACCCTCCCAGTCCTTCTTTTTGTTTTTGTTTTTTTTTTTTGAGACAGAGTCTTGCTCTGTCGCCCAGGCTGGAGTGCAGTGGTGCGATCTCGGCTCACTGCAAGCTCCGCCTCCCGGGTTCCCGCCATTCTCCTGCCTTAGCCTCCCGAGTAGCTGGGACTACAGGCACCCGCCACCACGCCCAGCTAATTTTTTATATTTTTAGAAGAGACGGGGTTTCACCGTGTTAGCCAAGATGGTCTCGATCTCCTGACCTCGTGATCCGCCCACCTCGGCCTCCCAAAGGGCTGGAATTACAGGCGTGAGCCACCGCACCCAGCCAGTCCTTCTTATCCACCCTGCAAGGACACTTGACACTCAAAGCATTTCATATTCACTTTTATGTTGCAGTATTCTTTTTTCTCTAAAACTAATGTCTGAACACTTTAGCCCCAGCATCAACACTTTTCACGAGGGCAGATCTTTCTTCTTCACCTTTGCTTAAAGGCCACACCTGGAGCTCTGCAAAGCTGGTGCTATAGAACCCTTATTTGGCTGTTCCAGGGTCCTCTAGGACCATGTCCTCAGCTGTCCTTTCAGTGTGTGGGTCTGGGGTAACACGCCAGCCAAGGAGGTGTCAGGTTTAGGTGGCTGACAGGGATCTACTTTCACCAGCTGCACATAAGACACATAAGCTGCCCTAGAACTGGCTGCAGCAACCTGATGAAGTGCACTTGGCACCAATCTGGTATTTAACCCCCAAGTGTACAGCTCCTTGTCACACGCTGTGAGATGCTGTGAAATACCAGCCCACAGTGGCAGGAGCACCTGGGACTCTCCTGTACTCCCAGCACAGTCCTGCTGTGCCGAGCAGTGGCCTGAGCCAAGAGCCACACCATCCCGGGTCTCAATGATCCCTTTGAGAAAAGGGTTCAACATTCTTTTTTTTTTTTAGACAGAATCTCACTGTGTCGCCCAGGCTGGAGTGGCCAATCCCAGCTCACTGTAACCTCCGCCTCCCAGGTTCAAGCGATTCTCGATCTCCCAAGTATCTGTGATTACAAACGTGCACCACCACGCCTGGCTAATTTTGGTATTTTTAGTAGAGATGGGGTTTCTCCATGCTGGTCAGGCTGGTCTCAAACTCCTGGCCTCATGTGATTCGCCTGCCTCGGCCTCCCTAAGTCCTGGGATTACAGGCGTGAAAGGTTCAACATTATTACCGCTGCCTTGCACCCACGGGAGAGAATGGCACAGCTAAGAGGTAAGGCAGTGGAACCTCACTGACTCCACCACAGTGTGGCTTTAGACAAATTCCTTAACCTCTCTGTGCCTCAGTTTCCTCATCAGTAAAAAATATATATATATAATAATAATGACACCTCCTAGGATCGTTGTGAAGATTCCACAAGCTGCCCCATGTAAAGTACATGTGCATGGCTTGGCATTCAGAAATTTATAGGTAAAAGCTGCTTGTTGGCTTTTGTCCTATACAAAGATGGCACTTAGGAGCAGGGAGACCAGTTTGGCCGGGACAGTGTGATGCTCACCTGTTGTCTCAGCATGACTAGTAATACAGCCTCCTTTCACTTTCTCTCCAGAGTGTCCTGCTTTAGGTGATAGATTATATGATCGGACTACTTAGGATTCACCTACAGAAAGAATGGGTTTAAGCCAGAGGTTGCCCACTATTAATTTAAAGAGTGTCCTATAAGACTCACACTGTGTTGTGGGCATTTAGCTTATATGTATATAGCTAAACAGGACCACTTGGTCTGTGTAGGGCTGTGTGTATATACATGTAGGATATTTAGGCTACACTTATGTAGCTAAACAGGGCCACTGTCATAAGCACTGTACATGCATTAACTCATTTACATTTCTTAACAACCCCAGAAGGCAGGTACTGTTAGTATCTCTATTGTGTGGATCAGGAAACTAAAACAGAGAGGTAAGGTAACTTGCCTAAGGTCACACAGTTACTAAGATTCAAAGCCAGAATTCAAACTCAAGTAGACTGGCTCCAGAGTACATTCTGTCAGCCACTATACTACACTGCCTCTCACATCCAAATCTCACATGTCACATAAAAATCCAGATTCCATATACATCTTGTTTCCATCTTCTCTTAAAAAATCAAAAGATCTGGCCACACTAGCATTATATTTTCTATTTTCTATAGCAGTAAGTGGCTTTAGCCCTTCCCCTCACGTTTTCCTAGAACCTCTCACTCTCTTCATTGTCTCATCTATGTAAATTAACTGCAAACATTTGAGTTTGCAACCCCCAGTTTTAGCCATTAAATTGTTCTAACTCTTGTTATCAAAGACAATTGTTTTGGCTGGGCGCGGTGGTGCACGCCTGTAATCCAAACACTTTGGGAGGCCGAGGCGGATGGATCACTTGAGCTCAGGACTTGGAGACCAGCCTGGACAACATGTTGAAACCTTGTCTCTACTAAAAATACAAAAATCAGCCAGGCATGTTGGTGTGCAACTGTGGTCCCACCTACTTAGGAGGCTAAGGTGGGAGGATTGCTTGAGCCTCGGGGGCAGAGGTAGCAGTGAGCTGAGATGGTGCCACTGCACTCCAGCTTGGGCAACAGAGTGAGACTTTGCCTCAAAAAATAAAAAATATAAAGACAATGGTTTTCAATTTTTTTTTTTTTTAGCAACAGATCTTTTGTTCAATTAAAATCATATGCTTATTTCCAAATACATAAAATACACAAATACGGAGCTGGGAAGAGAAAGGGCTCCAAGTCTTGTCTGTGGGCTCCACTGTACCCCACAACCCCAGAACCTCTCTGGGCCACATGGGGCTCCAGGGATCCACTAGAAAGACAGGTGAATGGGGCCCGGGGTAAGGCCATGGCAGAGGTTAGTTGCAGGAGAGACTTTCAAGGGCGTAAGAATCACATGTGGGCTTTGTCATCATGCAGATTCTTGGGCTCTGCCCACAGAGCTTTTCTTTAGCAAGTCAGAGACATAGCTCCAGAAAGTGCTTATAAAGAAAGCGCTTGTGGATGAAGGTGGTGGTCCACAGACCACACTGTAAGAAACAGTAGCCTGGCCACAGAATGCAAAACAAAGCTGACTCCTTCAGGGATGCAGCCTGGAGCCGTAGCCCCATCAGCACCCCTTCTCAAATGGTTCACGAGCACTACAGAACTCATCCATACATGGTTCCTGAGAAATACTATGGTGAGCAGGAGGGCAGCCTTATAATAAAAATAGAGGGTTAGAAAAGCAATTTAAGGCCGGGAGCAGTGGCTCACACCTGTAATCCCAGCACTTTGGGAGGCCGAGGCAGGCGGATCACTTGAGGTCTGGAGTTCAAGACCAGCCTGGCCAACATGGTGAAACCCCGTCGCTACTAAAAATACAAAAATTAGCTGGGCGTGGTGGCATGTGCCTGTAATCCCAGCTACTCGGGAGGCTGAGGCAGGAGAATCTCTTGAACCTGGGAGGCGGAGGTTGCAGTGAGCTGAGATCACACCATTGCACTCCAGCCTAGGTGACAAAGTGAGACTCTGTCTCAAAAAAAAAAAAAAATTAAAAATCTCTTTTACACACACACACACGCACACACACCCCACAGAATAAAAGCCCTAGAAGGCATCTTCTCCCAAAACAAATCAGATCTGTGAGCACAAAGACCTGCTAAGACCCATTCCATGATGATTTTATGCAAACTTCAACATACTTCCAACTCATCCTTGTATTCTCCTTTTATGGTACCTGGCCTTGTCACAAAGTATGAGATATTTTAGGATATGTTTTTCTGGGCTACCCATATGTTGTGAAACTGGCACTTAAGCTGAACTGCTGCCTCTGTATAATCCATATGAGGTGGAAGGAGCAACATCCATTGTTCTCTTGCTTAAGGGGAGTAAACAGAACCATTTATCCACTCAGAAAAATTTCTGAACTACAAATTTTTGGTAGGTAGATCAAAAACTGAGTTATACTCCAAAACCTTGGCTGGTGAAACTGGCAAGCGATTGTGACAGAGCGAAAGTACACATGGTTGCACTGGAACTGGACTTGGTAAACGCTGCTTCAGTTAGAAGTTTTTAAGCTACAAAAAGAATAATGTTTTGTCACATTATTTCTTCTCTCTTTTTTTTTGAGACAGAGTTTTGCTCTTGTCGCCCGAGCTGGAGTGCAATGGCACAATCTTGGCTCACCGCAACCTCTGCCTCCCGGTTTCAAGTGATTCTCCTGCCTCAGCCTCCAGAGTAGCTGGGATTACAGGCATGCACCACCATGCCTGGCTAATTTTGTATTTTTAGTAGAGACGGGGTTTCTCCATGTTGGTCAGGCTGGTCTCAAACTCCCGACCTCAGGTGATCTGCCCGCCTTGGCCTCCCAAAGTGCTGGGATTACAGGTGTAAGCCACCACTCCTGGCCTATTTCTTCTTTTATTAATACCCTCAAAGCCCTTTTGGCATAAAGAAGCAGATAGGGAGTAAAGAAAAACCTTGTATTAGTTCTAATATTGATGCCATGTAGTCATAATGATAATTCCTACAAAGCTCTTTTGTGGATAGATACTATGCTCCCACTTTTCTGATAGGATAACTGAGAAACAGGTTTAGCAAGAATGAAAAAGTCCAAGGAAGAATCACATTTTAATATCCATTTATGTGGCCTCTCAGAACAGTATCAATTTTTAAATTGGTCTGAATAGCCTTTGTGGCTTCTCTAGCAGGCCAAGAAAGACAGCTAGGGAAAATGATGTGAGCAAAGCAGGGCGAGATGTGAATCTCAAGTCATCAGCCACTCCCTCAGCCTCCTCTACTGGAAGAAAAGGGAACCCATGGCTAACCTGGCTCCAGAATGGGGTGGCCCAGGCAGGCTGGGTGACCATGGCAATAGCACACCAGACCCAGAGGTGTAACAGCAAAGGCACAGTCTCAACTCTCCTCTCCCTTCATCCGGCTCTCTCTCCCTTAGGTGAGGGATTATCTAAGAGCCTTGATGTTTCTGCTTTTTTAAAAAAATTCTTTTTAGCACAGATTATTCCCTGACTAGAATGACAATTTTGTACGAGGGAGTCAGGTGCAAGTAGACTGTGTCAAGGTAGGAAGAAGGGCATTCTTCCAAGCCTCCGCAGCCCACAGGCAGGTCTGATCCTAAGCAGAGATGGTCCCCCAGGGAAGCACCCAGGCTTTGCTCACCCTACAGGATAGCCAGCAGTGAGCAGCCTGCAGTCATCAGCCCATGTAATGTCCCAGGGCCAGCTGGGTAGAGAGGTAGGGGAGCAGATGGGTGGGAGGGCTGGCCAGAGACTCAACTGACATGGCTCCTCCCAGTGCGTGTAGCAACTGGCCATGATTCTTGGCCCCAGCAGGAGCTCTCCTAAGAAACCCAAGGCATCTCTTCCTGCGATCTATAACTTGTCTTGGCTCTGCTAGGGAAAGCATCTCATGAATTGCTGGACCTGTCTTACTGGTTTAGGGATGATTGCAGAGGACAGACACAATCCTGACATTGACCAACATGGTGTTTGTGGCCTTAAGATTTCCTGCCAAGAGGTCCAGTGTCGGACTCAGGTCCCAGCCCTTTTCTTAAGTCTCCCACCCCATGGTCCCTAGTCCAGATCTGTGTCTCTCCCCTCTTTCCTCCCACATGCCCAGTTGTTCCTCCCGTGTCTATGCCTTTCCCCTTTCTTGACTCATCACACTATGCACCCCTAACATTTCCATGTGAAGACATTCTGGTTACATGAGGATCAGAGACAGACTTGAAGACAAGAAGGTGTCAATATTATGAAAGTTCAGTTTACCCAGACTCCAGGGGCTGTAGAGAAAGAAGGTATGGTGTTTATAAGGTGGTTAAGGCTTTCCAGTCACTCTGTTGGCCCCTGAGGAATAGGGTAGACAGGCACACTCTAAAACATTTATTATGAAATACTTTAGGCAAACAGAAACATGTAGAGAAAAAATATATATATATCCTTTGAGACAGGATTTTGCTGTGTCACCCAGGCTGGAGTGTAGTGTGATCACAGCTCACTGCAGCCTCAAAGTCCTTGGCTCAAGCGATCCTCCTACCTTGGCCTCTAAGTCACTGGGACTACAGGCACGCATCACCATGCCTGATGAGAATAATTTTTTAAAAACATGTGTCTGCTGCCTGGGCACGGTGGCTCACGCCTGCAATCCCAGCACTTTGGGAGGCTGAGGCGGGTGGATCACCTAAGGTTGGGAGTTCAAGACCAGCCTGACCAAAATGGAGAAACTCCATCTCTACCAAAAATACAAAATTAGCTGGGCGTGGTGGCGCGCGCCTGTAATCCCAGCTACTCGGGAGGCTAAGGCAGGAGAATCGCTTGAACCCAGGATGGGGAGGTTGCAATGGGCCACTGCACTCCAGCCGGGGCAACAAGAGAGAAACTTTGTCTCAAAAACAAAAACAAAAACAAAAACAAAACAAAAAACACATGTATCTGCCTGTCACTTGTCACTTTGTCTTAAAAAAATCCCAAAAAACCATATATCCACCATTCGGCTTCGTCAACCCTTAATTTTTGTCACATCTGCTTCTGATGTTTGTCTTTAAGAAATGGACCATGACAGATATAGTTGAAGCCCTGCATAATTCTCTCCAATTTTACCCCCTTCCCCCGGCGTTGACCCTACACTTGGTTGTTTTTATATTTTTACCTCATTTGTATATAGTAAAAATACCTGGGTTACATTTTCTTATGGCAATAAGTGGCTTCAACATGTCCCCTCATGTTCTCCCAGAATCCACCTGGCTCTTTTCACTTATCTAGCTTACCTGTAAGCATTTGACTTTGCAACCCCCAGGTTAGCCATTAAATGGTTCTAACTGTTGTAATCTAAGACAGTGTTTTCAACTTTTTTTTTTTTTTAGCAGCAGAGCTTTTGTTCAATTGAAATCAGATGCTTATTCCCAAATATATAAAATCCATGAGCACGGATCTGGGATGAGAAACAACAATTAGTACTGTCTTTGAAGGTTTTTAGAAGTACATAAACTGTATGATGCTGTATATATCCTTCAGATGTTTTTTATTCAATGCTGATTTTTGAGATTTACTGATCTTACAAATGTAGTTCTACTTGATTCATTTTTAATTGCAATGTAGTATTCCACTGTACAAATACACTGAATATGTTTATCCATCTCTCTGTTGATGGACATTTAGAATGTTTCCAAATTTTCATACATCAATGCTGCAATATATGTCACCCTGTGACAGATATATTTGGATTTATTTCTGCCACTTCATTTGTCCTTTCTGTTTACTCCTTTTTTTGATATATTATTTTCTTGTCCCTATCTGTATTTAATAGACTTTCCTTTTTTCATTTCCTCTCTCTACTGATTTGAGGTATGAATACTCTGTTTCTATTTGTTATCCCTCCTATTAGTCTAGACTTAAAGACTGCTGGTTTTTCCCTATTATCTATCCTCTCTTTCTTTCTCATATAAATAGAACCCCCAACTTTTAGCTGAGCGCATAGTTATTCAGAATAAAGACTACATTTCTGTTTGTAGAAATGTACAAACCTTCTTTGTAGCTGGGTATAACCATGTGAATAAGATCTGGCCAGTGGCATATCAGCAGAAGAAAGGTATGAAACCTCCGAGTCACTAACTTAAAGGGAAGGGGCTGGAATGTGACTATCAGATGACCCATCTTCAAATATCCAGAGACCATCACCCTAGAGCTTGATTGCTTATGTCTGGAAGGTTACATGAGAAAGAAAGAAACATCAGCCTGGTTTAAGCCATTGTTATTTGAGGTTCTTTCTTACAGCAGCCAAACAATGATCTAACCAAACTGTGATTTTTAAAAACTTACCCTGGTTAGACTCATTCTGTTTCCTGAATCTGAGGCTTCACATCTTTCATCAAGTTTGGAAATTTTCAGCCACTATCTTTCATGGAATCTTACTTGATAGATACAGGACCTTGTCATTCTAACATCCAGGTCTCAACTGCTGTATTTGTATTTCTGTAGGCAGCATTCTGGATGATTTCCTTAGGTCTGTCTTCCTGTCCATTAAGTCTATCTTCCATGGTGCCTAATCTGATGTTTAATCTATCCATTAATACATTTTAATTTCAATAAAAACACTTTCACTTATTAAAGTTCTATTTAGTTTTCAAGTCTACCTGATCTTTTTAGGTAGTGTCTTGTTCTTGTCTTATGCTTTCATTTTCTTTGTTACGTCTTCAAAACTTTTGAACTCATTTATTTCATAGTCTCTTGCCAACAGTTCCATTATTAGAAGTTGTTGGGGATCTAGTCTAATTGTTTTTTGTGTCTGTGGATACTCACTCATTGTAGATTATTTCCTCAAGTATTTAGTCATTTTTGATTATATATTCCTCTTCATTAAGGCTTTTTTTCTGTGTGGATCCTGTGTGATCTGAATTGAGGTCTTGTGTCTCCAGAGAGGTTTTGTTTCTGTCCCTACCAGGCTCCCCAGGGGTATCACTGGCCCAGAACTTGGGTTTCCTAAACCACACAGGTAGTATAAATCCTAACATTAAACCAGTGTTATCGTCAGGTTCTCAGGGGAGACTCTACTCTTGTTTTTCTACCCAGAGCCTTAACTAAGTCTGAGAAGCTATTGTCATCTCCTGTGCCAGTGAATGATTTTCCTTTCCTTGTCTACCTTGTTATTTAGGGTAAGCCCTTTAATATTCCTGACCATTTTTTATTTTTAAATTTTGTTCATACTGACACTAATCAAAAGAAATAATAGTCCTGACTTGATGCAGAAGTCTGTTTCAGCTCCAACCTCCAGCTGGCCAGTCCTCATTTCTATCCCCACAGATATTAAAACTCTAACTTCAAACCTTACATTACTCTAGGGAGGCCAGTCACACACCACCTGCCCCTCAATCAGCTGTCAGAGTTGAGTACCACTGTGGCTATCCCCTCTTCATTTTGTTACCTGAGGACTTTTCTTACTTTTTTCTGTGCTCAGCTCTGCATTTACATGAATATTTTAAATATTTAACCCAGTATTTCCAGGTGATTCATAGTGGGTTTTTTTTTTGTTATTTTGTTGTCCATATTACTAGAAACAGAAGTCTCTTCCCTCCGAGATATATCTCAGACTGCCTGGCTGAGTCAATCCCTACTTATCCTTTCCTTCCTTTTCGTCCCTCCTCCAACACCATAGCTTAAGTCAGGGTTCTCAAACTTCATAGTGTACAGAATGATTTTCTGGACGCTTGTTAAACATGCAGATTATTAGCAACCCCCCAGGAGACTTCAATTGAGAGGACTGGGGTAGAACCCAGGAATATGCATGCTTAACAAGCACTCTACGTGGTTCTGGCCAAACGGTTCTGACCACACTTTGAGAATCACTGTCTAAGGTCTGCTGCCCTTTCCTGATGTATATTCATTCCTTTCTATCGGCAGTACCTGGCAGTACCCTGCACATCTCTGTTTTGCAAAGTCTGAGTTAGGAGACAACAATGTCAACAGACCCAAGGTTCAAGAGTTCTAGTCCAGACTAGTCCAGGACCACTCCCCTTAGCCATGGTGATGCCACTGATTTGTCCTGCTGGACTCCAGCTATCAATAAAACAGGTCATCCATTTGGGCTTTACTAATTGAGACTTTGACATTCTTTGGAGAGGTGTGAGCTGAATTTTCCCTTTGTACTTATGAAAGAAGGGTTTGCTAAGCAGATGGATACTATAAACAAAACTATACATATAATGATTGATTCACTTAATTTTAAGTGCAGGTCTTCACTCTCTAGATGGGTTATGCTCCAGAATGCCTCTGAAAGTTAGCAGTTTAGAATGTATCTTCCAGCTGAGCGCAGTGGCTCATGTCTGTAATCCCAGCACTTTGAGAGGCTGAGGTGATCACCTGAGGCGAGGATCACCTGAGGTTGGGAGTTCGAGACCAGCCTGACCAACATGGAGAAACCACGTCTCTACTAATAACACAAAATTAGCCGGGCGTGGTGGTGCATGCCTGTAGTCCCAGCTACTCCGGAGGCTGAGGCAGGAGAATCGCTTGAGCCCAGGAGGCGGAGATTGTGGCGAGCTGCGATGGCGCCATTGCACTCCAGCCTGGGCAACAAGAGCGAAACTCCATCTCAATAAATGAATAAATAAAATAAAATAAAATAAAATAAAATAGAATGTTATCTTCCCACAGAAACATTAGGAAAGGTGGTCAGTTTCCCAGACCAGCCCACCCAAACCTGTAAATAAAATAATTATTCCCATTTAAGACCTATTCTATGTCAGGACCTTTACATATGTGATCTGATATAATTCTCAAAATAACTCTTAGAAGTAGACATTTGTGTTTTTTTGCCTTAGAGGTGAAGGGACTTGCCCAGGGTCATCTAGCCAGTAAGTGGCAGAGCCAAGTTAGGTCTGGCTCCAAAGCCTGTGTCCTTGTTACCAGGAAAGCAGAACACCTCCTGTAGCTCATTTATTTAACAAAGGGTGAGAGGAAGGGTAGAGATTTCTGTTTTCTCCCGAAACACCGTCCTTCCCCACACTGAGAAAGAAACGTTAAGGGAATAATAGAACCTCTCCGCTGCAGCCACAGGTGACTCCGGAAGTGATGGGGGACCGAGAAGATTGGCAGCATGTCTTTGGTGTGCCTTAATGAGCGAGCAAAGACGCAAGCAAGATAACAGCTTAGTAAACTGCTCGGACTTTGGTCTTAAACTACCTTGGGTTTCATTTTGCATATGGGGAAAAGCATCTTACTGAAAGTTGACTTTCCGCAACTCTCCCTCTCTCACACGGCCCTCCCTGCCATAAACCTCTGCGTGTGGAGAGGCAGCTCCCTGCTCTGAGGGACTCACCTTGTCAGCCAGCAGCTCCCTTATCTTGCTGGCCTGTAGGCGGAACCGGAAAAGCTGAGTTTCCAGGGTCAGGCAGCGTTTCTGCCAGTCTACGCTGGCCGGCGCCTCCACCTTGAGTTCTGCCATGATGGAATCGACTTCTGGATTATTCTGGGGAGCCCTAAGAACCAGCATGCAGAAAGAGGAAAAGATAAATAAGCGTGTGAGGAAGAGTTCTGTGGGGAAAGAACGGGAGGGGACCAAAGGACAGAGAAAACAGGGCTGGGGAAGAGAAAACAGGGCTGGGGAAGAGAATTGGTCACTGATCCCCAGGGCCCCTCCCTGCCTTCCTCAGCTCAGTGTGTCCCGCTCCATTGTAAGTTAGCTGAGAGCCTCAGGAAACCGCGAAACCTGAGAAACCTTAAGGAGAACCTAGTCTCATTTGGACAGAAGTGAAAAGTAGGGCTCATTTGTTTTTCAATTATCCATTATTCACACAACAAACTTATCCATTAAACAGCTACTTATATGCCTGACCCTGTGCTCTGCACTGGAGATGCAAACAGAACTAAGAGAAATTCCTTGTCTTTGTGTTTTTCAAGGAACTCTTAGGAAAATCTAATTACAATGTAGTCATAGTTGCCAAGTGACTTGCAGATAAATGGGAATGGGAGCTGGGAAAAGTGGGAGGGATGTGTTTAGGGAAGGCTTAAAGTGGGTAACAGATGCATCCAAGGTCACATAGCTAATTAGAGGCAGAACCCCGGTTCCCAGTTTATTTCTTATTCTATTTCATCTATATAAAATGTTAGATGAGAAAAAAATGGAAACAAAATATAATGCTTTGAATGTCTTTGACAATCTTCTATTTAGATGGGATTGTGTCCATTGTTATCATCGAATCATCCATCCCACTTTGGAATAGATTCTCACCATTTCCTTCAGGTTCTAAGATGCAAACCAGAAAACTGCTAGATATTTTGCTGCAACCTCTGGAGAAAGCCACAAGTCTTTGGGAAAAAAATTTGTACAAATTCAGAACAAATCAAGTAGACACCTATAGTATGTCCAGCCAGGGGAATTCACTCAGATGCCTTCTGGACATATTTAGAGAAAAAACACTGGATGCAGGATGAGAAAAGGAAGAAGGATGCATGAGTGTGCATGAGAGAGAGGGATACAGGCAGAGCAAGCAGGAGAGAATGCCTGGGAGACACATCCATCATCAGGATTTTTCAAATCCCCCTTATAGGGCATTATGATGAATGATGCTTCCCAAAAAGTATAAATTTGGTCTGTCCCAAACCATGACACATGGTCACCCTAGTAGTCAACAATTTTAAGGAATAATTGTTAATTTTTTAGGGTGATAATTTTTTTTTTTTTTTTGAGGGAGAGTCTCACTTTGTCAGCCACACTGGAGTACAATGGTGCAATTTTGGCTCACTACAACCTCTGCCTCCTGGCTTCAAGTGATTCTCATGCCTCAGCCTCCTGAGAAGCTGGATTACAGGCGTGCACCATCAAGCCTGGCTAATTTTTTGTATTTTTAGTAGAGATGGAGATTCACTATGTTGGCCAGGCTGGTCTTGAACTCCTGGCCTCAAGTGATCCACCGGCCTCAATCTCTTAAAGTGCTGGGATTACAGGTGTGAGCCACTGTACCCGGCCGATAATATTTTTAAATGTCATCTGTTAAAAATTTTTATGATATACAGGTGAAATAATATAATATCTGGGATTTGTTTTAAAATACTTCAAGGTAAGAGGTAAGTAGGGGAGGAGATATACGAAATAGGATTAGTAAAATGTTGATAATTTTTGAAGCTGGCTGATGGGTATATGGGAGTTCTTTATATGATCTCTCTACTTGAATATATGCCTGGAATTTTCCATAATAAAAATTTGTTGCTTTTCAAAATCCCCTTTTCCTTCCTCAGGAGCCACATGGCCTCAGAAAACCCAGCCACCTCCTGTACTGTTGCCAGATACTACCACAGTGCAAAGTTAGCCTCTCTTTGATGGGCTAATCACCAATCGTGCTTCTCCCCTCGCATGTGACTTTTATTCGTATTTTTCTCCCATCATACACTACAAGTAGCTATTGCTTATTGAGTCTTTATTGTATGCCAGGCATGTGTTGCCTCTTTAAACCTTACAACAACCTGTGAAACAATAGGTAAGCACTGTTGTCCACACACACATGAGGACACTGAGGAACAGAGAAGCTAAGTAATTTACAGATAATTGTACAGCTAGTTAATGGTGGAGCTGGGATTCTGGTCCCAAATTCCTTGTTCATTGCCACTCTGTGCTCTTTACCCATCCAAAAAAAATAAAAAGAATTTCAATTTCACAAAGAGTGTGGTAGACTTGAAAATGGCAGAAATCGTTTCTAGGATCTTTCAGAAGCCTTAGCACAAGGATGAACCTATATCCCAGATTTCCCAAGACATCTTGGGCTCAAATATTCTGACACCATAATCTCCCCAAGCACTGACCTTTACCATGTATCCTGACTTTTCATCTAAAAAATAAGACCTGCAGAGAAAGGCCCAACAATTAAACCACTGATGGACCGAGTAAGCTCGCTTCTTGGTTCCTCAGAACACATGACTTCAGCGCTGCTCTCCCAGCCCTGTCATCTAAACAATCCCTGCATTGTGACCTCCCAGCAATCCCCATCTCAAAAGACTAGGACCAACTGGAACGGGCAGGAAGACAAAAGACAAAAACAAAACATGACCTTCTCTGAGCTAAGATCACAGCTGAAAAGACAAAACAGAACCTTGTAAGGCTCTCAGAGAAGGCCGGGAGGCTTCATGTTTGATTTTTCCTTGTCCTTTACTGGGATTTTGCTTTTCCTTGTATAAATAGGAAAAGTGGCAGATCTGAGACTAGGACCTGGGAGTCTCGCAACTCAGTTCAGGGCTAAGAAATAACAGTAAAAGCATAAAAGCAAGGGGCAAGGGAAATGTAATCCCTTTGTATAGTTGAAAGAGTTTGATTAATATTGATTCCCTCTTACTGATTGTCAAAGCTGCTGCTCAGATTCTATTGGGAGAGTGAAAACCCAAATTATCAAAATCTCCAAGTACTTTGGAAATATGTCACTGGTGTCTGCCTAGCCCTGATATCTGAGATTATACCTAGTTTAGGGAATGCTTTCCCCAATCAAGCATCTCCGTAACATCATGGTTCTGAACTGATCAAGTGGTCTGTTTAATCCTCTCCCTGCCTTGGGGATGGAGAGGATTAACCACCCTCTCCCTGGCAAGTTGCTGAGGAGGTTGGGACTCGTGCTTGGCTTGCCTCAGCATGTGAGGAGAGCAGAGAGGTTTTGAAATAGATCAGGAGCAGGGTGCCTGCTGCCAAACCCAAGGCCCAGAGGCTCTTCTGACAGAAGCAGGTGGTCAGAGCAACAGCTATAAAATAAGGGAGGTTAAAGGAAGATACCAGTAAGCTGAGCCTCACCTGCTAAGTCACCTTGCACTTATACCTCCCATAAAAATGCACAAGGATGAGCAGAAATGAATACCTTACATTTGCAGTAGAGTTTGTAACTTGTCAAAGCATTGCGACGCATGTGTTATTTCTCTCTTTATCCCTGAGATGGAGGACGAACACAATTAGTCACAATGAACAGATGAGAAAACTCATCACATCTGTGACTTGCTTAGAGCCTTGCATAGAGCTAAGGAGTAGCAGAACTGGGCCAAGAATCCTGATCTCCCAATATCTACAATTGTCCTCTTCCCATGATGATGCTTCAGTAGTGGTAGCAGATATCTCATACTAACAGGCTAGTCTAACACAAATACATTAATGGCAAAAAATAAATGGGGAAATGAGAGAGGGGAAGTGAGCTGGAAACAAAACTCAGCTCAATTTTTTTTTCTATTTTTATTCTGGAATGCTCTATCACACATTAGAAATAGGGAGAATAGTACAATAAGTCCCTCTGTCCCCAATACCCCGCTAAAATTACGATCAGCTGTTGGCCAGTCTTATGAAACTCATAGTTTTCTTGATTCTGCTGGCACCCAGCCTGCTAAACTGCTTGGCAGGTGAATCAAAAAACTGCCATAGTCTTGATACCTGCTTTGGCATCCCCTGAATCCTCCAACACCCGGGACTGAAATGCCACAGCAGTCAGTGGGGATATGCCCCAGAGGCAGGGGCTGGGAGTAGGATGGGTGGGAAGGTGGCACAGGAAGTCATTAGGTGACTCCAGACTCAGAGTCTGTATCAGAGAAAACACAAATTTGACCTGGGATCTCTCTGGCAAGTTTGAGGATTTTGAGCAGAAACTGACAAAATGCTAAGATTACTTTTTTTTCTTTTTCTTTTGAGACAGGGTCTCACTCTGTTGCCCAGGCTGGAGTGAGTGGCACAATCATGGTTCACTGAAGCCACAACTTTCCCAAGCTCAGGTGACCCTCCCACCTCAGCCTCCCAAGCAGCTGGGACTACAGGCGTGCACCACTGTGCTTGGCTAATTTTTGTATTTTTTGTAAAGACAAGGTTTCACCATGGTGCCCAGGCTGGTCTCGAACTCCTGGGCTCAAGTGACCCACCTGCCTCATTATTCTAAAGTGTGTTGAGCCACTGCGCCCAGCCTAAGATTAAGTTTTTATTATTATTATTATTATTATTATTATTATTATTTTTGAGATGGAGTCTCGCTCTGTCACCCAGGCTGGAGTACAATGGTGCAATCTCGGCTCTCTGCAACCTCCGCCTCCCGGGTTCAAATAATTCTCCTGCCTCAGCCTCCTGAGTAGCTGGGATTACAGGTGGATGCCACCACACTGGCTAATTTTTGTATTTTTTGTAAAGACAGGGTTTCACCATGGTGCCCAGGCTGGTCTCGAACTCCTGGGCTCAAGTGATCTACCTGCCTCATTCTTCTAAAGTGTGTTGAGCCACTACACCCAGCCTAAGATTAAGTTTTTATTTTATTATTATTATTATTGAGATGGAGTCTCGCTCTGTCACCCAGGCTGGAGTACAATGGTGCAATCTCGGCTCACTGCAACCTCCGCCTCTCAGGTTCAAACAATTTTCCTGCCTCAGCCTCCTGAGTAGCGGGGATTACAGGCGGATGCCACCACACTGGCTAATTTTTGTATTTCTAGTAGAGACAGGGTTTCACCATGTTGGCCAGTCTGGTCAAACTCCTGACCTCAGGTGATCCACCTGCCTTGGCCTCCCAAAGTGCTGGGATTACAGGCGTGAGCCACCACTCCCGACCCCAAGATTAAGTTTAATACAAACAACTTTTAAGTGAGTCCTGTGTGCAAGATTGGGGATATAAAGATGAATAAAGATATTGTGGCTTTTGAGGCTCAAGTCTACAGCCTGAATATCCTGGTAGCTCCCTACAAAGGTAGCTAATCAATACAGGACCCTAAAAGAAAGAGGTCAGAGGTCACCACAGGCCTCAAAATAGCTCATTGCCTCTATCTTGTGGAGGATGCAGGAGGCATTGGAAGGCAACGGGGCTTCTGTTATATGCACAGTTTCCACTGGGCTCTCTCATATTGCCTCAGTATGGTTCATTCCCTGAGTGTGAGTATCTGTATGACTTCCACTTGCTAGTGAGGGGCTACCACCATCTTCTAAAAGTGCTCTGCCAGACGTGGCTGACTACTTGTCAATTGTGGGAGAGAAACAGCTTTGTGTCCCGTTTCTGGGGATGAGGCTGGGAGAAGGGTGTGAGTGTACACAGGGACAACTTCCTCTGATCTCAGCACTGTCATCTGATCAAGCTAACAACATCCATTTGGCCACTGCTGGGTGCCTACATGACATTCCACACAATGTCCGGGGAGACAGAGAAGGTGAGCATGTCCTAGGCCGCAGGAACCTCAATACCAAAAGAAGTGGTCAGGACAACCAGGTACAACATTCCTTGAGAACAAAAACAGCAAAGAGAAACAGCTTAGTACCTAAGATCCCATGCTCTGGCACTGACAGGCCTGGGTTTGAATACGAGCTCAGGCACTAAATAATCCTGTGGCCTTAAGCCATTTGCTTAACTTCTTTGAGACTCAGTTCCATTCTGAAATTGAGGGCAGTAATATTTGAAAATCAGGACAATAATATTTGGTTGAACCATATGAAACCGTCATTTAACCATTTTCCAACCTTCAAAATGGCCATTTCATATATCACATCATGCAGGGCTTTTTGAGAATTAAAGGAGATATTACAAAAGCCTGGTGCACACTAAGTACTCAATAAATGACTGTTATTGTTGTAATCAGCAAACAAAGGCAAACCAATAGCATCTAGAACATAAAAGGAGATGTGGCCCAAAGATGTGCTCACGAGGCTGGGCACGGTGGCTCAAGCCTGTAATCCCAGCACTTTGGGAGGTGGAGGCAGGCGGCTTACCTGAGGTCAGGAGTTCAACCAGACTGGCCAACATGGTGAAACCCTGTCTCTACTAAAAATACAAAAATTAGCCAGGTGTGGTGGCGCATGCCTGTTAATCCCAGCCACTTGGGAGGCTAAGGCAGGTGAACTGCTTGAACCCTGGAGGCGGAGGTTGTAGTGAGCTGAGATTGCACCACTGCACTCCAGCCTGGGCAACAGAGCGAGACTCTGGCTCAAAAAAAAAAAAAAAAAAAAAAAAAAAAGATGTGCTCACTACCAGATCTAACTCTGGAGATCTGGAGAGGAGGTCATATGATTTTTAAAGTTATTTTAGAACATTGAACAAAAGGGTATATAGTGCAAAGTAAGGCTTCTTCCCATGCCTGTACTTCAGCCATAGTTCTCCCCAGCGGCAACCACTGTTACAGGTTTCTGTGTGTTCTCTCAGAGATATTCAGAGCATCTACAGGCATTCATATGTATGTGGCATTCACACACCCACCCAAAAATCGTGGCCCACCATACACACTGTACTCAACAATATAACTTAGAGATATTCCTACATCAAAGTATATATCTGCCACATTTTCTCTGCACGCTTTATAACAGCTTTAATGTATCCTATCGTGTGGCTTTTACATGATCTTATTGAAGGGTTCCTTATTGATGGACATCTAGATTGTTTCCAACCTTTTGCTAAACAATGCTGCAATGAATATTCAATGATGTACACCATTTCATATACATCAGAGTATATCTGAAGGATAAAGTCCCAGAAAATGGAATTTAGGGGTAAATGATGTACACTTTAAATTGCCAGACATTTCTTTGGATTTTTTTTTTTCTATCAGGAATGGGAGGAACATGCTCTCCCCTACAGCTGGTGACTTCTGAAGAGGGCAGAAGAGGCTCCACATTTTTTCAGCTTAGTTGTTAGTTTCAATGAGTTTGGGGCCACAGGCTGCACCCCACAATTGCCCAACTCTGAGCAGGCCCCCTCAGCAGTCTATGGGAAGGTGGTAGAAGTGGACTGAACCATACGTTAGGAATTTAGGAGGCTTGGGTTTCAGTTATGGCTCTTCCACTTTTTAGCTATGTGACCATGGGCATATCACAACAATTTTTTTTTTAACAGACAGGATCATCAGCCTCCCAAGTTAGCTGGGACTACAGGCCCACACCACCACACCCAGCTAATTTTTAAATTTTTATTTATTTGTAGACACAGGGTCTCCCTATGTTGCCCAGGCTGGTCTTGAACTCCTGGCATCAAGCTCTCCTCCTGCCTTGGCTTCCCAAAGTGCTGGGATTACAGGCATAAGCCACTGCAACTGGCCTAAATCACAACTTTTCAGAGTCCCAGCTTCCTCCTTTGGAAAAATGGGGCCAATAATATGCAGAAACACTAATACCGATGTTCTATAAAGCGTTCAGTGATGGTACTAGCCCTATACACAGTGTCTGTCACATAGAAGACAGTCCAAACAGTTTGATGAAGGAACTGATAATTCTCCCACTGAATTTTTTAAATGGTCTTTCAAGTGTTTTACCTGAACCAAGGCTCTGTCTTGGAAGAGTTTTATGAGGTGGATTCATAGTAAAAGCTATGGAGGAGATATCCTGGCAAGCAGAAATCCCACAAGGAGAGGAGTTTCCTTCCAGATGAGGCTCTTCACCGCCTCTGCCACCCCCACTAAGGCCCCTGGTTCCTGGTGACCGAGTCCTCGCTAAGACTCCTAGGACACAATGCTCTGTGTCATTCGGCGCCCAACCTGTTTTCTTTTCTGCTTGAATGACCTGCTCCTAGGAGTCGAGCCTGAGCCATAGGGTCCCAAAGACAACACTCAGAAATCACAGAAGAAATAACCTGAGGTGAGATGGGGAGGGGTGCGGGAAGGGGTGAAAGGGAGCGAGCACCGATAGCAAGGTGGCAGCCTGCACGTCCGCTCCGAGGGCCCTTCCCAGGAGCGGCTGGATCTGACCGATCCCCAAGTCCAGGTACTCCCGGGGGAGGCTCCTCCTGGCCTCGCGGCGCGAGTCCCCTGGGGCGCCCGGCTTCCCAAGCCAGACCCGCGCTCCAGCGCTCCCCGCCGCTGGGAGCTCGCTTCCAGGTAGGGAGGCACCTGCTCCGGATCGTCCTCTGGGCCCGAGGGGCCGTCCCCCGCGCGCAGCCTGACGCCCTCCGCCGCGGCGCAGCCCCAGCCCACCACAGCGGCGGGAGCGCGGGTCGCTCACCTCCAGCGAGCTCGCGGCCGTCCCCGCCGCGCACTGGGCACACGGGCGCCCTCGGGCCGCCGCCGCAGCCGACCTTGCGTCGCTCTCGCCGGAGTCCCGGGCTGCCGCCGGTTCTCCCCTCCCCGGCAGCAGGGGTCGTGGGCTGCGGGGCGGGGCGAGGCTGGAGCGGGAGGGGTGCCCGCGGGCTCGCTGCACAAAGCCCGGCCGAGCCTTGCTGCGCCCCATTCAACGCTCCGCCGGGCGCCCTCCTCCCCTCGGCTCCCCGCCCGCTCCTTAAAGGCAGAGCGCTGGGCTCAGCTCTCCAGGCAGCTCGCGGAGAGGCACAGGAAATGACCTCAGCAGGCTCCAGCCTCCCACTTCTCCGCACCGCTGGGCTCGTCCCTGGGGCGGCAGGGAGGGCGGCGGGGTGTCCCGGGCGCCGGCCCGGAGCTCTCCGAGGAGGCCGCACCAGCTGCCGCAAGGGGTGGCCAGAGCGCCCCGGGGATCTGCTTGACCCCAAATAGCGGGGGACCCTCGCGGGCTGCGGGACAAGACCAGACCGTCTCCGCCAAAGGTTCCAGCATTCTCCTGGCCACCTGTGGGAACTGTAACGTCTGGATATTTGGAACAGAAGTCCATATTTCAGTCTGGCAGACCAAATGTTCTGAGTTGCAATTTGCAGGAGAAAAAGAAAAAATAAGTTACGACAGCCCAGAGAGTAACTTACTTGCTTATTTTCTGGTCTCGCTATGTTGCCCAGGCTGGACTCGAACTCCGGAGCTCAAGTGATCTTCCCGCCTGGGCCTCCAGGCCGGCTTATGTATATGTTATTTTAAAGGAGGGCCCAGGAGGACCCTGGCTGCCAGGCAGTTTGCAGGGCAGTCATCAGCGTGCCCATGTGCTCCTCGTTCTCAGACATTTGCAGATCTCAGATCGCCCAAAGCAATCTCATACCCAGAGGGGTTGGAAAACTCAACATTTGGCTAGGTGAGCCTGGAGTAAAGAAGATGCAAATAGAGACCATTGCAGGGAGGGATCCACACTTCAAAACAGAGCCTTCTTCCTCAACCCTGCAGGCTCTCTGTCAGTGAAGGACTGAACAGAAGCAAAATACCATCAGCGCCTGTTTCTCCAAATGGTCCTTGGAAGACTCATCCCAGGCACCATGAAGAACACCCCCACCCTGGGTTTGAATCTGAATCTCTAACTAAAGTACCCCAGGCCATTCTCACGTAGAAGTTTTGAGAGCCCAGACACTAAGGAAAGCTGGTAGTGCAGGAGGCCAAACGTGAGAATTTAACTGGGCCAATGGGACTTCAATGGCTGAACTTGCAAACAGCTTTATAGCTCGTGGGGATTGGGATAGATTAGCCCCATTTTGTGGGACAATGCTCAGGCTATCCACTTCAACATTCCAGAAGTTGCATAAGGAAGCCCAAAAACACGTTCTCTGGATTTTGCTAAGAAGACATTAATTCATTCATTCACTTTTTTTTTTTTTTTTTTTTTGGACATAGGTTCTTCTTGTTCTGTTCTCCAGGCTGGATTGCAGTGGCACAATCATAGCTCACTGTAACTTGAACTCCTGGGCTCAAGCAATCCTCCCATCTCAGCCTCATGAACAGCTGGGACTATAGGCACATGCTACTATACCCAGCAAAAAAAAAAAAAAAAATTTTTTTTTTTTTTTAGTAGAGGTGGGGTCTCAAACTCCTGGACTCAAGAAATCCTCCTGCCTCGGCCTCCCAAAGTGCTGGGATTACAGGGATGAGCCACCGCACCTCGGCCCAGAACTCATTTAATATAACTTTGTTATATAGTGAAAAGAGACGCACCATGGAGAGTGGAATGGGAGGAGCATGCTCTCCCCTATAGCTGGTTACTTCTGTAGAGGGCAGAAGAGACTCCACATTTTTTTCAGCTCAGTTGTTACTTTCAATGAGTTTGGGGCCATAGAGTGCATCTCACCATTGCCCAACTCTGAGCAGGACCCCTTGGCAGTCTGTGGGAGGGTGGTAGAGGTGGACTGAACCCTACATTAGGAATTTAGGAGGCTTGAGTTTCAGTTATGTCTCTTCCACTTTTTAGCTATGTGACTTGGGCAAGTTACAACTTTTGTTGTTGTTGTTGTTTTCTTTTAAGAGATAAGATCTTGCTCTGTTGCCTAAGCTAGAATGCAGTGGCAATCATAGCTCATTGCAGCCCAGAACTCCTAGGCTCAAGCAGTCCTTCTGCCTCAGCCTCCCAGGTAGCTGGGACTATAATACCCACCATCACCCCTAGAGCCCCTTTCTTTGGATATTAGCTTATTATTACAAGTGACCTGACAAAGGAGAATGGAGGATGGAACAGAGAGATGGGAAGAAAAGCCATCATGTGCCTGAGTTGAAGGATATGCTAGGGCATTCTTGTGAAAGAAGATGAGGCCGGGATGGGGACTTGTCAACTGGTCTGAGCCAATTTAGTCCTTCAATGATTGTATTAGCTGCCATGGGACGTGAGAGGTGAGAGGAGGCCATTCGTCTTCTTTTCTGTAATCTCCTGCAGGTGGGATATTAAAAATAGTTAAGGCCAAATTCTGCCAAATATACATGTATTGGCAAGCTGGCACAAAACAGTCACACAGCCTGCTTCAAGAAAATGGGGCAGTTGGCCTGCTCTGGCTCTCACACTCCATTCATGCAAGGGCAAATAATCTTCCTGGCCAACTCCATGTTTTGAAAACTGCTTATTTCACCAATAAAAGATTATTTCTAGCATCCCTCAAGCACATTAAGCCCTTGGGTGTATATTTTGATGTTGTTTGAAGTGCTTATGTAACCATTTTCTGGAGTGCGGATTCCTGATTAGGGCACTTCAGATGCTAACTAACCACTCTAGGAGTTACAGGAGAGTCACTTTATATACACACACTACATGGTTTAGGCTGGAATGTTTAAAAAATAAATTCCTACAGAGTCAATATTACAGCATCTTAGTCTGGGCCTTGTTCCTTGGACAGCACTATGGGAGGGAAAGGGGAACTTGGAACTGGCCAGAGCTCAGTTTAAGCTTTATCACTTAAGTGGTGGTGGGACCTTGGGGCAGTTGCTTAAGGTTTCTGAATTAATTCCATGTTTGTAAAATAATGATGATAATAATTCTGGCCTCTTAGGGTTGTTGAAATGATTAAATGAGATAGTATGTTGTCTGGCATGCAGCAAGTGATCTATAAATGGAAGCTTTTGTTATTTATTCTTTGAACAAATATTGGCTGGAGTTTACGAGAGATCTTGTAAATCTCTGTTTACAAGATTGCAATGGATAAGCAGATGGCTTGAGAGACAGGAATAACTCTAGGAGAGCTGGTGAAATGGTTGACAATTCATCTTCCCTTGTACGAGCCTTCTAGAAACCCTGCTTCCCATCCCTACCTGCTTTCTCTGAGCTCCAAAGAGACCCTCTCCTATATCACCAAAAAAGCCTCAAATCAAGGGATCCCCTCCTCCTGCCTTCAGGACCTGGTTCTCAGTTACTGTTGGAAGGGGAAGAGAGGGGAGAAGAAGGAGAAGGGAGTTTCAGACTCCCAGGAAACTTGGGGCCAGTCCTAGTCCAGGCTTCTGCTCTCTGCCTTGGGTCACAAAGAAGTCAGGAGGTTACTTCTACTGCTGAATCTTTGGGAGCAATTTGGCTCTTCGGTGATTGTCAGGATTAGCCACCATGGGACATGAGAGGTGAGGTAACCATGGGTTAGAGCAGAGTGTCAAGAGTCACCATCTAAGTGGGGCTAGGAAGGCAGTGATTGGACATGCAGAGAAGGGCCAGTTAGGAAGGAAAGGAAATGGCCCAGTGGCTAAATCCTCAGTGTGTGTGTGAGCGTGTATATGTGTGCATGTGAGATGGGTATGGAAAGATGGGAGGAAGTGTCCTAACTTTAAGTATGGACTCTTCTTTCATTTATTCATTCAGTTACTCACTAACAAATATCTATTGAATACTTGCTATTTTCCAGCCACTGTGCTAGGAAGGAAAGTGTGGCAAGTGTGACCTATCAACTCTGGGCACAGGCTTTAGAACTAGACATGCCTGTCCTTGAATCCTGGCTCTTCCACCCAGGGGACACAGGGTGGAAGTAATGCAGTTACCACATACATTCACTGCAAATAATCTGTTCAGTATACCTGTGGGTATGGGAGCCAGAGAGAGCCAGGCAGCGGATGGGGAGGGGAGGGAAGGTGTTCCTCGTTTGTAAATCAGGAATCAGAATTCCTTCCTTAGAGAGTTATTATAAAGATGGAGATAAAGGGCCTGCCTCAGTGCCTGGCATATTATTGGAATCTAGTAAATATTATGAAATGAGGAGGGAACTTGAAGGTGTAGAGGTGTAAAGGACTAGCAAGGCGCCCAAAGACTAGGGAGCTGGAAAGTACCCAGGAGGAGCAGCATGGAAGGAGGGCCTGGTGGAGAAGGATTCCAATGAGGAGGTGGGCAGTGATTCCAAATCTAACCTCATGTCTTAAAATGCTGATCTGAAAATACAGATTCCAGGCCACCTCTAGCTATTCAGATCAGTGGGCCCAGGAGTCTGCATTGTCACGCACCTGTCTGGGGTCTGTATTGACTGGTATGCCCTTGAGTGATTTTTCTCAGAGAGCAACTGCCAGGGCGGAACTGATGTAATTACAACACATATCAATGCAAAATGCTCTGTCCGCTGCAGCTGCGGGTTATACGGGCAAGAGAGAGCCAGGTGAATGGGGGCTTAATGGGATAGGGACAGGAGAGGGAGGGAGAAAGAGCACCTGAGTTGGGAGCTGGTGGAGCTCAGGGAATGAGGATCAGGTAAATCCAGCCATCTGACTGCAATTCTAGATCATTTTAGAGTTTGCAACATCCTAGTTTTAAAGCAGCTGTCTTATTTCTCCAACAGCTTTCATCAAAGATGAGAACAATGGCTGCTCACATCAATTGGGGGAGGGAGGAACTGGGCAGGGACCAGCTTTAAGTAGGTGGCAGGTTCTCCAACAGCCCAGGGAGCCTGTGTGGGGAGAGACTAGGGCTCCAAGAAGCCAAGGAAACCCAGGCCTGTCAGAGAGCTGCCAGTGACCCTTTACTTTTCTGGGACACATGTGTGGCCGCTGTAGACAATGGGTTTTCATGCTGACAGTGGGGTTCAACTTCCAGAGTTCAAATTCCAGCTTTGGCACCTAGCTCAGTTCTTGGCACTCAGTAAGTACTCAGTAGATGCTGGTTGTTATTATTATCTCCTCAGCAGAAGACAGACCCAAGCCAAGAGAAAGGAAAGTCTCCCAGCCCTACCTCACCCTCACACTCCAATCTATCTGAGTCCCCACCAGCCCATCTCAGAGCTGAACTACGAGAGGTCCTGTGTTCATACATTCATCATGTGCTTGCCGAGTGTCCACAGTGGGCCACTGTAGGAGAGGGAGAGCGTGGAGGAGTAGGTGGCTCAGTACAGGGCAACTGGACTTTGGAGGGCCTCTTCATGCTCCTTGACCTCCCCTCCTCAAAGCCACTACTTTCGCTGACAGGAAGAGGCCAGAGGTCTGGGGTGGGGTCCTACATGCAGAGCTGTGAGTGAGTTCTTGCTCAGCCACTACTTTGCTCCGCAATCTGAGGACATCTCAGCAACTCTTTGTGCCTCACCTAACTGTAAAATAGAAGCAGGACCTTCGTGGCTGCCATCCTCAGCCTGGAGATAAGGAATTAATGGACACTTCACCAGGGTCATGCTGGGGAATGAGGGGCTGCTGCGGTACAAAACACATTGTTGGTTTATCTGAGAATTGCTGAATGGGAATAGAAGCAACTTCACCAAAACACACCGGGGACACAGCCAGCCATTGCAGGGCACTGCAAACAAATGAAATCTTTCTTTCTAATCTCCTAATTAAAAATCGAAACATTTAAAGCCATATTTATTGAGGGCTGACTTTGTTCCTGACCCACTAAACATTTTAGGAGGAATCATCTTTTTTTTTGAGATGGAGTTTCACTCTTGTTGCCCAGGCTGGAGTGCAATGGTGCGATATCGGCTCACTGCAACCTCCGGCTCCCGAGCTGAAACAGAGGAATCATCTTAATTCTCACAATTCTCTGGAGCTGAAGCCATTTTTATCTCCATTTTATAGATGCATAGACTGAGGCTCACGAAGACCAAGTGTCATGGCTAAGCTCAGATAGCAAGCAAGTGGCCAAGCCAGGACACAAACCCTGCCCTGCCTGACTCTAAAGACCACGCCTTTAGCCACTCAGGTCTTGCCTCTGCTCAGGGATGTGTGGGTTCCCTTGCGGGGCACCTTCCAGGCTGAAAGGTTGCAATGAGTGAGCCACAAGTACCCTGGGATTCACAGAAAAGGAAATAAGTGAAACACATGGATAGAATGAGCTGACCAAGCCATTGCAGCTCCCTCTGCCCTGCCCCTAGTGGCTTGGCCTGAACCAATAGGTCTATTATCTCCCTTGATGGTCAGGACTTCTCCTTGTTGTGCTCAGGGTTTTCGATGGTGTGTCAGGGCTCATACCCTACTGGAAGCTCTCTTTGCCCTCCCCTCTTTGTAAAAGGGGGTGAGTTCTGATGACAAACCTGCCCTCAGTATGGAAGCCCTGGACATGACTGCCAGCACATTGGAGACTATCTCTCAGCACCATCTAGTGGCCAGGATGGCTTGTTTGTTTTCTTCAAGGACCCTGAGCCCCAGCATTCTGGCTCCCAGTCAGGTGTAGGGCCAGATCCATTCCCTTCTGATCTGACACTGCATGCTTTGGTCACCTCTAAATGTGGTGATTAATGGGGATTTAAGCTGTGCTTAAAGTGGAGACTTTAAACTATGCATATTTTTATCCTGTTCAATTTTGCGTCGTTTCAGGGAAGGGGGCTAGAACACTGAGATGTATAAAAGACTAGGAAAAGATGGAAAGAATATTCTCCCCTTTCTTAGTTCCATGCATCTGGCACCAAGCAATGCATACCTTTTCCTACTGTGCAAAGCACAAGACCAAAAGCAGCATGCAAAGACCGTCAGCTTGGCACTCATTCCAAGCAGGCATCTTACCTACCCATGTTACACGGGCAGGGGACAGGAAGAGATGCCGCTGCACAAAGTCCAAGCTGCAAGTCAAGGATCCTTTTTGCTCTGCTACAGATAAAGTGATGGGATACAGAGCTGGCACTAGACCGACTCCCAATTGTATTAGGAGCTTTGCTTATGTAGAAGTGAGCTCTGGGGTTTTCAGAGTGGTGATATGGAGAGTGCGCATTTCCAGAAAGGAATTCTGCATTTATAGGTTCTGGATTTCCTAGTCCAGGTCCGGAAGAGGAACTACTAAAGTGGACCCACACAAAGGAATCAGGTAGAGCTGACAGACAGGTCTCATATATAAGGTTGGTGATGGAGCAGAGCAGGCAGATTCCTAGGATGGAAAGCCAGTAGGCATTGCTCTGGGGCTGACACGGGGCTGCTGTTTCTTCCAAACACTGCACATTGCCTCACTGGCCATTGGGGAAACTCTCAGATGGCTTCTGGAATGGTTTGATCTTGAAAGTAGAAATTTCCTGGGCACAGGGCATCATGCTTGTGTGAATCCAGGATCTCTGGAACAAAAGACACTCCTGAGAAGATCATGGTTCTTTTGGGAGGCAAAATTGTTAATGTTGAAATAAATCCACTGGAATACTCAAAGTAACTTTCTGTAAATATATTTTCCCGTCAAGCATAATAAACTGCATATGCAGTAATGTACATCAGATTGGAAGCCATTTATAGAGGGAAGAATCACTAAAATGTTACTAGGACCTTCCCCACTCCAAATCTCCTTTCGCTGACATGGCATGTTGTGATTCTTGCGTCCTTTCTTCAGCTACAATTGTGACTATTTCTCACAATTTATGTTAGGAGAAGAATGAGGGGTGCCCCTAATATTTATAGCAGCAATAACAGCAAAATAAAAGAGGGGAAAAGGATCCAATTGAAATGTCCGTCAATT
This sequence comes from Homo sapiens, assembly GCF_000001405.40. Lineage (NCBI taxonomy): Eukaryota > Metazoa > Chordata > Mammalia > Primates > Hominidae > Homo > Homo sapiens. The sequence continues at coordinate 67,525,433 of NC_000014.9, read as the reverse complement.
AGGACTAGTAAGTAAAGTATTAAAATTATGATTCATCTAGAAAATGAAATACTATGCAGCCATCAAAATGTATGATGAAGAATTATATTTATTGACAAGGAAAGATATTCATTACTTAATGTCAAGTGAAGCAATGTCTAGAAAAGCATGTAGAATATGATTTGTTTTATGTAAAACTGTATACATATAACTATATGTATATTTATGTATATAAATATGGGTAGAATTATTTTTCCCAGAGATTAACAGTGACTATCTTTGAGTGGAGAAATTTGATATAATGTTGTTAGTTTCTGCTTTGTTCTTTTCTATATTATGTAAGCATTTTACAAGGAGTATGAATCATTTTTCTAATAAAGCTATTAAAATGTTTTAAAAGTATTGATCCTCATGAGTAAGTAGAAAGCCGAGATTCAGAGAAGTTGACATCTAACTCAATAAAGCCACAACCTGCCAGTCCAAGAGCCAGAGTGTGCACCCATAACCACCCATTCCTCAAGTTTAATGCCAACGTTTTGAGTTCTGCCTCCTTTCCCTTCATTAAGATACCGGGGAGAGATATGGCAATGGGGACCTGGGGGAGTTGGGGATCACTGTTCAGATCAGAGGGGCCTCACATCTTTTGATATTATCTGGATCCCTATTATCTCTTCAAAGCAATTACACTGTGACCACAACAGCATTACTGGATTCCTATTATACAGTATGTTCTTGTGGTTTGGCGGTTGTCCAAGGCTTGAAGGAGCAGACACAAGTCTGGGGACAGAGTTAAGTTGGGTCCCTACTTCTAATTCAAGCCCATCTCGCAACTTTCAAGAGAAATGATGTATTCAGCCATTTTCTCCATTTGAGGAAAGAAGGAAAATGAAGCTAGCTGGGTGTGGTCCATTGGTCGGACTGCAGGAGGTTCTGGGTGGGAGTGGCATAACTTCAAGGAAGAAGTCCTAAGCCTGTGTTCCTTTGTCTACCCCTTCTCACTCCTCCTCAGCCACCCATGTTTGTCCACACTCCTAATTGTAGCACCAGAGACCTCATGACCTGACCTTTGGCATTCTTAGAGTTCTGGGCACCAGCCAGCTCAATTCAGCCTGGTGAAAAATTAGCAGTTACGACAGGGATTGGGGTCCAGTGGGCCCAGTGTCTTCCTAGAACATGAGTTTGGATGTAAACAGTAAAAACAGAGCCAGGTTTGGTGGCATGCATCTGTAATCCCAGCTACTCACTAGGCTGAGGCGGGAAGATTGAGCCCGGGAACTTGGGGAACATATGAGATTTCACTTATTAAAAAAATAAATATCAAAAGCCCAAGGTTGTGAGAGAGTATTAATCTCCCATTAAACAACTACAGGGCATTTACAAGGTCAAAGTGGGTCTCTGAGCGGCCAGTTCCTTTCTTAGCCTATCCACTCAGAACACAGACATGCAGTTCCAGAACAAAGGATTCATCCCCTCTGTGTTCTTGCTTTGTGTCACTGGAAACCCTCTTTGTGTCACTATTCTTCCCTCCCTGTCCTCATATCCCTCTACTGTATTCCCTAGAGAGGTCACAGCTCTATACCTGACATTACTGCCCATGGATATGAAGAAAAAAAAAATTCCTCCAAAGATATTGTTTCCCCTTCCCACGTCTGTTCTTTGCTGAGGGACCTAAGAGAAAGCAGACCTTGACCTACGCTGTGGGCAAGAAAGAAAGGCAGAATCTTTTAACAAAAAGAAGTGTGTATTTACAAATGCTGGTCAATCTTGAGCCAAAGCCAGAGTTTAACCTACAAATAAGACATGGTAGAGATACAGCATGGCCACAGAAACAGCCCCATTGTAGAACACAAATAATCGCACATCTTCCTCTGCGTGGAGGTGTAGAATCTAAAGCCATTACTTGGAGCACAGGGTAATGCTTTGTTATAGACCATCTTGCATTGCTCTCATCTTCCAAATGCCTAGGTTTCATTCTTTGCTACCTGTATAACCCTACCTGTATAATCCTTAGCACAGTGCATGGCACATTAATGGTTGTTGAATTGAATAACAAGTTGAATGACTTTTTTTCCCTAGCACTGTACTGTTTTGAGGACTGGACTCCTCTTTTTTCTTTTCTTTTTTTTTTTTTTGAGATGGAGTCTTACTCTGTAACCCAGGTGGAGTGCAGTGGTGCCATCTTGGCTCACTGCAACCTCAGCCTCCTGGATTCAAGCAATTCTCCCTGCCTTAGCCTCCCGAGTAGCTGGGATTACAGGCTTCTGCCACCACACCCAGCTAATTTTTGTATTTTTAGTACAGACAGGGTTTCACCATGTTGGCCAGGCTGGTCTTGAACTCCTGACCTCGTGATCCACCTGCCTTGGCCTCCCAAAGTGCTGGGATTATAGGCATGAGCCACCGCGCCCAGCCTGGGCTCCTCATGAAGTCAGGAGCCCAGTTCTCAAAACAGCACAGTACTAGGCAAGAGAAGACACTCAATACACATTTGTTAATTAATTGGCATCTGAGACTAATTGAACTAATTCCCCGGACAAGATAGAGTCTCTGGGATCATCAACCCTTTGGGCTTCTGCAGCCTTTCCTGAAGGTGGCAGGGTTCTAGCAGGTCCAGGACAAGGAGGGTAAAAAGAATAGAGATGGGGTTTGCCCCACCCTCTGCAAGGCAGTGGGCACACTGCCTCACCACCCGCTCCAGGCTTGGCTGTCTCTCAGCCGGCTCCTATGGGAGAAACCTTTTGACTCAGATCTACAAAAAGAAAGATTTTCCCAGTCTACCCCAACCCAGGACCTAGCTGTGACTTGGATGAGAATGCTGTGATACAAATTCTTAACCTATTAATGTTGCCAAGTCCCAAGATATCCTCCTGCAATCACTGTATCTGGCTGAAATTTCTCTTTGAACTGATATAGTGAAGTTGGGACAGGCACACAGTGTCCCCCCAGGCAGAGTGGCTTAGATAGCAGCATAAGAGCTTTTAGTTGCAAAGCCTTCTCATAACCAGGCTCGCCTCAACAATACTCCTTTGTCCCCCCTCAGACGACTAAGCTTCTTGTATCCTGGCAAAGGGAAGCACAGAGGAGAGGTGACCAGCTTGGAGTTTGGATTTTAATCTCCAGGGCAGAAATTCTTTTAAATTTGCCCAGCATCTAGGCTGACTGCTGAGTCAGAAATGAGAGCAGTAGAGTGGGAGAGGAGCGGGTACGGGGATATGTGTGGAATGGGGCTCTCCCGCACAATCCCCAACTTTCTTTCCTTTTTTTCTTTTTTTGTTTTGTTTTGAGACGGAGTCTCACTCCGTCACCCAGGCTGGAGTGCAGTGGCACGATCTCAGCTCACTGCAACCTCCGCCTCCCGGGTTCAAGCGATTCTCCTGCCTCAGCCTCCCAGTAGCTGGGATAACAGGCACGCTCCACCATGCCCGGCTAATTTTTGTATTTTTAGTAGAGACGACTTTCACTATGTTAGTCAGGCTGATATTGAACTCTTGACCTCGTGATCCACCCGCCTCAGCCTCCCAAAATGCTGGGATTACAAACATGAGCCACCGTGCCCGGCTTAATCCCCAACTTTCATAGTCAACTCTGTCCTCTAAAAGACTTACGATCACAGTTAAACCCATACTTAAAAGTATGAGGTGATGTGGTTTCAATGTGTGCTCTTATTCTCACTTTGATTTCTTTTAACTTTGGTCTTTTCCTCTCTTAATTTACTGCTCTTCTTATCAACCTGTGCTAATTTTCAGGGCTGTCTTAGTGCACACCCATTAATGTCTTAATGCTTTATGGATGAATTCACATGATCACAGAATCATGAGTTCTTCATTTTCAGGCTCAAGGTGTTCATGAATACTGCATAGTCCTTATCCACTGGATTTTCTTTTTGATGATGAAAAAACAAGAGAGGACAGGACCTTTAAATATCCCCAAAGTAGCAAGACACTTTATTTTAAGACTTCTATGAAAGTACCTACCTACCCCTTTCCCACATGGACATATGGATACCAAAATCTTCTGATAAACCCACAGGACTTGATCATTTCTCCTGGGCCTAATGCCTCTTCTCCCTCCACTGGTACCCCTTTCCATCCCTCTGTGACATTTTATAAATATTCAAGGGCATCCTTAGTAAACTTTTGCATTTGCTTCCCCTGTCACAATGCACTCATTCCTGAGCATAGCTCACAGCTATACAGAAGTCTGACTTTGTAATGTAATTTATGAAGTTACCTAAATGTAAATTATGGACTTTGGGTGATAATGATGTGTCACCCAGCTCTATACCAACCCTAGCATAAGAAGTGATATTATTCAACAATCTACATCTTCCTGTCCTGGTACTTTTCAGAGCCTCTTGCTGCTTTCTTGAGGCTTACCTGTTTCTCCATTCACTTTCTCTCATAGCCAAGAACTTTACAGAGAACAACGATGAGATACCACACTATACACCAATTATAATGGCCCAAATGTGGAAATACTGACAAGATGAGGATGTGAAGCAACAGGAACTCCCATTCATTGCTTGTGGGAATGCAAAATTGCTACATCTGCTTTGGAAGACAGTTTGGAAATTTCTTATAAAGCTAAACATACTCTCACCACACAATCCAGGAATTGTGCTCCTTGGTATTTGCCCAAAGGAGTTGGAAATTTATGTCCACACAAAAACCTGCATGGAGTTTATAGCAGCTTTATTCTTAATTGCCATAACTTGCAAGCAACCAAGATTTCCTTCAGTAGGTGATGGGTAAATAAACTGTGGTACGCCCAAAGGAGTTGGAAATTTATGTCCACATAAAAACCTGCATGGAGTTTATAGCAGCTTTATTCTTAATTGCCATAATTTGCAAGCAACCAAGATTTCCTTCAGTAGGTGATGGGTAAATAATCTGTGGTATATCCAGACAATGGAATATTATTCAATGCTGAAAAGAAATAAGCTATCAAGCCATAAAATGGCATGGAGGCAACTTAAATGTATATTACTAAATGAAAGAAGTTAGTTTGAAAAGGCTTTAAATGGTGTGATTTCACCTATATGACATTCTGGAAAAGGCAAAACTGTAGAGCAGGTGAAAAGAACAGTGGTTGCCAGGGGTTAAGGGGGAGGGAAAGATGAATTAGCAAAGCACAGAGGACATTTATGGCAGTGAAAATATTCCATATGATACTAAATGGTGGATACATGTCAATATACATTCATCCAAACTCATAAAAAGAACACCAAGAGTGAACCCTAATGTAAACTATGGACTTTGGGTGATAATGATATGTCAAAGCAGCTTCATCAGTTGTAACAAATATACGACTCTGGTGGGGGATTCTGATAATGGGAAGTCTATGCATGTGTGGAGGCAGGAGCTATGGGAAATCTCTGTACTTTCTTCTCAATTTTGCTGTGAACCTAAAACCACTGTAAAAAATAAAGTCTAGGTCAGGCATGGTGGCTCACGCCTATGATCCCAGCACTTTGGGGGGCCGAGGTGGGAGGACCACTTGAGGCTAGGAGTTCAAAATGAGCCTGAGCAACATAGGGAGATCCAGTCTCTACAAAAAATAAAAGAATTAGCCAGGCATGGTGGCGTACGCCTGTAGTCCCAGCTACATGGGAGGCTGAAGCAGGAGAATCGCTTGAGCCTAGGAGTTCAAGGCTGCAGTAAGCCATGATCATGCCACTGCACTCCAGGCTGGGCAACAGAACGAGAACCTGTCTCAAAAAAAAAGTAAAAAAAAAAAAAAACAAACTTACAGGGCCACTGAGTCAGGTACAAATTCCCTATGCTGCTTGCTTCCCCTTGTCCTGGACTTTCGCTGTTTGGGGGGTACTTGGCAGCCTTTCCCTTCTTGTAGTAACAGTCCCTTATTTCTTTCACTGCCTCTAATCACGATGTGCAGTACCTAGTAGGGCTTACACCAGAGTATCCGGATGGACCCTTCCCTGTCCAAGAGGGAAGGTGAATGCAGGACTCAACTTAGGCAAATTTGACTCTTTATGCTTGAGCAGAAGTGATGAAAAGATTGGCGTCTAGTTGCTCTGGCAGGACAGCCCCGAGGAGACCCTCGATTACTTCCCATTACCTGGATTCCCAAAACTGGCCTTGTGCTGTGCTAGTCCTTTCGAGCTTGTTTTGCCAGCATTCCCTTTAAATATGCGAGCCATCTGATCATATTCTTTTCCAATGAAATTTCTTTTTTAGACTTAAGATAGCTAAAGTTGGTTTCTATTGCTTGCAGTCAAAGAATCCTACGTGATCTGAGTTTACACTCCTTAGCCTCTTTATGCCCCTTTCCTTCCTATTTTGAGAAGGGGCAGTTGCAAAGAGACTCCCCCATTTTCAAATGCTGGCATATTACCTTGACCTCTTCTCACCAAGACCATATCCATATGTCCCATCCCCCAGTTCTTTCCTACCCAGCTTGTTTTCCTGTAAAGCTGATCCAAATAATTCCAGATTCAAGATTGGCTTCAACTTCAATGCTTCTTCTGCTTCTACCTCACTTCTTGCTTTCTTATCATAGCATCTGCAACAGACTTCATGTGATCTTCTCTTGATCTCCCATTTCCATGCTCCGTCTCCCTCCTAGACCCTTTCTGATCGGGCTGCAGGTCAGTTCCTCCACTGGAATCACCCTCTTGAGCCACATCTCTCCTAACTTGTGGTCAGAGGGCAGCCCCTGGGAACCAATTCTCTCTAACAAGCATAAAGAAATCTTTCTGATTCCCTTTGAAAGTCATCAAGAAAATTACTTATGGGGGACAAGAGCAAACCCTTTATGGCTGGTTTCCTTTGGGGGAAGGGCAGAACAGTTCTTGCCTTTCAGAATATATGTCTAAGGACCTAACATGTTCAAGGAACTTTAGAGATACAAAGATACTTGAAAGATTCTTCTTTTCCTTGCCAGGTGGTGGAAGAGAGATGTGAAGAGAACTACCATTTACTGCCTACCGTGGCGGGGCCTTTACATGACAGTGTGGAGCTACTGCCACTTATTACCTGTGTATTATACTATGTGTCTGGCACTATGCTAAGCACCTTATATGCATTCTCCTACTTACTCTTACAACTGCCCTGGGCTTGGGTATTATTGCCATTTCCATTTTGCAGATGAGAAAAATAGGCTGAGAAAAGTTAAATGAACTTCCTTAAGACATCCAACTAGGATGGAGAGTCTGAACTCAAAACCAAGTTTGCTTGAGCAAAGCCTGTCTGTTCCTGGCCCATACCACCACACCGCTCCTCTTGCTTTGACAAGACACGAAGGCAAAGCAGGGGCTGGTATCCTTTGGTGTGTGTTAGTGCAGCAGGGGTGGTTTGTTCCAGGCCCCTTCACCTTCACCCTGTACTTGAATCACTAGAACCATGATTACTGTGCCTCCTGCACCCAGGGTCACCCTCCCAACCCCTTCCCACAATTCTGTATGTAAGTTTCAGCATTCTTTGGGTGAAAAGCCAGGGGGGCCCCTTACTGTTACAGATGCTATTTTAAAGTCCATTTCTACAGCAGACTGCTCTACCCTGTGCACCCCTGATCTTATGTCAAATGTTCTTGGTGCAAACAGAAAGGAGCTTGCAAGGGGTACCAGAAGACCTGAGTTTGAACTGCATTTTGCCTTTACTAGCACTCTAACCCTGACCAAACCATACAACCTCTCTGAGCCTTAATTTCCTCATTTATAAAGTGGAGATAAAAATAGCTGTCCTACCCAGAGAGAGAAAATATGTCAATTGTAAGGCACTACTATCTAAATTTTTTTGGGAAGAAATGATCCCTAATGTAAGGAATGAGGAAAACCCAGGTCATGGAGTTAAGTTCACTGGAGAGCTGGAGAAAGTAGAGGCTGGATGATGCCATGCCTTGCACCTTAGATCTTAACCCTTCTTTCTGATTCTCTAACTGATATCTTGGCTTCTACAATAGAGCTTCTCTGCTAAAGGATGAAAATATTAATATTATATATTAAAACATTTTTCTTTGACCTCAATGTTTATTTTTTGCCTCTGAGTTTAAAAGAAATTCATACATTTTTGCGGGTCCCTAAAAATATTGTGAGCACTGAGCCCGGCGCCTACCGTGCCTCATGCATAAGGTGCCAGGAATTCAGATCTTCCGAAGCCTTTCCAGCCCATTGTGCTTTCCTCTGCGCAATGCTGCCTCCCAGAGCCTGGGGGAGAGCCAGCTGCCAGCCGCCGGCCACAGCTAGAGAAGGAGATTAGGCGTACTATGCCTTCGTGGCAAGGGGGCACAGGGGATGGCCCTTTTCATCAGGTAGGCCTTGCTGCTAGACTAGCTGCTTCTTGCCAGCGTGTCCCTGAGACACTGTCTCCTGCGTCTCTGACAGTGTACTAGGACAGCCCACATGCCTGCCTGTAGCCCTGACTCTCTCCCTTTTCCCTGACCTATCTCCAGCAAAAAAACAAGTTTTCCTGTTATCCAAAGCCTACTGTGTGCTGAGAATATTATATGCATGATGTCCTTGGGTCATTATACTATATTTATGATGAGGCAAATCTCCAAATTACAGAAAAGGAAACAAACTCAGGGGGAAGTCTAGAGTTCCTGCCACTGGTAGCACGTGGCTGTCTACCTCCTGTACTAGTTTGAGGAACCCAACATGACTCCCTCTGCCCCAATCAGAACCCACTGCTTTCCTTCTGAGAAAAATGGCTTGACCAGCCCAGGAACACGATATACATGGGGATGGGCTTAGAAATTCCTTGTCCATATTTCCTACTCCCAGCTTTGAGAGGCACCTTTGTTGATCTTTGAATATTCTGGCCAGGGACAGGAGGTTGATGGAAGACCTACGGCCCCATCAGACAATTAGGGGAAGACACAGGATCAGATTAGGGTTAGGTATTAGGTTCAGACAGGAGGAAAGCAGCTCAGCTTCTTGCCCAGAATGGGGCAAGAGCAGCTGGATGAACCATAGGTTCCTTTTCTTAGAAGATTCTGTGCTGCCTTGGACTTCTGAGAGCTGTTTGTCACTGGGGTATGTTACAAAAAGGGGTAAGGGCTTCAGCCTCTCTTGTTGTCCCTCTCCTCATTTCCCCCCCTCTCCAGCTAGGTTGAAAAGCGGCCATTAGACCCCTCAGATCAGGCCTCGGCATGCATAGGGTTTGCGAGAGAATTAGAAAGGGTACCCTCTCCGGATGGGTTAGTGACAAAAGGACACCCCCAGAGGGTGTTATAAATTTTCAAAATGCCCTTTCCTCTTGGCTGAGGCACCCAGTGCCAGGACCTAGGCTTGGCGTGCGAATGGGGGCTGGCTGTCATTCCCACTCCCTGCTCAGCCTTTCTGCAGGACCCAGGACCAGTCCAAGGGGCCTGTCTCAAGTCAGGGCCCTCAGCTGCCGATTTCCTACGTTCGGTATTGTGGAATTTCCAGAGTTTCCAGATGATATTCATTATTTTCCACCTCCCAATAAAAGAATCTAGATTGACTTCTGAAATAACATATTCTCTGTAACCTTTATGGTATAAAGCAAATCGTGAGCCTTAGAAGTTCAAGCCTTGCCTTAGGCAAATTCCTTAACTTCCATAGGCCTCAGTTTCTCCATCTTGGAAATGGGGATAAACAAATGACCTTACATGGCTGTTTCCATGAACTGACCGCAGGTCCACAGTGCTGGCACATAGTGGGTCTGCCACACCACGTGGTCTGTGGCCCTCAGGTAGCCCGGGCCTGCAATGGTACCCACAGTGGATGTTGCACGCCTGGTCCCCACAACTACAAGCTCCGGGCCTGACAGACACTCAAATGCAGGCGGGTTGGCTAGGACAGGGAGGGCCGAAGAGCCCTGCACCGCAGCCACCTGCGCCGCGGCCCTGGCAGGGGGCGTGCTCCTAGGCGCCCGTGGCGGGGCCGACCCCGGGCTGCGGGAGGCAGAGGGGTCGGAGGGGACAGCGGGCCGGGCCGGCGAGCGGGCGAGCAAGGAGTTAAGCCGGGCGGCAGGGCGAGCGCCTGTCAGACGCGAGCATGTGCAGTTTGCAGCGCATCCGTACTATGGGTGAGTGCCGCCGCCGCCGCCGCCGCCGCCGCCGCCGGGGGCTCCTTTCCTCCCGGGCAGCGGCGGCTGCAGCCCCCCGGACCCCGCGCCGCCGCGGCGGACGCCGACACACAATGCGGGACTAGGCGCGGCGCGGGAGTGCCAGGCGGCGTGGGGGAGGCACGGCCCGCAACTCGGCGCGGGGGGAGCCAGAGCGCCGGGCTTGGGGGCGGGGAGCAGGCGGTGCAGGAGAGCGCCCCGAGTCCCGGCGCGGGAGGAGGAGCGGGAGCCAGCCCTGGAGACGGCGCTCCTAGCCGCACCTGCGCCTGGCAGGCGGCCGGCTCTGCCCAGCCCCTACCCACGGCCCCGGCCCCGCACCGGTAGGTGCCCCCTATGCCCGCAGAGAGGCCTTTCCGCCGCCCAGAGAGGTGGCCGCGAGGGGCCGGCAGCTCCGACCGCGGAGGGCGCGGGCGATGGGGACGGTGAGGGGAAGACTGGGCGACCGGACTTGGGGCTGTAGCAGATCCCGCTTCCTCTTTGCTTTCGGTTTCGAGGCTGCTGCCCCGGTTCGAGATCCAGCCGCAGATTAGATAGGTGGTGCGCCCGGGGCTTGGATTCCCTGCGGGGGATGGGCGCACAGGGGGGCGTGTTGGGGAAGGGGGTGCGCGTTGGCAACTTTCCCTGCCTGAAACAAAGGGGTGTCAGGGGGAAGCGAGGGGCAGCGGTAGGTTGACACCTCCTCTTCTTCCGGGCGGAGAGCACCCAGGAGGCCACCTCAGCAGGGTGGAGGGGGGTGACAGTCTGGGTGGAAGCTGGGGAGCCAGGGCTTGGGAGTGGAAACCAAGGACCCTCCTGAATTAGAGGCTGAGGACTTTCCAGAAGGGAAGGGAACGCTGCCAAAATGACCCCGCCGCCTTCTCCCCAGGGTGCATGGAAAAACTGGGTGATGGACCCCACACCTAGGCGCCCTCCACTCCCCAGGTCCGTGTCCTGGGGCCCAGCCCAGCCCCCTGGCTGCCAGCTCTTCACCTGCCCTCCCTGATCTCTGGTCCTCCGTGAGAGATGCCTGGCTGGGATGGGGAGTGTTACAGCCCGGTTCCTGGCAAGGGCAGGGAGACATTGGCCTCTTTCCCAGGTATCTTCCTTTCCCTCTTTCTATGCTCAGTCAGAAACGGACCCCTTTCCCTTCCTTCCCGGGGACTGTCTCTTTTCTTTCCCCAGGGTTTCCCTGGGGGTGTTTGGCTGCCTTAGGTACAGAGCTTGGAGATAGGAGGGCAGAGTGTTCGGGCACTGCTCAAGGCTCTCCCTGGAGGGAAAGAGCAGGACCCCAGGCAGCTTTCTGCTGGTGTAACCTTGGGGGCTCTGCTCACCAATTCTCATGTGTTCTCAGCACCCTAGTAATAAGTGAGCTATTGCTGTGGCTATCAGCCTTGGGTAATTGAGAGGCCTGGGTTTCTCTCTGCTGTACCAGGAAGAGGGATCAAGGGAGGGCCAAGCAACCTGCCTTGGGGGTGGTACAGTGTCTTTCTCTCTAGAAAACAAATGGGCCAGGTTCCAGGTCCCCAGTGCTTGGCCTTATGTCTCCAGGAACAAGGTGCCTTCAGTTCTGAGCTGGCTTACATGTGACCACCAGCTCCTATCCTGTGGCAGGATAGCCCTTTGGGAGCTCAGATTTTTTTCCCTGTTTGGAAGACAGATACATCTGCTTCCCTGTGAGACAGAAGGCACTGGAGGGCCCTAGACTGGTGGAGGACTCTCCCGCCTGCCTGTGTGAATGACCTAATGATACAAGGATACAAGTAGGTTGGGCCAGGGTGGGCCTGTCAGGACACTTTGCTCTAGAGACACTTTGCTCAGGGGTGTGCTGAGATGACACTTAGCCCCCATCAGGGGCTTTGTGTTTGGAGACAGATACAGGCAACTGGGGACACAGCATGGCAGGCGTTGGGTGGGGACAACAGGCTTTTTTAGTGTTGATTTTGGCCACTTATAGGTACAGGAGCAACGGAGGTTCCAGGACCAATAAGGAGTAGCAGGAGAAAACTGAGTCCCCTGAGCTATAGATTTGTGGCCCTGCAATTTGTGGCTAAAGTCAGATGCAGGTACTGCACCAGAGAAGCACAGCTAGGCCCACTTCTATGGACCTTCCCATTCTAACAGGCAGGCAGGATTGATTTCACTCAATTCCCCACTGGAGCGGCTTTATTGGTTTGTCCCAAGCTATTTATTCGGAGCTGAGGATAATGATATGGAGGCCTGACCTCCGAGCCTCCAGTGGTTAGAGGATGGGCTTTTCCGTGGCATGTTCCTCAAATGTACTGACCTTAAGATGGGAAATTGATACTCTCCTAACTTCCTGTTTTGAAGTGATGAGGCATGAATTTTTACATTTATAAAGTGATTTAAGACCCTCAAGTCCTTGAATGAAAGATATTAAATGAGTTAGTGAGCCTTATACTGTGTTTATTTCGGTTGTATCAGATTTACATATTGTTTCTAAAGGGAAAGGTGTCATTTTACAGGAAGGGACCAAATTACAGCTTTTGTGATAGGCAAAGCTCAGTGTTGGTTTTAAAAGTGTAGTTTTTATCAGAAAAGCTCTCGCTGCAGCACTTAGGCAGCAAGCTTTTTTTTCTGCTTACCTCCCAGGATGGCTTGGAGCTCCTTCCTGGTGGGCTTTTTCCTGGTGTACAGTTTCCAGCTAGAATGTTAGTGACTGTCACCTTCCAGTTTCTGAGGAGGGTCTCCGATGATGTTGGGGACTCTGATGTCATAAGGAAAGACCTGGGTAAGGGCAGTAGAGTGAGGCAGCTTGGTCTTATCGGCAACTGTATCAGATCTGGCTGTCCTTGAGGGGAGGGAAGGGATAGCTAACCCTCCCAGAGCCTGGCTGTTTTCAAGTTTGTATGCTTTTACTTTTCTCCTCCCCCATCTCCCTACCTCCCATATACAGACAAGGTGGTCTGGGTGTATTTTTGAATTGCAGGAACATTCCTTTTAAGGCAAGGATAATTTCTGACCTGGCAAAGCCTTAGCTCCCTTTGTGGCAACACCTGGCTAAGGAGGGAATATCAGACAGGATTCTCATGTTCTGAGCTGAGGAATTTCAGCCTCTATTGGCCAGATCTTCTTCTTACTCTACATCACTTCTCAGAAATCAGGCTTTGTATTTGAAAAGTAAAGTGTAAGCTGATTTCTAGGGAAGGGGTAGGAGGGGGGCACTTTTGGTTTGGTTCCCCTTAGGGAAACTGAGTCCCACTGAGAGTTGTCACACTGGCTGTGGTGTGTGAGAATGCATGTGTTGGGGAAATTTTCCTTTCCTGGGATTTAAGAGCATTTAAAATCAAGTACCCGAGTAGATCCATAGGTTATACTTTTCTGCTATAAGATAAAGATGCACTCAGAATTTACGTACCAGAATTTACATCAGTACCAGGGTGTTTGGTTCAAGACGTATATTTGCCTCAGACTTTGAGCTGTGGGATGCCCCATGCTGCTGTGATTCAAGGAAAAGGCAGTGGTTTTCACCCCGACACACACATCCACAGATAGAACTGAGGCTAAGTCAACCATCACATTTCCAAGATGGAAAAGAGGGTTTGCTCCTTTCCCTGTTTTCCCATTCATCAGGCTGCATTTATACCCAGTGTGGCCTTCGGCTCTCCTCCCCTGTGAGGCTATACTTCATGCTCATTTTAACATCAGTTCCCCTATGTATAAATGTAGTGGAGCGGAGGTCACAGAGTGATGCTGGCCCCCTGCTCCTTCAAAGGATGGTTCTGAAAGGCGACTTTCCACCCTCCTCTGATTTTGGTGCTTCCACTTACCTTTGGATCACAATCCAGTCTGGCAATTTGAGGAACAACCAAAGTCATTGACAATTCATGTTTTTGAACATCCAGCTTTTCACCATCCTTTACTCTGCTGGCTTCCCAGTAGGGAGTTTAATATTTTTTTCGGGATTCTCGGCTCCCAGTGTGGCTGGTATTATAGAAGAGACAGCATCTTTGAAATGAGGGCAAACCATCTACACGGACAGGTCTCGGGTCCTCAGATTGCTCCTTCCGGCTGCTCCATCTTCTAGAAGCATGACAGTTTTTTTTGTTTTTTTGTTTTTTTAAATAAGACTTCAGCTGTCAATTAATGTAGGGAGAGCTAATAAATATGAAAAGATGAGGGGAGAGATCACTTTCTGCCATTCCTTTGCTTTCCAAAAGCCCCTCATTCAGAACATACTGGATTATCCACTTCTGACTGCTTTTGCAGTTAGACTTGAATGACGAATGCCATCTAGCTGGCCCATTCATTCATTGTTTCCTTTCAGTTATTAAGAGGCACCCCTGTCACATGAGCTTCTGGAATGATCCGTTTCCATTGGAAAGGTCACTCACCCTGAGTTTTAGTAAGGCCTTGACATCAGCCCTGAGGAGCTAGGGATGCCAGCCAAGGAGATTGAAGGGCCACAAAGAGAGGATTCTTTTCTAGACTTCTGAGGGGTGATTCATGCTTCAAGATAAAATGTGCTTCCTGGGGCTCCATGGTTTCATTGCTTGCACAGTCAGTGGAGGGACAGGCCCTGGTGCAGCGAGAAGCCCACCTTGCTGACAATAACTGCCATTCTTCAGAGCACCGACAGGGACTTGTTTTTAGCCCACTGACAACCCCCATCTCCTTTTTCATTGCTGTCCTTGGCCAAACCCCATTTTAGTCCCTAAGTCCTTAGTATCTCTCTTCCCCTTGTTCCCAATCAAAAAGGCCTGTTCAAAGCCAGGAATAAGGCAGCCAGAGCATTGGTCTTACTTTCATCTACTTTCTTAAAACACACATGGACAAGAAATATCATTACCACTGGGCAACACAAGCAGCGGTTCCAGATTTTTGTCTTGTTTTCTTTTTCTTTTTCTTTTAGTTTGGCATAAGCAATGAGATGACCTTCTTATACTGACCTATAGATGCTATAAAGCTTTCATATAGCCTGCACAGTTTCTAACACATGGTGAGTGCTTATTAAATCACCAGCTGTGGTACTTGGATGTGATCAGATACCCCGATTTCTAGGTCATTGGGCAATGATTCGTCTGTGTGTGAGCTGATGGTTGGCAAAGGCTTCAGGAATCAGGAAATCTGGGATCCCTCCCTGACTCACTCACTTGTGTGACCTTGGACAGCCCATTTCAGCCCTCTGAGACTTAATTCCACAAATAGAGCTTCAGCTGGCTTCAGTGATCATGGCAATAATAATGACAATCACCATTTATTAGGCTAAGCATTTACATATGTTCTTTTCTCATATCAATGAGATAGCTACTATTAATTATCCCCATCTCACAGCTGGAAACACTGAGGCTCTGCAAGATAAAGTGATCACCCATATCATACAGCTAGTAAGTGTCTAAACTGGGATTTGAATTGAGATCTATCTGATTCTTTTTTTTTTTAATAAAAAAATTTTTTTAGAGACGGGTTCTCTCTCTGTTGCTCAGGCTTTAGTGCAGTGGCACAATCATAGCTCACTGCAGCCTTGAACTCCTGGGTTCAAGTGATCCTCCTGCCTCAGCCTCCCTAGGACTACAGGCATGTGCCACCATACCTAGCTACTTTTAAAATTGTTTATATGGAGACAGAGTCTTTATAACTCGCTATGTTGCACAGGCTGGTCTCAAACTCCTGGCCTCAAGCAATCCTCCTGCCTCAGCCTCCCAAAGTGCTGGGATTACAGGGATAAGCCACATCTCCCAGCCAGTCTGAATCTATTGTGTTTTATAAGCTTGGATCAGATAATAGACCAAATGTTGGGGAGAGGGTAAAAGTGGAGGCAGTATAGGTTAACACATAAAAAGGAGAATTGACCAGGTGCGGTGGCTCATGCCTGTAATCCCAGCACTTTAGGAGGCCGAGGTGGGTGGATCACCTGAGGTCAGGAGTTCAAGACCAGCCTGAGCAACATGGTGAAACCCCATCTCTACTAAAAACACAAAAATTAGCTGTGCATGGCGGCTCGTGCCTGTAGTCCCAGCTACTTGGGAGGCTGAGGCAGGAGAATCGCTTGAACCTGGGAGGTGGAGGTTGCAGTGAGCAGAGATCATGCCATTGCACTCCAGCTTGGACAACAAGAGTGAAACTCCGTCTCAAAAAAAAAAAGAGAGAGTTGATGTGGATTAAACACAACTAGTTAAAAGGAGACAGAAGTACAGATTCTTGTTTGAAAAACATCATCTCAATGAATGTTCAGTAAGGAGAGGTCTGTACCCTGCAGTAGGGAAGTAGACCAGATGGCCTGGGAGTTACTGTAAAGGGAACACGCTTTCTGCTTGGCATAGGAATACATCTCATAAACCCCATTTCATTTTGAAACCAAAATTTTCCTCTTGCTTAACGGTCTGTTTGGGCAACATTTTTATTTCTGTTGTCCTACTGCCACTAGTCATAGAAGCTTATCTTTGCAGATTCTTGACCCCAATCCTCATCCTCCAACCTAGTTTCTGGGCCTTTCCCTGCCCATCATTATAATTCAGCTGTGGAGACCTGATTATGACTCTGGGGTCCCAGCTACACTGAGCAAAGTACAGCAAACATGAGATTATTCTGTTCTTCTGAGAAAATATTTATAGCCACTGATTTCTCCATTCAAAGGTGACCAGCTAGTAGATTGGGATCCATTCTTGTTTGTTCCAAGCAAGTTAATTGTCTTCTGTTTTTTTTTTTTTTTTTTGAGACAAGGTTTTGCTCTGTCACCCAGGCTGGAGTGCAGTGGCACAATCCCAGCTCAATGAAGCCTCTATCCCTCTATCTCCTGGGCTCAAGGGATCCTCTAGCCTCAGCCTTCCAAGTAGCTGGGACTACAGGTGCAGAACTACACCTGGCCTCTTCCACCATTTTGAAGTATTCATGGAAGAGGAATGAGGGTTAAGGTGGTGGTCCAAGGAAGGTGAGCTGACCCCTCTTGGAGAGCTAGCGTGAGGCTGTATGATGGAACAGTGTGCAAGGGGTCAGGAGACTTGGGTTCTCCTCACAGCTCAGTGACTCTGGGCGTGTGATGCAAGTTTTTTGGCTTTTAGTTTTCTTATCATTTGGACAAGATATTCTCTAACCTCTCTTCAGGTAATAATGCTAGATGATCCAGCCTTTCCTGAGAAAGGCTGAGGTTCCAGCCTTTTTCAGGAAATAACTCAGCTGGTCTGGAACTGTCAGAAGTCAGAGTTGGGAGGGAAGAGATGGTGTTGAAGGAGAAAGAAGTCAAACTGGAAGCTAAGGAACAAAGTCAGAGCTGGAGGAAGTCCCTTCTCAAGAAGGGGGACTAGGACCAGTCATTGCTCTTTTTTTTTTTTTTGAGATGGAGTTTAGCTCTTGCTGCCCAGGCTGGAGTGCAATGTGACTTCGGCTCACAGCAAACTCCACCTCCCGGGTTCAAGCAATTCTCCTGCCTCAGCCTCCCGAGTAGCTGGGATTAGAGGCATGCGCCCCCACGTCCGGCTAATTTTGTATTTTTAGTAGAGACAGGGTTTCTCCATGTTGGTCAGGCTGGTCTGGAACTCCCAACCTCAGGTGAACTGCCGGCCTCAGCCTCCCAAAGTGCTGGGACTACAGGCGTGAGCCAACATGCCCAGCCCAGTCATTGCTCTTTTAACCGCTTCAGTGGGGCAGCTGAGAGGTGGTGTCTGTACACCCTTATACTCACCATTCCTATGTCATGGGGAGCAACCTTTATGTCTTGTCTTAAAACTTAAACTGAGCCAGGCAGGGTGGCTCACACCTGTAATCCTAGCACTTTGGGAGATGGAAACAGGAGAATCACTTGCCAGTTCAAGACTAGCCTAGGCAACACAGTGAGACCTTGTCTTTACACAAAATTAGTTGGACATGGTGGCGCATGTCTGTACTCCCAGTTCCTTGGGAGGCTGAGGTGGGAGGATCACTTAAGCCTGGGAGGTCGAGGCTGCAATGAGCTGTGACCACACCACTGCACTCCAGCTTGGACAAAAGACCGAGACCCTGGGGACTCCAGGGTCTGCTTCAGTCCAGGATTCTTCCCCCTATCCCTGCTCCTCTGCCACTTGGGTCTCCAGAACTTGAGGTCTCTGGTTGATGTTTTTTTGTTTTTGTTTTTGTTTATTTTAGAGACAGGATGTTGTTCTGTCACCCAGGCTGGAGTGCAGTGGCATAATCATAGCTCACTGTAGCCTTGAACTCCTGGGTTCAAGCAATCCTCCCACTTCAGCCTCCCAAGTAGCTAGGACTGTAGTTGCACCACCTATATTAGCACCTGGCTAATTTAGCTGGTGCTTTCTGGGCAACTCAGTGTTAGCGAGAGTATAACCCCCTCTGTTGCCCTAACTACCTGAAAGGGCAAGGCTAAACCATATACTCAGCCCAGGAACTCAGGGACCACGTCTTCTTTGTTCATGGAATTGGGCTATGGCTAGGCTATCTTCAGTTCCCTTTGAACAAGGCTTTTTCTTTTTCTTTCTTTCCTTTTTTGTTTTTAGATGGAATCTGGCCCTGTCGCCAGGCTGGAATGCAGTGGCACGATCTCAGCTCACTGCAACCTTTGCCTCCTGTGTTCAAGCCATTCTCCTGCCTCAGCCTCCTGAGTAGCTGGGACTACAGGTGCATGCCACCACCCCCAGCTAAGTTTTGTATTTTTAGTAGAGATGGAGTTTCACCACGTTGGCCAGGATGGTCTCGATCTCTTTACTTCATGATCTGCCTGCCTTGGCCTCCCAAAGTGTTGGGATTACAGGCATGAGCCACCACTCCTGGCCCAAACAAAGCCATTTTCTAAGGACCCTTGGATTCTTTCATTCCTTCTATTTTCATTTCATCATATTCAAGGTTGAGGAGCAAATGAGTTCCCACTGAACCCACCAAACCAATATTTTCCATCCCTACCTGTCTTACATTTTCCTCACCTCTTATTCCCCTATCCCCATTATTTTTATGGGGGGTACCATGCTACTGGGGGGATGAGAGATGATTTCATTTGGTACAAGGACAAACATTTCATTTTAATAGCTATGTTTCTAATGAGTGTAAAGAAACATGACTCATTGGAATGTACTCATCAAGCAACTTAATTTTGCCTCCCACTGTCTCTTTATGTTTATCCAGTGGGATTAGTTCTTTCCCTGGTCTAGGGTGAAAACTTAGGCCCTGTAACTTTTCTGGTTATTCATAGGAGACGGTTCTGTGATCACTTTAAGTCTTACAAGCATAGTCTCAACTAGGTACAAAATACACCCGCTTTATGAAGCAGAGTCCCATGGAAAAAACTAAAAAATAAAATAAAATAAAAATACATCCACTCCTTTGTCACTGGACTGGGAGGGGCAGGAAAGTGCTCACTGGGTACACTCTGCTGGCTTCCAGCTTCCTGGTCCATATTTTTATCGGATTCTCAGAGAACTCTCCTTACCCTCCCAATTGCTGGGATGTCTCACTTCTATTGTCTTGAAAAGAACAAATTATCAGCCAGGTGAGGTGGCTCACACCTGTAATCCCAACACTTTGGGAGGCTGAGATGGACGGATACCCAAGGTCAGGAGTTCGAGACCAGCCTGGCCAACATGGTGGAAACCCTGTCGCTACTAAAAATACAAAAATTAGATAGGCATGGTGGCGGGCGCCTGTAATCCCAGGGAGGCTGATGCAGGAGAATTGCTTGAACCCTGGAGGCAGAGGTTGCAGTGAGCTGAGATCGCACCACTGCATACCAGCCTGGGCAACAGAGCAAGAATCTGTTTAAAAAAAAAAAAAAAGAGCAAATTATCCTCTATTCTAGATCATTGCTCCTTCCTCAGCCCCTGAAATCCAGTGGTTCACCTCTAGCCTCTTTCAGCTAAGGTCCTTCAGTCTGCCCAAGAGACCATCTCAGAGAAGACCTGCTCTGACCTCATGCCAGCCCACATTAGTGCATGTGGCCCACATTAGTTCAAGGAAACAATCACACATCCCTGGGCACAGTGAACCTGGGAAGGCAGGCTGACCCCAGCTCAGCAGTCTCCCTTGGCTCCTCCAACAGCAGATGGCCAACGTGTGTCCCACCCTTTGGATGTCTCAAGAGGTGATCAGATGCCAGTCCACCATGTCCTCCCAGTTGCAGGGGACAGACATCAAGTTTCCTGAGTGGTCCTGGTGAATTCCCCTCTCACCAGCTTGACAGGAGGGCCAGTTTTCTATGGGGACAGGGTGAGATATCACAGCACACTAACAGCAACCCCAAAATTCCTCCACAAAGATTTTTCCCCAGTCTCTGCCCATTCTGACCCTCTATACCCTCAGCTTGAGAGAGGGGCCCTTGCGCACCTCTTTTGAAAATGCGCATCCTTCTTTGGTGTCACACTTACGAGCATTATACCTGTTGCATCTTGGTGCACCTTGGTGTTCATCTGGAAAGTGATGCAGCTACTCATTTGAGTCAATTTGCTGATTAATTCCTATAGCTGCTTTGACTGGATGTTTTAAAACTTTAAAAAATATCCAAACGCACTTGGGAAATCATAAAAGCAACACAGCAATGCACAATAAAGGAATCTAAAGTGTTCTATTGTGTTTTTGTTTTTGTTTTTGTTTTGTTTTGTTTGAGACGGAGTGTCGCTCTTGTTGCCCTGATTGGAGTGCAATGGTGAGATCTCAGCTCACCTGCAACCTCTGCCTCTCAAGTTCAAGAGATTCTCCTGCCTCAGACTCCCGAGTAGCTGGGATTATGGGCACCCGCCACCACGCCCAGATAATTTTTGTATTTTTAGTAGAGACAGGGTTTCACCAAGTTGGCCAGGCTGGTCTTGAACTCCTGACCTCGTGATCCACCCACCTCGGCCTCCCAAAGTGCTGGGATTACAGGTGTGAGCCACCGCACATGGCCTATTGTTTTTTATTTATTTTTTTGATTTAACATCTTGTTATATGTGTATCATCAAAACCATCATTGTCACAATAAGCCCATGATTTTGTGGATATTATTGCTTAGAACAAGGCTACAGTACATATATAACTGAAAAAAAAACTGACTTAAATGAAAAGGTTAGTGACAACAACTGACATTTATTGGTAGCTTATAATGCCAGGTTGCTGTTTGTAGTACAGTAAACATGCTTTCTCACTTAATCCTCATGAGGAACGTACTTATATTTTCTCTATTTTACAAACAAACTGAGCCTGGGCACGGTGGCTCACGCCTGCAACCCCAGCACTTTGGGAGGCTGAGGTAAGCGCATCACTTGAGGTCAGAAGTCCGAGACCAACCTGGCCAACACAGTGAAACCTCATCTCTACTAAAAATACAAAAATTATCTGGGCATGGTGGTGGGCGCCTGTAATCCCAGCTACTCAGGAGGTTGAGGCAGGAGAATCGCTTGAACCCAGGAGGCAGAGGCTGCAGTGAGCCGAGATCGCACGACTGCACTCCAGCCTGGGTGACAGAGCGAGATCCTGTCTCAAAAATAATAAAAATAAAAATTAAAAAATAGGCTGGGCACAGTGGCTCACGCCTGTAATCCCAGCACTTTGGGAAGCTGAGGCAGGCAGATCACGAGGTCAGGAGTTCAAGACCAGCCTGGCCAACATGGTGAAACCCTGTCTCTACTAAAAATACAAAAATTAACCAGGCATGGTGGTGAGCACCTGTAATCCCAGCTACTCGGGAGGCTGAGGCAGGAGAATTGCTTGAACCCAGGAGGTGGAGGTTGCAGTGAGCTGAGATCGCACGACTGTACTCCAGCCTGGGTGACAGAGCTAGACTCTGTCTCAAAAATAAATAAATAAAAAATAAAAATAATTTAAAAAAAGTAAGCTGAGGCAGAGAGGTGAAGCAGCATGTCCAAGTCACATAATTGGTGTCAAAGCTGGGATTTGAATGGAAAGAATCTGACTCCAGAGTGTGGACTTTTAAACTGCTACCCTCTGTCATTTCCCGCAGGGCAGTGGGCAGCCATGCCGAGTCATGAAGGTGGCATGCAGGGATGGGAAATGCTGCCTTAGGAGGTAATTGACGTCCTTTGCCCTGTCATTCAAGCTCTCCATAGCCTTTACACGCTTTTCCAAACGTATCTCCCCAGCGCCCCCAGGAAATCCTTCTATGCCCTTTCCTAGAGCCTAATCCACTTGCACAACTAATCTGGCATACACACGCCCACCCCTGCTTCAGTTGTTCCACTGCCTGAAGGGCACTCACCTGCCTTGCTGCCTACCCAAACTGTAGTCCTTTTAGAAGCCAGAGACCATCTCTGCTGCAAGTTTGTTTAACCAAAACCACTTCTGTTAGGATCTTTTAACTCCTCTTGTCATTTTGTCACCAGGTCACAATTATTATGTGCTTTTATGCAAAGGACAGTGAACAACAGTTGGCAAACACAGATCCTGATCTCTCCGTGCAGCGCCACTATCTGCTTGTTAGCGTGCGGTTATCTGCTTGTCTGCTAACTTACGCAAGGCTCTCAACTTCCCTGAACATTGGTTTCATCTTTAAAGTGTGTGTCCGGATGATATCCCTTCAGTTTTTAATATTCCATGGTTGTTTTGCTTACCATATTGTCTCCACTAATTTTTAAGCTCCCAAAGGCTGGAACTTTGTTTTGTAAATCTTAATACATTTCAGGACCCTGTACAAGGTTTTACACACAGAAAGTATTTAATAAAGTTGGTTGGTTGGCTGCTGGGAAATAAGCCCTGTGGTCACTCTGCTTTGGCCTTGACTGACCTTTAGAAATCACCTTCTGGGGCCCGGCGCGGTGGCTCACGCCTATAATCCCAGCACTTTGGGAGGCCATGGTGGGTGGATCACCTGAGGTCGGGAGTTTGAGACCAGCCTGACCAACATGGAGGAATGCCGTCTCTACTAAAAGTACAAAATTAGCCAGGCGTGGTGGCACATGGCTGTAATCCCAGCTACTCAGGAGGCTAAGGCAGGAGAATTGCTTGAATCTCGGAGGCGGAGGTTGCAGTGAGCTGAGATCATGCCATTGCACTCTAGCCTGGACAACAAAGCAAAACTCAGTCTCAAAAAAAAAAAAAAGAAATCACCTTCTGGGTGATCACCAGCAAGGACTTTGCAGTTCTTTTTTCAGCACAAGTTTATAACAAAAGTTTGGGTCCTATCTGTTGCATTTTTTTCTTTTTTTTTCTTTCTTTTCTTTTTTTTGAGATGGAGTCTCACTCTGTTGCCCAGGCTGGAGTACAATGGCACGATCTCGGCTCACTGCAACCTCCACCTCCCAGGTTCAAGTGATTCTCCTGCCTCAGCCTCCCGAGTAGCTGGGACTACAGGCGCATGCCACCATACCCAGCTAATTTTTGTATTTTTAGTAGACAGGGTTTCTCCATGTTGGTCAGGTTGGTCTCAAACTCCCGACCTCAGGTGATCCACCCACCTTGGCCTCCCAAAGTGTTGGTATTACAAGTGTGAGCCACAGTGCCCAGTCTGTTGCCTTTTTTCTTTAGGAGACCTAACGTCATGCTATTAAGGCCCACAGTCCTTTATCTGCAATTTTGAAATCTGAAGCACTATAAAACCAAAAGATTTTCTTTCACTCAAGTGACAGAAGAATCTGACTTGGTCTAACAGAGGCTCACATTGCACAGTATGAATATTCGTAGATGTCACCATAGAAACGTGAATGTGCTTGATTAGTGGGTGCTGCCCCAGACCCTGCTGTGAGGATTATGTAATTTATGATATGTGCTCTACATTACCTTTTAAAAAATCTTTAGAATTCTGAATTCCAAGGCTCTTAGATAGGGGACTTTGGTGCTATACGACCTTCCTCAACAGAGATGCCTTTGGCACTGGAGCAGGACAGGTCTTTGGGCTCTTCAAACATAACAGAACCTCACCTGGGACCCTGCCTCATTGGCCTGTCCCTAATCTCAGCCCTGGCTCCAATATAACTATAGCCTGTGGCCATGGCTTACCAACTTGATTTTTTAAAATATCATTTATCTTGGCTGGGTGCAGCAGTTCATGCCTGTAATCCCAGCACTTTGGGAGGCTGATGTGGGAGGATCACTTGAGCCCAGGAGGTCGAGGCTGCAGTGACCTATGATCATGCCACTGCACTCCAGCCTGGCCAACAGAGCAAGATCCTGTCTCAAAAATAAATAAATAAAAATAATAAGGTATCGTTTATCTTGATTACTAAATATTTTGGCACTCCCTTAAATTTTGTGTCTGAGCTGAGTGCATGTCTTGTCTCACCCTAGTTCTAGCCTGTGAGACAATCCCTCCGTTTCTCCTAACTCCACTGCCATGACTCTGGGATGAACTGATGTGTCCTCAGGGCAGGGAGTACCTGCTGGAGGTTTGCATTTCGTTCAAGCTAGTTGGGACCTGTTGCCCCTAGGCCAAGTTAGCTCATGCAGAGCAGCTGGCTCCTAGAGGCATTTTCTTTATTATTATTATTATTATTATTATTATTATTATTATTATTAACCCCCAAGTATACCTGGAGGCATTTTCTATACCTGGATGTTTCTTTGGATCCCAAATGAACCTTGTTCTTCTACTTTCATCTGGAAGATGATGCAGCTACTCATTTGAGTCAATTTGCGATTAATTCTTATAGCTGCTTTGACTGGATGTTTTAAAACTTTAAAAAATATCCAGGCCAGGCGCGGTGGCTCATGCCTGTAATCCTAGCACTTTGGAAGGCCGAGGCGGGCGGATCACAAGTTCAGGAGATCGAGACCATCCTGGCTAACACGGTGAAACCCCGTCTCTAGTAAAAATACAAAAAATTAGCCGGGCGTGGTGGCGGGCGCCTGTAGTCTCAGCTACTCGGGAAGCTGAGACAGGAGAATGGCATGAACCTGGGAGGTGGAGGTTGCAGTGAGCCGAGATCGCGCCACTGCACTCCAGCCTGGGGGACAGAGCGAGACTCCATCTCAAAAAAAAAAAAAAAATCCAAATGCACATGGAAAATCATAAAAGCAACACAGAAACGCACAATAAAGGAATCTAAAGTGTTCTATTGTGTTTTTGTTTTTGTTTTGTTTTGTTTGAGATGGAGTGTCACTCTTGTTGCCCTGATTGGAGTGCAATGGTGAGAGCTCAGCTCACCTGCAACCTCTGCCTCTCGGGTTCAAGAGATTCTCCTGTCTCAGCCTCCCGAGTAGCTGGGATTACAGGCGCCCGCCACCATGCCCAGCTAATTTTTGTATTTTTAGTAGAGACAAGGTTTCACCATGTTGGCCAGGCTGGTCTTGAACTCCTGATCTCGTGATCCACCCACCTCGGCCTCCCAAAGTGCTGGGATTACAGGTATAAGCCACCGCATATGGCCTATTGTTTTCTATTTATTTATTTATTTTAAGAGACAGGGTCTCACTCTGTTGCCCAGGCTGGAGTGCAGTGGTGTGATCATAGCTCAAGGTATCCTCCCACGTGAGTAGCTGGGACTACGGGCAGAGACTCTGTACCCTTATTCACTTTTTTGATGCAAAAACTGTAGAGGAGCTATGACTGGGAGTTACAAGTATCAATGGTAGAGCCAGGCCTAAAAAGTCCTGTTTCTGGACCTTCCACTGGCCAGGAGACCACTCCCCTCCTTAATCCGCAGCCCCCAGGTGTCTTCAGATGGTGGAGGATGAATAAGCTATCCCGTCAATTGAAGGGCATAACTTTTTTTTTTTAACCCTTTGTCCCTGTTTAGCAGTGATGGTCATGCCTGTGGGAATTGAGGCTGCCTTTCCCCCACCATTAAATAACCAGCCCTTCTCAGAGTCTGAGCCATAAGTATTTCTGGCACTGCCTTTTTAACCTATTGGAGGTCTTCTGGGATCATCACTTCTCTGCCCCTATTCCTGTCCATGCTTCCTCACGATATAGCATTTTCCATAAATATACTAAAGCATCCTCTTACATACTGTTTACTCATCTTCTTGTCCATTAAGGAAGATATTCCACAGACCAAGCCTGGCACCTATTTATTTGACTTCATCTAAACACATCTTTGCCTCCAGACATTGAAACATTTATCATTTCCCTGGCCTGTAGAGATAACCTGTGGTCTTCTACCTATTGTCACTATGCTGGAAAATGCTGAGATATAGTGTAATTTGAATTAATCAGGGAAATGAAATTTCCCAAAGGTGCCAAACTGAATAGTTTTCTTAAGCTCCAGAGGTTGACTACATTGTCTGTGTACCCAGTTGATATCAATAAAAGACCATTAGTGGGGCACAGTGGCCCATACTTATAATCCCAGTGCCTTGGGAGGTCGAGGCAGGAGGATCACTTGAGGCCAGGAGTTTGAGACCAGCCTGAGCAACATAGCAGGACCCCATATCTACAAAAAAATTAAGAAATTACCTGGGTGTTGTGCCATGTGCCTGTAGTCCTAGCTACTTAGGAGGCTAAGGCAGGAAGATTGCTTGAACCCAGGAGTTTGAGTTTATGGTGACCTATGATCACACCACTGAACTCCAGCCTGGGCAACAGAGCAAGACCTTGTTTCTAAAATTAAATAACTAATAAATAAATAAATAAATAAATAAAACCATTGCCTTGTCTGGGCTCAGTGGCTCCTGCCTGTAATCCCAGCATTTTGGGAGGCCAAGGTGGGTGGATCAGCTGAGGTCAGGAGTTCAAGACCAGCCTGACCAACATGGTGAAACCCTGTCTCTACTAAAAATACAAAAAAAATTAATCAGGCATGGTGGTGTGCACCTATAATCTCAGCTACTCGAGAGACTGAGACAGGAGAATTGCTTGAACCCAGGAGATGGAGGCTGCGGTGAGCCGAGATCACGCCACTGGACTCCAGCCTGGGCGACAGAGGGAGACTCTGTCTTAAAAAGGAAAACCAACAACAACAAAACACATTGCCTTTATTCTGGGAGACTGATCACTTGAAGCCACCCTAATTCTGCTCATTCCTTCGTCTTTCTTGGCATTGCAGTTTCCCTTGCTTTTAGGGCACATTATCTGAAATGGTAGCCCTGTCTTTTATTTAGTAAATATTTGCAAATATAAGTTTTTAAGAGTCAGTATAATGCCTCAACCATACTCTAAAGGAGAAAGAAATAAAGGGAAAGTTAGTTATAATACTGTAGGGGTCAAAGCAAAGTCTCCCCTTTGCCTTCTGAAGGTTTGCTGAAAAATCAACTCACAAAACTCAGATTAATTGGAGAAAAAGCATATAAACTCTACTAATGTGTGCACAGGGAGAACCACAGAGTGATTGCCCACCCCCCATCGTGGCTCAGAAGCTTATAGAACGTCTTGGCAAACCAGGTATGGGAGAGGGGCAAAGAGGAATTCTGTTGATGGGTAATAAAAGATTATGAGGGAGGAATGAATGGATCGGGAACAGAGATTAATCTGTAAAGGCGTTCAGGTGGTTTTCAGGTGTGGTTACATTCTTGGTCTTACAGAGGAGAAGAAAAAACAATTGTTCTCTTTGGCGGTTCTGGATCTTAGGCAGATAAAAGAACTTCAGAGAACTTCAACCTCCTTTGGGAGTGTTGACGGGTAGTGGGGAGAAGGTCAGAGAGACCTTGAGGTATTGGTTTCTGAGCCCCAGCAATACATCATTATGTATTCTAATATGTGGTTGCTTGGGCACAACCATACAGAAGGCAGAAGGATGCAGTCAGATGCTTGAACCTTTACATAGACTCACCGAGAATGTAACATACACAAACACCCACAAGATACAGGTGTACTGTGTGGGTGACTCAAATACCAGGAGAGGTGCTGCTGGGGTTGACGTGACTTTCCAAAATGCTGAACCATTCCTGGTGAAGCTCAAAAGAACACAAAGTACAGTATCCCCTCCATTTTGCATGCTAATGGTGTTCCTAGACAACTCAGCATGTGTTAAAATCGTGCAAAAACCGCCTGTGTTTATTTTAGAAAGGGAGTTAGGATCTTGATATAGATAATTATAAATGGACATTTTACCTCTGTGATGTCCAGTAGAACGTTCCAAAGTCATGTGGGAGAGTTCTTTTGTTGGTCACGTGGGAATTGCATTCCAGGTGTCCACTTGTAAGTATCTGTGGCATTCCCCACCTACCATAGTGCTGACGGAGCTGCCCGTCAGTTCTTCCTCATCCCGGCACTGGAAGGAGGGCCCAGGACTGGGATACCTGCGTTCTCGGCCTGCGCTACAGTGTCTCGGTATTTGTATGACCTTAGGCAGGTTACACTTAACTCCACGTGCCTGGGTCTCCTCTCTGTAAAGGGGATGACCATGACACATGCATCTGGCCTAACCTCGGGACGGATGCTCACTGTGCTGCCCTCCCGTGACCCCAGACAACCCAGGGCATTCGTGTGTGCCCGCAGCATATACACCACCCACGAGCTCTCCCTCGCTGTGATTTCTCCTTACCATTTAAACATCCTTAGGTCTCTCTTATCTTGAAAGAGAGAGAGAGAAAGAAAGGCACGGTGGCTCAGGCCTGTAATCCCAGCACTTTGGGAGGCTGAGGCGGGCCGATCACCTGAGGTCAGGAGACCAGCCTGGCCAACATGGTGAAACCCCATCTCTACTAAAAATACAAAAATTAGCCAGGTGTGGTGGCGGGCACCTGTAATCCTAGCTACTCAGGACGCTGAGGCAGGAAAATCACTTGAACCCGGGAGGCAGAGGTTGCAGTGAGCTGAGATTGCGCCACTGTACCCCAGCCTGGGCAACAAGAATGAAACTCTGGCAAGCAAGCAAGCAAGCAAGAAAGAAAGACAGAAATGAGGGAGGGAGGAAGGGAGGGAGGGAGGAAGGAAGGAAAGAAAGAGAGAGAGAGAGAAAGAAAGAAAAGGGGAAGGGAAAAGAATAGGAAGAAAGGAGGGAGGAAGGAAGGAAAGAAAGAGAGAGAGAGAGAAAGAAAGAAAAGGGGAAGGGAAAAGAATAGGAAGAAAGGAGGGAGGGAGAGGGAGGACACCTCTCTCACGTCTACTTCTCTTCCAGCAGCTTTTCTCTCTCCTTTTCTTCACAAACTAATTTCTCAAGAGTCATCGCACACCCTATTGAACCTGGGTAGCAGAGGCTGCAGTGAGCAGAGATCGTGCCTCTGCACTCCAGCCTGGGTGACAGAGCCAGACCCTGTCTCAAAAAAAAAAAAAAAAAAAAAAAAAAAAAACGCCGGAGCAGTGGCTCACACCTGTAATCCCAGCACTTTGGGAGGCCAAGATGGGTGGATCACTTGAGCCCAGGAATTTGAGACCAGCCTGGGCAACATGACAAAACCCTGTTTCTACCAAAAATACAAAAATTAGCCAGTCTCATAACCTGGTCTCAAAATAAATAAATAAATAGATACAAAATTTTTAAAAATAATAATAAGACATAGGGTCACACTCTGTCACCCAGGCTGGAGTACAGTGGCACCATCTCAGCTCACTGCAGCTTTGCCCTCCTGGGCTCAAGCAATCCTCCCACCTCAGTGTCCTGAATAGCTGGGACTACAGTGGGTAAAGACTCTTTCAGCTGTTTGGCTGTGCGTTATCTAACATGGCCACACACAGCTGTGACAGTGAACCTGAGGAGGAGGCTGTGCCTGTGTCTGAGGGCTTTGCTTTGGAATTAGGTGGCTGTGATGGTGCTGAGGTGTTGAAATGGGGCACCTACCCTAGAAAGCCTGCCTGAGAGATCAGAAGGTAGGAACATGGCCTCAAGGCCTAAGTCAGGCAGTGTGACTTGGAATAGCATGTAACTTTAGGGGAAATAAAATATAAAATCCAGAAGGCTGGCTGGGCATGGTGGCTCACGCCTGTAATCCCAGCACTTTGGGAGGCCGGGGTGAGTGGATCACCTGAGGTCAGGAGTTCAAGACCAGCCTGGCCAACACAGTGAAACCCCATCTCTACTAAAAGTACAAAAATCAACTGGGCATGGTGGCGGGGCACCTGTAATCCCAGCTACTCAGGAGGCTGAGGCAGGAGAATCGCTTGAATCTGGGAGGCGGAGGTTGCACTGAATTGAGATTGTGCCATTGCACTCCAGCCTGGGCAACAAGAGTGAAACTCCATCTGAAAAAAAAAAAAATCCAGAAGGCTGTGATTTAACAAATGTAACCTGACTCATTATTATGGGCTGTGGACAAAACAGGTGTCAAAATATCTCCAGGAAATATTAACTACATATACGGATACACTCCAAAGTTTAACCCCGTCTTCTGGCATTAGGATGGATGCCTTCTGCAAGGTTGTTGATCCTGGGAGGAGGAGGTGGGAGTAAATCAATGGAGAAGCAAGAAAAAGGAGGGCCAAATTGGAAGAGGAAATGTTTCCAGGAGGGATTTGGCAGGCGGAAACCCCAGAGCTGGAATTTTTGTGCCCAGTGGAGACCTCTGATGACCAGTGTGGTTCTCCCTGGATTTGCCTCCATGTCTGTTCCTGGGCCCCACCCCCTGTCCTAATAAGAGGGTCCCTGATGTTTTTGCCTCCAAACTTTTTATTTAGAAATAATTTCAAATGTACAGAAAAGTTGCCAGAACAGTACAAAACACTCATATACTCTTTACCCAGATTCACCTGTGATTAACATTTTGCCCCATTTGCTTTATTTAATTTTAAATTTTTATGTAGAGACAAAGTCTCACTATGTTGCCCAGACTGGTCTCAAACTCCTAACTTCAAGCAATCTTCCCACCTCAGCCTCTCAAAGCGCTGGGATTACAGGCCTGAATCACTGCATCTGGCCACTTCTGTTTTTAAAATTTGGTGCTTCTTCTGTAGCCTTGGTTCTTGTCAAATGTTGGGCGAGCCTTCGTTCTGTGTTCCTCTGTTGGATCTTGGGGTCTTCAGGTCACCTCTCTGTGAATGCTGATTCTGTGCACCACAGCCAGCCATCACCGGCTGTGGACAGGAGGGTGGGATGTACCTGCTGAGCACTGACAAGAGCTGGTCTAGGCATCCCCTACCTCTCAACCCGTGTCCAGAGTATAAGCATGGTGTGTGGGGGCGGGGCCGATTGGCCTGGCTGCTCCAGATTCAATAACCACCAATTCAGGGCCCTTCCTGTGCCTGGATTTGCTGGCTGAAACCTTGTAGCCCCCACAGCTGCTTCTCTGATAGAGCACAGAACCCACAGGCACACTGCCTGGCTTCAAATCCTAGCCCTGCCCTTACTAGCACTGTGACCTTGAGAAAGCTGCATAACCTCTTTGGGTCTCATTTCTAAATTCTCTTCTCGGCCTTTCTCAGGCTGGTTTGAGGCTGTCCTAATGAATGTAATGGGTCCTCTTATCCTTTGTCAAAAGGAATGTTAATTATTTTCAGCAGTCTAATTACATGGTTAATGAGAGACTGACTGAGATAACATTCCCTTTAATTACTCTTGCCTAAGTGCTGTTTGGCGCCATATTTTAAGCATTAGCAAGACTGGGTGCTTTCTCAGTAGATGGAGCTGTCCAGTAAGGGGCTGAGTGAAGGGCAGGGGTTGTTGGGCTTAAGGCTTATGGTGGAGGTGCCTGGTGTGGCTGGGGTCAGTGTCCAGCTGAGTGCATGGTGGTCTTTCCTGTGGACTGTTACTTAAGGAAAGGAACAGTACCGATTGGTTCAGATGGAGAGCAGACAGCAACTGTCACAGATTCCCCAGAACAACTCTCATCCTTCAATTAAAAAAAAATTATTTTTAAATAAATAAATAAGTTTATTACATGTGTGAGCCACTGCCCCTGGCCTTACCCTGTCAATTTCAGACTGACATCCTTATAGCTCCAAGTCCAAAACAAAAAAGAAAAGGATGCCTCTTTTGTGGTCTCTGTGGCCATTCCAACAAGAATCTCAGGATTGGCTCTGATTGGAGCATGTATCCATCCCTGAACCAATCACAGAACCAGGGGAATGTGGTGCTGTGATTGGCCAGGCTGGGGCCTGATGCTCACCCCAACAGGCAGGGTATTGACAGCATCCAAAGCACACTGACCCTCAGTGTTGGAAATAAAGCTTGGTGTCGCAAAGTGAAACCAGCACTCAGGCAGAAAAAGTTTTCTCAGCAAGGCAATTTACTCCTGCAGAAGGGTGCGGCCTGTGTCAGTTACGATCACGAGAGCACACTGAACAAAGGAGAGCAGGGGTTTTTATCCCTAACACAGACCCTGTTCCTGTGTCCTCCCTGTGTTGGCTGGGGTTGGACCGCACAATCTAAACTAATTCCGATTGGCTACTGTTGACATCATCAAAGGAGGCAAGGGTGGGCACTTGGCGGGAAAGACAAGTACACAGGTGATGGCATATGCTTGGGCGTGTTTGGGTGCAACAGAGATAGGGAGGGCTGATAGATGGATGGGTAAGATTACTTTCAGAATAGAACAAAGAACAAGGAACTGAAACCTTTGAAGATAAACTGTGCCTAACACCAGCTACTCTGGCCTTGCTGTTTCTCAAACTTGTCTAACTTTCTCCTACTTCAGGGTCTCTTCACTAACTGTCCTCTCTGCCTGGAATGCTTTTCCCAAAGTTCTTTGCACGGCTTCTTCTCATCTTTCTAACCTATGCCCAAATGCTACCTCCTTAACATTTAAGACTCACCTTCCAGCATCGGGTTTCTTTATTTCCCCCACCTGGCCTTCCCCATCTTCATGGCATAATATTAAAACTTATAGTATGTTTAGAGCTGCTTAGTTATTGCTGATCTCCCACCTGCCTGTGAGCTCCAAGGGGGCAGGAACATTGTCTTGTTCACACATGGTACAGTACCTGGCCTTCACTGGGTCTCAGTAAATATTTGTTGACTGCTGGAATATAACACCTTGAATAAATAAACCAGCTACCACAGGACTTCTTGGACTAAGTTCCCTTGTTGTTTAGAAATCTCTAGGTGGCTTGGCTGTACAGGCTGTGAAAAGCGGAGTCCTGTTGTCACACCATAAGAGCGGTCCAGGCTTGTCTTCTGAAAGCCCTGCTGGGCTTCTTTCTGCCTCCCTGGTGAGGCAACAAAGGGGCAGGGTCCCCATCACTTCTGAAGGTGCAGCGTGGCAGGGTAACCTCCAGGACACCCTAAGGACATGGGCAGTAGTGGGAAGAACCCAGATAAAATCCTGGTCACTTTGCCAGTGAGGCTGTGAGGCCACTGCCTCTTTTTTCTGACTGACAGGAGAAGGCTTGCTGGTCTCATGTGCAGAGTATTCTAGGGCCTCTCAGCCGCTGCCTGATGGGATCTGCATAGGGGATTATTGATGAAGGCAAGGTGAGGCAGCTCTTTACAGTAACACATGCCTCACTCTGGGACGGCGGCCAGGCAGCTAATTAGAGAGCCCAGCAGCTGTCCAGCCTTTCAGGCAGCAAGCAGCAGCTACTGATTGCCGGGGGTGGGAATGGGAGGAAATAGACGTGGGACCAGAGACCACCCTCCAAGGCGATGGAGTTGGGTGGTCAGGGTTTGCTCAGTGGGGGACTTTGAGAGGGGCATGTGAGATAGAGTGGGCTAGATGGGGAGGAGGAAGGGGGAGAGGAGAGGGAAAGGACAGGTGGCCTCCAAGTGAGACAGAAGACAGTGGGGTGAGATGTCAGGCAGGTGGGGCAATGCAGCTTCCAAGCTCAGAGCAAGGGGCACAGAGGGGAAGGACAGGGCCCCGTGGGGTTGGGGCCTGGCTCCCATCTCCATGCACCTTCCCCATGCCAGGCAGGCCCCCGCGGCCTGGGCCTCTCCTTGCTTCCTGGGGGAGCTGGACAGACACAGGCTTTCCCCTCAGGGAATCTGGAATACTGATTGCTTTTGTAGTTGAGCTTGGCCCCTCCTTGGTGTAGGAAGTTACCAGATCCATTTGTGCTCAGGGCTTTTCTTACTCTAGGATAAGTAAAAGTGGTTGTTCTGAGTCACGTGAGAAGAACTGGGGGCTTTGAGTAACCAGAGGGCTCCCCAGTGGGCCTTTAGGCATCTTCTCTACTTTGTGGGCACCTGGGTCAGGGTGCGGTGTAATAAGAAATGTATTCGGTCTTTGTCCCGGGTCCCTGTCATAGAGCTCCTAAAACCCTTGAAATTTCCTGAGTGAAAGGAATGTCTTTTGTTATTCATAATAAGCACCTTTGATAACACCTGAGTTTATGCTAATGAAGTTACTGGGGAAGTGGTGGGGTGGTGGAGGGGCTAGACAGCCTCAGGATGGAGCCAGTCTCCAGAAAGACCAAATGCTTAGAGGATTAGAACATTTGGCCTCACCCTCCAACCTCCAAGAAAGGTGTGGGAGGGTGGAGATCAAGCTACATAAAAACTCTTGAATAAGATTTGATAGGTTTCTGGGTGGCTGAACATGTGGCGGTGCTGGTGGGTGACCCCCCAATA
The DNA here is from genome assembly GCF_000001405.40 of Homo sapiens. Lineage (NCBI taxonomy): Eukaryota > Metazoa > Chordata > Mammalia > Primates > Hominidae > Homo > Homo sapiens. The sequence goes on along the minus strand of NC_000014.9, from coordinate 67,491,244 downwards.
CGTCACCCTATCCATCTCTGCATCTGGTTGCTCATCTGCACCCTTTGTGATAAATCAGTAAAGGTAAGTGTTTCCCCGGGTTCTGTGAGCCATCCTAGCAAATTAATAGAACCCAAGGAGGCGGTCATGGGAACCCTGGTTTGTAACCAATTGTTCAGAAGTATAGGTGACGATCTACTTGTGACTGGCATCTGAAGTGGGGGCAGTCTTGTGGGACTGAGCCCTCAGAATGTGGGATCTGCTGCTATCTCAGGATAGATAGCATCAGAGTTTAAATGAACTGTAGGAGACCCAGTTGGTGTCTGCTGGAGAAATGTGACCAGATATGGGGGGCATATCTGCCCCCCTCCACGCCCACCCCATATCTGGTCACAGAAGTGTTCTGCTTTGAGTGTGAGAGCAGAAGGAAAAAACTTTTTTTCCTTTACAGGGAGATTTGGGGAGTGTTAAGGAAAAGGAGAGTGGGGGTAAAAAAACAGAGGTAGTATTTGCCTGCATGCTTTCTGGCTCCAGTGTTAGGTTCCAGGCCAAGGAGATGATGAGGGGCCGGGGAGAGAGATCTGATTTTTAGGTTCTGGTCAGAGAAGCAGAGACTCAATCCTGCAAGCCCAGCTTACCTTAAATAGTTATAGGAAAGGAGAGAAAATGGTGCGAAGGGAATTTCCTGCCAGTAGCCTCTTTGGGAAGTGAATCCTATGTGCATGAAAACTGATGTGGCTTTTGAGAGTGCCAGCACATTGTAGA